>NC_000023.11:151748333-152051363 GCF_000001405.40 Homo sapiens | reverse complement strand
TCCTGCAAGACAACTTAAGAAATACTCTTCTCAATATCAACCTTGGCAAAGAATTTTTGGCTAAATCCCCACAAGCAATTGTAACAAAAACAAAAATTGACAAGTGGGACCTAATTAAACTAAAGAGCTTCTGCACAGCAAAAGAAACTATTAACAGATTAAACAGTCTACAGAGTACAAGATATTCACAAACTATGTATCTGACCAAGGCCTAATATCCAGAATTCATAGGGAACTTAAACAAATGAACAAGCAAAAACCAAGTAACTCCATTTACAAATGGTCAATGGACATGAAGAGATATGTCTCAAAAGAAAACTAACAAGTGGCCAACAAACACATGAAAAACTTCTTAGCATCACTAATCATCAGAGAAATGCAAATCAAAACCACAATGAGATACCATCTCACACCATTCATAATACCTATTATTAAAAAGTAAAGAAATGGAATCAACTTAAGTGTCCATCAATGGAGGATTGGATAAAGAAAATGTGGTACATATACACAATGGAATACTATGCAGCCATTAAAAAGAATAAAATAATGTCCTTTGCAGCAATATGAATGGAGCTGGAGGCCATAATCCTAAGCAAATTAATGCAGGAACAGAAAATTAAATACTGCATATTCCCACTTATAAATGGGAGGTAAACGTTGAGCACAAATGGACATAAGTGTAGGAACAATATACACTGTGGGTTACTAGAGGGGAGAGGTAGGTGGATGAAAAAACTACCTGTCGAGAAATTTGCTCACTACCTGGGTAACAAGATCCATACTCCAAACCTCAGCATCATGCAATATTTCCATGTAACAAATATGCACATGTACCCCCTGTATCTAAAATAAAAGCTGAAAACAAACAAATAAAAAACAATAGTCATTCTAATATTAAATGTGAAATATGGGGTGATAATGAATCTTTCAGATTTAATGTCTTAACCTTTAAAATAAGGGAATTGTAGCAGATGATATTTAATAGCCTTTCTGGTTGTTTAATTATCTTCAACCATAAGAGTGTGAAACTGTGAGAGTATGTGGGTTGAATCCGTGAATAAATGGTTGAAATTAAATTTTTAAAAAAGATTATTTGAGTGTTGATTTATGTTTTTGAAATGGCTGATCTATTTCAGGTTTTCCAATATTTCTAGGATGTTGACCTTCACAGATATTAATTTTAATACTGGAGTGTTTAAAGAAGCTCCATCCATTTTACTAATCTTTAGTTCCAATTCTTATCTTTCCAGAACTGTGAGAATGCTGAAATTTCTGCTTAGCTTTTGAGGCTCTTAGCTGCTGCTTTCTATTTGGCTTTTTGGTCTCTTGTCACATCTTGAAGATGGTTGCTGGAGAAAACTGACAGAGAATATCAAGATCACGTATGCACAATTGTCTTTCCTCAAAGATCTTGGCCCCTTGAATCCTAGTCTTGGACTCTAATTTTTGTTTTTTAAACCCCATGATACTGCCCTGCCAAAAGTTGTTAGCCATCACTTTCTACTGTGCTTCTCAGCTCCATCCTGCTTATAAATTGACAATTGCCTGAAAAAGACAACTAACAGAGAAAAGTGAACTCACCTCATTTTTTTCTTCTTTCTGGAATTTCAGTAATTCAAAATTTTCCTCCCTTAAGTGTGTCTATGTGTAGCTGGCAGAATAATGGCCCCCCCGCAAACAATGTCTACATTCTAGTCCCTAGAAACTGTTCATATTATCTTATATGACAATAGGGACTCTGCAGATGTTATTAGATCAAAGATCTTGAGATGAGGGGATTATCTTGAATTATCTGGGTGGGCCATATGTAATTACAAAATTAACTATAAGAGGGAGGCTAGAAGTTAGAGTGAATAACAGGAGATGTGATGTGGAAGTAAGAGACTGGAATATGGGCATGAGGCAAGGAATGCCAGTAGTCCCTAAAATATGCAAAAAGCAAATAATGTATCTTCCCCTGAAGTCTCCAGAAGGAACCAGTTCTGCCAACACCTTGATTTTATTACTTTGAGGTTCCTTTGTGACTACTTACTATCAGAACTGAAAGAGAATAAGTTTGTGTTATTTCAAATCATTAAGTTTGTGGTAATTTGCTGCAACAGCAGTAGGAAACTCATGCACTGGGTTTTATGTTTCTTTTTCACTCGCTTGGAGATTTTTCATAGAAGCTACTTTGACATATTGAAAGCATATTTTTCTTCTTATGTCTTGTACACTCTTTTTTGTAAATTCTGCCCTTTTGTCTCTGACTTTTATTCTAGCTATTTTCTTTCTGTCTTCCAGATTATTCTTCCTTCCACTGTGTCTACTATGCTGTAATATTACATATTTTAACTTGAAAAAGATCACCACAAAAATTGATGATTCTTAAAACCAGTGTACAGTACTCACTTAAAACCTTTGAGCTCTCCATTTCCATGGCTCGCCTTTTCTGCCTTTGTAAGTCTTCTCTCAAACCAAGCCTCCTTCTCATATATATACAATATTATATTATATATAATGTATATTATATATTATATAATATAATAAAATATATATAATATAATCTTATATTTAATAATATAATATAATATAATATTATATATAATAATATTATATTATATTGTGTATATATATATATATATATATATATATATATATAGAGAGAGAGAGAGAGAGAGAGAGAGAGAGAGAGAGACAGACAGAGTCTTGCATTGTCGCCCAGGCTGGAGTGCAGTGGCGCAATCTCGGCTCACTGCAACTTCCGCCTCGTGGGTTCAAGCGATTCTCCTGCCTCAGCCTCCTGAGTAGCTGGGACTACAGGTGCGCAGCCACCACGCCCAGCTAATTTTTTTATTTTTAGTACAGATGGGGTTTCACCATGTTGGCCAGGGTGGTCTCGATATCCTGACCTCGTGATCCGCCCACCTCGGCCTCCAAAAGTGCTGGGATTACAGGTGTGAGCCACTGCTCCCGGCCTTTAATAAATGATTTTTAATATTATTCAAACTCTAGTTTAAATAAGGCCACCTTAATAAAAGGCCACACAACCTTCCTGAAATATTTTTTTGGTCTTTCTGATAAGTCTTTTTGAATATAAAGACAAGTGTCTTTTAGACTAAATACTCTAATTTCTACAAAATTTACGTTCTGTCTGTTAAACATGTATTTTCTAATAAATTTACTTTCAGTTTAGTCTACACACCTAGTTTAATATTTTGTTTAATTTACACATCTGGGTTAAAGTTTTTATAAACGCTCTTATCTTAGTTTCTTTTGATTTAGTTTAACTCTTCTCTCTTACTTGTTTCTGAAAACATCCCCAAAACAAAAATAGACATTCTAAATAGTAAACACAAAATAGCTAATTAAAAACCACTAAGACAGTCACTGCCATCTAAAATGGCAGCCAAAACCCCTAATATTCTCTAACAAAATTAGCAAAATTTTCTTTATTCTAAAAAAAAAAAAATACAAAACAAAATTCTCAGGCATTAGGACATGCCAAATTTCCTGAGACTCCAGCCAACTACATATTGTACACATTTTTAAACTAATAAAATTACATCAAAAATTGAAAATGCAAGTAGCTGTTATTCAAATTCTCTAAAAAACCACTACAATTGAATATTAACATATAAAGCCCTCTAAGTTCTCCCTCTCTGTATTTTTCTCTACCTACTTTACATTTTTATTAATACATAATATTTGTACACATTTATGGGTTGAATGTAATATTTTGATACATACATAGAATGTGTAATGATCAAGTCCCTTTGAACATTTATCATATCCATCACTTTGAACATTTATCATTTCCTTGTGTTGGGAACATTTCAAAGCTTCTCTTCTAGCTATTTTGAAAGATATAATATATTGTTGATAACTATAACTACCATACTGTTATACTGAATACCAAAACTTATTCCTTCTATCTAAGTATACATTTGTACTCATTAACTTCCCTACTTTAAATCTACTAACTTTTCTACTAGTGTTGAGATAAAACTTACACTTATGACTTTATAGCCAAAAAAAAGGCTTAGAGATTTCCAAGCCAAAAAAAAAAAAAAAGGCTTAAAGACTTCCAAATTAATGACTTTACAAGTTACAGCAATTCCATAATAACCAATAACCTAAACACCTTTTATTATACTTTAAGTTCTGGGGTGCATGTGCAGAACGTGCAGGTTTCTTACATAGGTATACACGTGCCATGGTGGTTTGCTGCACCCATCAACCTGTCATCTACATTACATGTTTCTCCTAATGCTATCCCTCCCCTAGTCCTGCACCCCTCGATAGGCCCTGGTGTGTGATGTTCCTCTCCCTGTGTCCATGTGTTCTCATTGTTCAACTCCCACATATGAGTGTCCTAAACATCTTTTAGAAATATAAATCTAAATTTGCCTAACAATCACTTATGGTAATAAAATACTTAATTACAAATTAATAACCAATGAAAAACCTAAATAAATGTTTATGTTTGACTCTCAAATCTAGCAAGTCAGAACCATAAGCTCAAAACAATAATATATCTCTTTCCAACACAAAAATTTTGCTTTTTCTGCCACACAAAAACAAAAAAAGCCAAAAAACTTACTAAAATTCCTCCTGATCCACATTTACTAATCAAGCGAAACAGCTGACAAACAAAAATTAAATTTATTACTAGTTCAAAACTATTTGTTTTTCTTATACAATTCAGCCAGTCCTAAAAAATATATAAACAGTTAAAAATTTAACCCTAAACTCATTTTAAAAGTAAAATAATTAAGTTTTCTAAAATCAAATTTCTATAAAAACTACTTGACCCACAACTTTAGTCCACAGCTTTCATTAAATTACCTATCAAGAGAAATAAAGTTTAGTCATGTAAACAGGTCCCAATTTTGTTAAAAATATCATTTAGATACAGCTATCTTCTATAAACCAATAATTTTATCTTACTATTTTATAAATAAAATTCTAAAATGAAAATAAAATCTTTATTCGTATACATATATGTGTTCAAGTGTGTTTGCACATATCTGCATATATTGTGTTATATGCAGTGTCTACATAATAAAGTCTCATACCATCAGTCAAAAAACCCTTAAAAGTTCTATTCAGCTTTTTCCACGCTACCTAGAGAGGGGTCCACAGGGCATTGTTCTGGATTCCTGGAATCGCTTAAAGAGAAAATTTCACAATGTCTGGAATCCTTGATATCCTGCCAATGAAGGAGGATGATATCCTCAACTTGCTTGCAGCAGGAACTCACTTAGGTAGCCCCAACCTTGACTTCCAAATGGGACAGCACAAGTATAAAAGAAAAGTGATGGCATCTGCATCATAAATATGAAGAAGACCTGGGAGAAGCTTCTGCTGGCAGCTCTTGTCATTGTTGCCACTGAAAACCTTGCTGATTTCCCTGTCTTATCCTCCAGGAATTCTGGCTGCTGGGTTGTGCTGAAGCGCACCACTGCCACTGGAGCCATTCCTATTGCTGGTCACTTCACTCCTGGAAACTTCACTAACCAAATCCAAGCGGCCTTCTCGGAGCTCCAGTTTCTGGTGGTTACTGATCCCAGGGCTGACCATTACCTCTCACAGAGTAATCTTATGTTAACCTGACTCCCATTGCTCTGTGGAAAACAGATTCTCCTCTGCATTGTGTGGACATTGCCATCCCATGCAACAAGGGAGTTCCCTCAGTGGGTCTGATGGTGAATGCCAGCTTGGAAGTTGTACACACACGGTACCATCTCCCATGAGCATCCATGGAAGGTCCTGCCTGATCTTTACTTCTACAGAAATCCTGAAAAGACTGAAAAGGAAGAGCAGACGTTGCTGAAAAGACCATAACCAAGGAGGAGTTTCAGGGTGTATGGACTGCTGCTGCAGCTCCTGAGTTCACTGCTACTCAGCCTGAGGTTGCAGATTGGTCTGAAAGTGGGCAGGTATCCTCAGTGCTTATCAAGCAGTTCTCTACTCAAGACTAGAGTGCTCAGCCTGCCAGGGAAGATTGATTTGCAGCTCCCGCTGCTCAGACCACTGAACGGGTAGGAACAACCTCTGAGTGATCTTAAGCTGTTCTTCCACAGGCTCTTATGCAAGATAGAAATAAGGTTGGTGACAAATAAATGTCAGTTTCCAAAAATAAATTTTATTAAAATTAACGTAAATAAATACACATTCATATAAAATATATAATTAACGCAAATGCCTTTAGTTCCCATGACTTAAATACATCTTTAATAAATAAACCAGTTTTAAAACAATAAAATAAAAATATAAATTTCTTTAAAATGGTCAACATATATTTTTACCCAAGTTTACTGGTCAGTTTTATATTCGTCTCTACTAAATATTTTAATATGTCAAGATTTGTCACAAATGATGTAAAACTACAAGCCCAGCCTTAAAAAATAATCTTTGTTTATGTAACTTTTTACTAAATGAAACTAATTTGTCTTCTAAGTTATCAACAAAGTACTCATGAATTTAACTGTAAGGTTCCTAAACACCTAATATTTACAAACTATGAAAATAATTTACCAAAAACCTTAAAATTATAACTTTGACTAATATCTCAGTTTTCATAATCTAAATAAACTACTCAAAATTAAGTTAATATAAATACAATAAACATCATAAACTTTCCATTTAATTTTACATCTTAAAGTTATGTCTTGTTAAGTTTGAAAAAATATAGCTCTAAGCTGTTTACAAGAGGTGCATTCTTCAAAATCCACAACCTTGCTCAAAGTCCACGGCAAGCTTACACATAAATATCCTTTTACAAGGACATCTGCTCAGCAACTGCCTGTCCCAACTAGGACTGGCATCACCCTTGCTATGGATCTTTGTGGCCAAGGACAATCTCCTCATTAAAAAACAAACAAAGAAACAAACAAAAAAACCTTTGTCTTCCTTTACTTCCCTGAATACACACATAGTTTACTATGACATGCATATTCCCATTGCCATGCTGTATCTCAAATACATATATTTTTGGTTTAGAGAGCTTCTCTCTGATGGTTATTTAGGTTAAGAGCTGTTAAATTCATCTTTAAGTTATTAGTTTTAGTTTATTTTTAAAGTTTTCAATTCTAGAATATTTAGTTTATTATTTTTCATAAGGCTCCATTTTAATTAATATTAAGCATAATAGATTCATGATAAACATATTAAAATCTATGTCTCCAAACACCATTATATGGATTGTCTGTGTGTTTATTTCAATTTGCCTTATTTGTTTTGGGTTTTGTTCATATTGTTCTGTCACCTCCTATGCATAGCTATTTAAGATTGTGTGCTGCTTGTATGTGTATTGTGGCACTGTTCACAATAGCAAAGACTTGAAACCAACCCAAATGCTCATCAATGATAGACTAGATAAAGAAAATGTGGCACACATACACCATGGGATACTATGCAGCCATAAAAAAAGGATAAGTTCATGTCCTTTGCAGGGATATGGATGAAGCTGGAAACCATCATTCTCAGCAAACTAACACAAGAACAGAAAACTAAACACCGCATGTTCTCACTCATAAGTGGGAGTTGATCAATAAGAACACATGGACACAGAGATGGGAACGTCACACACTGGGGCCTGTCGGGGGGTGGGGGACTAGGGGAGGGACAGCATTAGGAGAAATACCTAATGTACATGACGGGTTGATGGGTGCAGCAAACCACCATGGCACGTGTATACCTATGTAACAAACTTGTACATTCTGCACTTGTATCCCAGAATTTAAAGTATAATTTTAAAAAATATGACAATAAAAATAATAAAAAAAAGATTGTGTGCTGGATATCATATGTGAAAAATTATAATTTGAGGCCTAGAAAGATGCTACCTTCCTACACAGAAGATTTGTTTGCTTCTGGGTTAGAGCTAAAGGAGCATTATCAATCCCAGAAGAACCTTAATCCATTCAGGTATGAAGATGATTCTATGATGATCTTAAAGCACTACAAGTCCTAGTCTAGGCATGGTTCACTCTTACTCCTAGAGAACTAATATTTGGGATTTTAGCCCAAAGCCTGAAGATTTTACCAGCGTGTCTCCTTGGCAGGCCTTGGACTCTAGTTTTTGTCTTCCTAAGCATATGGACCTGTTAAAATTTCTGCTCAGTTTGTAGCCTTTCAGTAGTCTCTTCTGGAATTGAAAAATTTCCCTAAGGAAAAAGCAACCACCAAATCTCAAATTACCTCTCTGGGTTTTCTTCTTCTTCTTCTGTATTTTTGCTACATATACTTCTTGCTTTGTTAACTCTATGATGTCTTTCATCATATTTTTAAAAAACATATTCAGATTATTTGGTTGTTCTCAGTATGAGGGATGACTTTCATGTTATAGTCTGCCATTACTGGAATCATTACTTATTCTCTTTGCTTTATGCTTTCAGCCAGAGAGTCGGTAGGAAGTATAATTAGCTGGTGGATAGACTACTCAGAATTTTATTCCTGAGGTGTATGATGTTCTGGGGGGGCCGTGATGTATCTCAACTGATTTTTATCATTGGAAATTGGAGTATAGGAAGATTTCCCAAAAAGTCTCCTGAGATCCAAACATAAGTATCCCTGTTACCTTTGGATATCAACAATCTTAGTTCCTCTTAAAAACTGATATTAATTATTTTAGACAATATAGTAACCCGTATATTGATTATCAATCAAGTGTCAAAAAATACCTGAAATGACCATGTTGCAGTCTCAGTTTTCAATTTAGTGAAACCTTTGTTGAGTGCTATGGCATAAGTCTTCCTTTGTGGGGCTCTAAGACCATTATACAATCATAGTCCAAAGATGTGAAGATGGCAAGCAAACATTTTTCAAGTGAGTGATGAGGTGTAATTTTCAAGTGAGTGATGAGGTGTAATCCTGAGAGGCTGTTCTCCATCCTCTATCTCTTGGTTTCTAGATTAGTGTGTTCTAGCCATGGGACAAATGTTACCAAATTTTAAATATTATATTTGTCCATAAAGTAAAGTTTGTTTAGCATATTGATCAAATCTCTTATAATCCTTTTTGGTTTTTCTGAGTTATGATAAAATCTCCAACTATGCTTATTGACTTTATTTCTCTTTGTATCTGTCAACTTTATATCTGTTGTTACTATGTTACTAGGTGCATAATTTTTAAATGCGATATTTTGGGGCAACATTAACCTTTTTTCATTATAAAGTGACCTTTCTCTCTAAGATTGCATTTTGCCTTAAAAATGTCTGAAATTAATACAGCTATAAAAATTGTATTTTATTAGTGTTTGCATAATCTAATTTTTTATATTCTTTTAGTTTACATATTCTTATATTTTGAATGCATCTCTTGTGAACTGCTTAAAGTTGGATTTTTTCCATTCTGGCAATTGTCTTATTTTGATTAAAACATTTAGTTCATTATAATTTATATAATCATTTCATTTAGCCTTTATTTCTTTATGCATCTCACACTTATCTGAGATAAATTATCTGAGATATTATGTGGGATAATAATTAGCCTTCAAAATAAACTATATCCATTATACACTGATAGATAATAGCTAGTTGGCTAGCTTAATAGATAGTTATTAGACTTTTTAGTGCTTGATTATTGGTGGTAATTTATAATTTTCTGTCTAAAAACTGTCATTATCTTGCCTCCATTCTTGAATGATATGTTCACTGGGTATATCATTCTAGGTTGACAGTTATTTTCCCTCAGTATATGGATGAAATCATTTCACTATTTTCTGGCTTCCATTGCTGCTATAAGCCAGCTATTAATCTACTCTTTTAAAAGTTATATGTCTTTTTATCAGGCTACTTTTAAGGTTTTCTTTCTCAGGTTTCTGTGATTTCACTATAATGTATCTAGCTGTTGTTTACTTATTCTCTTTTATCATTGGGATTTTAGAGAGAGGAGGGGCTTTCTAAAACCGTGGATTGGTGTCTTTTGTCAGTTGTGGAAATTTCTCCACTATTATCGCCTAAAATATTTCCTCCACCTAATGTGCTTTATCTTCTCCTGCTGGGATTTCAACTAGATATAGGTAAGGGCTATTTATTGTATCCATTACATCTCTTATTTTCCTCTGTATTTCCAGCTTTTCATATCTACTTGCTGCATTCTGAATAATTTCTTCTTATCTGTCTTACAATAATTATTTCTTCAGCTACGTATAATCTACTGTAAAAGCATGCATTGAGTTTTTAATTTAGAAATGCATACATAGGTATCTTTAATTTGCAGATATTTTCAAGTTTTTTCTTTTATTACTGTATATATGATAAGTACAATTATTTAATAATCTATATCTGACAACTGAGTTTTCTAAAGTTTGTGTCTTTTTCTGGTATTTGCTGTGTTTTGCTTTTGTTTTTTGTTGTTATTGATGGTGTCTGGTTTACTTGTATGCCCGATTATCTTTATTGTACTGGTAATGAAACCTAGGATCAATGTGATTCTCTTTACAGAATATTAGCTATTGTATGGGACAACCAGGGGACTCTTCTAATATGGAACCACTTTCGTTAAAGTTGAAGACTGGAGATTTCTTAGACTACCCTCACTTTACTATTACTTGAGCTTTGTGAAACGAAAATACCTTGGGCCCCCACAATCACTAAGCTAAAGGGGAAAACTTCTTAGGGCATACTTGCCTCACATTCTGTTCAAAGTCACCCCTCTGCTCACTGAGATAAATGCATATCTGATTGCCTCCTTTGGAGAGGCTAATCAGAAATTCAAAAGAATACAACAATTTGTGTCTTATCTACCTATGAGCTGGAAACCCCCTCCCCACTTATAGTTGTCCCGTCTTTCCAGACTGAACCAATGTTCATCTTACATATGTTGATTGATGTTTCATGTCTCCAAAAAATGTGTAAAACCAAACTGTGCTCTGACCACCTTGGGCACATGTAGTCAGGACCTCCTGAGGCTGTGTCATAGGCACGGGGGTCCTCAAACTTGGAAAAATGAACTTTCTAAATTAACTGAGACCTGTCTCAGATTTTCAGGTTCACATTTTGATAACCACAAAGGGAGTCTGAGAGGAGGTGCTCCTGACCTTTGAAAAATCTTCTATCTGTGCTTGGTATCAGATTGAGCTATGCTTATGGCTCAAACCAATAGGACAATTTGCTGAGACCTGGAAGCACCTCCTCCAGAGAATCTCTGATCTGCCAAAATTTGGTTGAGATCTAAAATTTATTTTGCTGTACAACTCCTTTTTTTGGAGTTGTACACACTTCCAACAAACACAAGGAAGACAAGTTTTTCCTGCTTCCATGATGATGGAAGGCAGGAAATTCCTTTATGGAGTTTGAGCTCACTTCCAACAGGGAAAAAGAGGGTTTTTTTTTTTTTTCTGCTTCTAGGGTGTTAGAGAGCGGTCTTCAGCCTGAGCCTATCCCTAGGCAAGTAACTAAATTGGAGTATGTCTTGGCTAAAGTTAAGATTAACAACCAGCTGATCTTAATTTCTCCTTACCATTAGAGTGCTCAGTAATCATATAAGTTGTGCAATTGTTTATTTTGCTTAACTGTTTTTTGCTGTTGTCATTAGTTGTTTCTGTTTTTGTTGTTGTTTCAGTCTTTTTCACATTGGGTTTGATCAGCTCTATGTGACTTGATCAAATCCCAAGGAAGTTCCAAATTATGGGGAACAAGACCTCGGAAGGAGTTAAATTCACACACACACACACACACACACACACACACACGGTGGTGTGGTGCAAGGAGAAAGACGGCCAGCAAAAAGACAAAAAAAAGAGGAAAGATTTTTTATTTTTATTACAAAGGGGCTTTATTTACATAACAAGGCCACCTTTTTCCTAGCCAGGCCAAACTGAAAAAGCAATGGCTACCCTTCTGAAATAGCAGCAATTTGTCCTAGCTGAGATATGGTAATGAGATTTAAGAAGGTATTTTTAAAAGGAACTCAATGGTCAAAAGTCAGCTTAATTAAAAGCTAACATCCAAGATGTGTGTTTGTGTGTGCCCATATGTGTGTGTTTGTATTTAAAAGGCCTTCATGTTTTTGTTTTTGTTTTTCTCCTAGGACCTTGTCTTCTTCTGAAGCAAAAGCTTTTTCTTCTCAGTTGACTGAATTCTGTTTTCTTCATTTACTTCTGCTTTCTCTTCTTTCTCTTGCACCCTCTGCTGCATGGGGACCTAAAATACTTTATAACAGCCTGGGATTCTTTAAAGAAAATGGAGAAGACTGACTCCCTTTGGGGGAGAAACCTGTTTTTCCTTATGGAACCCCAAGAATGTAAACAGACAAGTTCGTCTCAGCTCTTAAACTGCTTACTTTTGTATTGCATTACCTGTTTATAGTTATTGCAACAGAGGTTACTCTTGGGTCTTTAAGGAAGAGTATGGTTTCGATACTTAGAAATGTCTTTGTTTAAAAAAAAATTAAGTGTACTGTAAAAGCATCATGTGATCTAACCTCACAATAATTATCCCTTTGTGGAGACCCATGATTCATTGTAGGCTCTGTCCAAAGCTCAGAGATCCAGTCAAAAGATAGGTAGTCCCTATCTAAATAAAACTGGTCTCCTTATACAATCCTGTGATAGATTTCTACAATTTATGTTTGATTTGGCATCCATCTTTAATCTCCCTCTAGCACAAACAGGCTTTTTCTCTCTGTACCTTATGATATAAATTTTGCTATTTGATTTTTCACCTGAGTTGTTTGCTTTAATATGCAAATTTAAGGCTATTTAGCTGACAACTTCCTAGGGTTGTGAAACAGGTTATCAAGAATCTGAAAGTCTAAAATAGGAAAATAAAAGGTTTTTATAAAACTATAAGATGTGCTTCTACCGGCATGCCTAATATGTCTATGTATTTATGTGTTGCATACACAATGTTTCACTACTGAAAATATATAAAAGACTGCTAATTAATTGGCTTAAGAAAATAGAAACATTTGAATCAAATATTTTATCAGGAAAAAATAAAAGACTAGTCAAATGCTTTTTCAAGTTTACATAACTTAAAATCTTTATTAAATAAGCTAGCTTTAAAATTATTGGTAAAGTAATATTAGAAATGTCTTAAGAATCACCAGCACACATTTATTTGCATGTATTAATCAAGCAATTTCATATTTATTCCTGCCAAATATTATAAGGTGTCAAAATTTGGCATAGGGGTTACAAATCTACAAACCCAGCACAAGACAGAATGACCTTTGCTTGTATAATCTTTAATAAATCAGACATTGATGCTGGCTTAATAAAAATAGTTATGTCTTGAATTTAGTAAGATTACCATAACTTCTATTCTTGTGGCTTTAGGCAGTCTAGTCCACAGGCATTAAGGTTTGTTTTGGGAAAGGATTGTCATCATCTTTGTTTCAAAGCTAAACTATAAAGTAAGTTCCTCCCAAACTTAGTTTGTCCTATGCCCAGGAATGAACAAGGAAAGCTTGGAAGTTAAAAGCAAGATGGAGTCAGGTCAAATATTTTTCACTGGCTCAGTTATAATTCTGCAGTGGTGGTTCCCTAACTTTAAATAACGACCATCATAGTTTTTATAAATAATCTAGGTACATGATTAGAATAAAATAATTAGATATATATTACAGGATAAATACTTGTAGACAAACTCATCATAATTTAGAATCTAAAGTTATGTTAAATTAAGTAATAGATATATTATTATTTGCGTATTTTCCAAGAAAAATATATTTGTGAGAAAACATTCTTTCTAAAATAAAATGGTATTCTTTTTAAAAAGTGAACAATTTTTGCCTAATTCAAAAGTTTATTTAAGGGTCATTTTTCAAACAAGGTAAAAGGAGCCAGGAAATAAAAGAGATGTTAAGAAAGTTATATAAATAAAGAGGGTTTTTTCTTGTAAGAAGGCTAAAGAGAAATAATTTCATATGAGAAAGAACCTTGTATGATAAATTTAGTACTAGAATAAAATGGCTGGTTGTTAAGGACAGAGGGATGTTCAGAAAAACAATTTCAAGGATGTCATAAACGGTCTGTGTAAGTCATAAGAAAAGGATTTATTTTTAAAAAACAACAAAAATTTATATATGATCATGTTGTCTATGATTAAAGGGAAATTATAATGATCTTTCTAGAGATTAGGTTTGATGTAAAAAAACACATAAAGAATTGGTTAGAACAATGAAATTTTCTTAAGGGTTTGATTTACTCTTGATAAATTATAAGAGATTTTAATTTTTTTTATTTCAACCCAAAGTTCAACTTTTATTGCATCTCACTGGTTTCAGTGTTCTCTCCCCTTTTAAAAGGCATGAAAAAGTAACATTCCCCTTGAACTCATTTTCAGCTCAAATATATGTTTTTTTTCCTCCTTGGGTTCTGTTTTTTGTGGCCTGATGCTAACAGTAGTTTCCTAAAGAGCTAAAGGAAATATTTTATTCCAAAATAATATTCTGTGCACTGCACAGTGTCTTTTCTTTTGCCTTTTGATAACTGGCCTAACAGATTTTACATTTTATCAAAATAGTTCCTATGGCATTATTATTAAGTTTGGTTTGCTTAGGAGAAACTGATATTAAAAAAATATTTTTTAAATTAAGTTTATTACATTCTTGCATTTTCCTATATGTGCTTTGAAAGTTCTTGTGACATTGAGTTACAGGGCTTTATCTCCTGGGTCTAAAAAGAACACCAAGACCTGCTAAATCTTAAAAACTAACAGCAATTAAAGCCTCATTTTCAGTCCCAGTAGAAGATGCCAATCAAAATAAACTGCCTTCCTGAGACACAGGGCAAAAAATTAAAGCTATTTAACTCCTCAAGGGCCAGGGATGATCATGGAAGACATGAGCATGTGAGATTGTAAGTACTTATTCTGAGAGATAAAATAAGTTCAGTTTCTCTATAAATTAATCATGAATGTCAAAGGCACATTGATGCAACACCAGCATACGGGCCCCTGGGTCAGAATAACAGGGTTTTCTTGAAATATGAACTGACCTGTTAATAAAGGTTATAAAGGCTTAAGAAAGTTATATCTTATGATCAAGATGAAAATGTTATAGATTACAAAATTTTGGAAAACAAATTTAATTGGCTTCGTGCTGTTTTTTTTAGGGCTTATTGTTTGAAAAATTATGTCTCCTCTCTCAAAGAATGAAGGTTTTTGCCTTTTTTTTGAAATTCTTATCACTTTGGTTAAATGAACGACTTATTTTACAATGACCTGTGATCCTGTTTCATAATATCAAGTGTTTTAAGCCTTTCATATTTGACACACTTTCCAAATCAAATTGTAAATTATGTCTTTTTCTGACCTAATTAACCTTTAAGATATTATTAATAGATTCCTTAAACACCAAAAATGCCATTCCTTCTGAAACTATTCCAATCAACAGAAAAAGAGGGAATCCTCCCTAACTCATTTTATGAGGCCAGCATCATCCTGATACCAAAGCCTGGCAGAGACACAACCAACAAAGAGAATTTTAGACCAATATCCTTGATGAACATTGATGCAAAAATCCTCAATAAAATACTGGCAAACCAAATCCAACAGCACATCAAAAAGCTTATCCACCATAATCAAGTGGGCTTCATCCCTGGGATGCAAGGCTGGTTCAATATAAGCAAATCAATAAATGTAATCCAGCATATAAACAGAACCAAAGACAAAAACCACATGATTATCTCAATAGATGCAGAAAAGGCCTTTGACAAAATTCAACAACGCTTCATGCTAAAAACTCTCAATAAATTAGGTATTGATGGGACGTATCTCAAAATAATAACAGCTATCTATGACAAACCCACAGCCAATATCATATGGAATGGGCAAAAACTGGAAGCATTCCCTTTGAAAACCGGCACAAGACAGGGATGCCCTCTCTCACCACTCCTATTCAACATAGTATTGGAAGTTCTGGCCAGGGCAATTAGGCAGGAGAAGGAAATAAAGGGTATTCAGTTAGGAAAAGAGGAAGTCAAATTGTCCCTGTTTGCAGATGACATGATTGTATATCTAGAAAACCCCATTGTCTCAGCCCAAAATCTCCTTAAGCTGATAAGCAACTTCAGCAAAGTGTCAGGATACAAAATCAATGTACAAAAATCACAAGCATTCTTATACACCAACAACAGACAAACAGAGAGCCAAATCATGAGTGAACTCCCATTCACAATTGCTTCAAAGAGAATAAAATACCTAAGAATCCAACTTACAAGGGATGTGAAGGACCTCCTCAAGGAGAACTACAAACCACTGCTCAATGAAACAAAAGAGGATACAAACAAATGGAAGAACATTCCATGCTCGTGGGTAGGAAGAATCAATATCGTGAAAATGGCCATACTGCCCAAGGTAATTTATACATTCAATGCCATCCCCATCAAGCTACCAATGACTTTCTTCACAGAATTGGGAAAAACTACTTTAAAGTTCATATGGAACCAAAAAAGAGCCCGCATTGCCAAGTCAATCCTAAGCCAAAAGAACAAAGCTGGAGGCATCATGCTACCTGACTTCAAACTACACTACAAGGCTACAGTAACCAAAACAGCATGGTACTGGTTCCAAAACAGAGATATAGATCAATGGAACAGAACAGAGACCTCAGAAATAACGCCACATATCTACAACTATCTGATCTTTGACAAACCTGACAAAAACAAGCAATGGGGAAAGGATTCCCTATTTGATAAATGGTGCTGGGAAAACTGGCTAGCCATATGGAGAAAGCTGAAACTGGATCCCTTCCTTACACCTTATACAAAAATCAATTCAAGATGGATTAAAGACTTAAATGTTAGACCTAAAACCATAAAAACCCTAGAAGAAAACCTAGGCATTACCATTCAGGACATAGGCATGGGCAAGGACTTCATGTCTAAAACACCAAAAGCAATGGCAACAAAAGCCAAAATTGACAAATGGGATCTAATTAAACTAAAGAGCTTCTGCACAGCAAAAGAAACTACTGTTAGAGTGAACAGGCAACCCACAAAATGGGAGAAAATTTTCGCAACCTACTCATCTGACAAAGGGCTAATATCCAGAATCTACAATGAACTCAAATTTACAAGAAAAAAACAAACAACTCCATCAGAAAGTGGGCAAAGGACATGAACAGACACTTCTCAAAAGAAGACATTTATGCAGCCAAAAAACACATGAAAAAATGCTCATCATCACTGGCCATCAGAGAAATGCAAATCAAAACCACAATGAGATATCATCTCACACCAGTTAGAATGGCGATCATTAAAAAGTCAGGAAACAACAGGTGCTGGAGAGGATGTGGAGAAATAGGAAAACTTTTACACTGTTGGTGGGACTGTAAACTAGTTCAACCATTGTGGAAGTCGGTGTGGCGATTCCTTTGGGATCTAGAACTAGAAATACCATTTGACCCAGCCATCCCATTACTGGGTATATACCCAAAGGATTATAAATCATGCTGCTATAAAGACACATGAACATGTATGTTTATTGCAGCACTATTCACAATAGCAAAGACTTGGAACCAACCCAAATGTCCAACAATGATAGACCGGATTAAGAAAATGTGGCACATATACACCATGGAATACTATGCAGCCATAAAACATGATGAGTTCAGGTCCTTTGTAGGGACATGGATGAAATTGGAAATCATCATTCTCAGTAAACTATCGCAAGAACAAAAACCAAACACCGCATATTCTCACTCATAGGTGGGAATTGAACAATGAGAACACATGGACACAGGAAGGGGAACATCACACTCTGGGGACTGTTGTGGGGTGAGGGGAGGGGGGAGGGATAGCATTGGGAGATATACCTAATGCTAGATGACGAGTTAGTGGGTGCAGCGCACCAGCATGTCACATGTATACCTATGTAACTAACCTGCACATTGTGCACATGTACCCTAAAACTTAAAGTATAATAATAAAAAAATGCTAATAAAAAAAAAGACCAAAAACGACATATTTGGCTTATATGGTATAAAAATTGTACAGGAAGCATTGTCAAATGTAAAATTGTGTTTGGTTTCCTTTGGGCTGCATTTGTATAAATGTGTTATTGGTATGTGTTCCAAAACTATGGGAAACCCCTATATTTCTGATATGATTTAATGTACACTACCAGCAACAATTATAATTGTTATGCTAAATTATTGTGTGCCACAGAGGTAATAAATTTCCTTGTTAATTGTGTCTTTGCTTATGGCTGTCCTAAAACTTTTTGTCATCCATGGACAATTGTTGCCTTGTTTTGGTCCTCTTTAGAAGGTGGTTTTATAATCAGCTATAAAACTCTAACAGGTGATTTTGAATGCAGGTTTCTGAGAACTTTGGAGACTGTGACATCAGAATAGAGGAAAACTTTCAGGACTCATAGAGAACTGACATGTTTATGAGTATCAAGCAGAAGAGAAATTAACTGCAATTACTAGACTAATAGAAGTATGAAATAATCTTTCTAACTTTTTGCTAAAAGTGTTGCTGATCCTTTGTTTTTCTTAAAAGAAAACTTTTAAGCTATTTAAAGCTTTTAACAGTTGAGTAAAGTATATTCTTATGGACAAAATTTGGAGCATATTTGTTTCTCTCTACCTGATTTCTACAGAATTTGGAAACTGTGAGTATTCTTAAGTTATGATGATATAGTCATTTGCATAAGTGCAATAAGAATCTGTTTTCATTTGTAACAGGACACAATTGGAGAAACTGGCTATTTTACCAAGGCTTTGACTGGAATGGAATGCTTTCCTTTAAGGAATCAAACTTGACTTACAGAGCCAATAAAGCCCTTTGGAAAATCTGGCCTTATACCTTTGTCTACACAGTCCCTATACAGGGTTCTTGACCTGTGGTAAGTAAACAATGCCACTTTCTGACAGGCCCAGGAGCCCCAAATTTATCTTGGAACCTCAAGAGGAGAGGAATTTACCCAACTCATAGGTATTTAATGGTACAAATCCATGGCTGGGCTTGGCTTTAAAAAAGTCTTATCTGAGATTCCTTCTATGAAACAAATTCCATCAAAGCCAATTAAAATAAAAAGCCTATGTGAAAAAGAATTATTCTTGCTGCACTTTATACAAATAATCTGGCCAAGTACAATAAAGCAAATTAATCCTATAATAATTTGTCTTTAGTAAAAATGGGAAACCGGAGAGAGAAAAAATATGTTTCAAAAACTATATTACACCTACCATTAGGCTCTAGTCAGTTTTTATTATTTTCTACACTTTGGACCGAATTCTAATTTTTCTTAGCTACAAGCCTTGAAAATAATGTTTACATTTTATTTCCTTCCTTTCTCCTCATTTTTCCTAATGTGGAGTCACCAAAAACTAAGCTGTGTTTTCTTAAAACCCTGGGAACTGAAGCCAGACAACTTAAACTTCAGAAGAAAATAACAGCAACCTATTTACATACCTAAGCCACTTTCATACCTGCCTACTGATGTATGGACTTCAGAGGAATGTGGTTTATATCAATATTCCAGGATTATCCTTTTGTTTGTTGTTGTTTTTCTCCCTTCCTCCCCCTATTTTCTCTTCATAAGACATAAGACGTCACAGCCTTCTAAAAATGAGCTTTCCTAATAACTCGGGACCTACCTGTCTAGGAATAAACCATCCTAACCATGAGAGATCAGACGAAACCTGAGACCAGAGACTGACTCATTTTCTTCTAAAATACTTTCTCCAAAAGATCATTTGAAAGAAAAATGGGGAAATGTGAAAGGAAAATATCTTGGGCCCCCAAATTCACTAAGCTAAGGGAAAAGTCAAGCTAGGAACTGCTTAGGGCAAACCTGCCTCCCACTGTATTCAAAGTCACCCCTCTGCTCACTGAGATAAATGCATATCTGATTGCCTCCTTTGGAGAGGCTAGTCAGAAACTCAAAAGGATGCAACAATTTGTCTCTTATCTACCTATGACCTGGAAGTCCCCTCCCAGTTTTGAGTTGTCCCGCCTTTCCAGACCAAAGCAATGTTCATCTTACATATGTTGATTGATGTCTCATATCTCCCTAAAATGTATAAAACCAAACTGTGCTCTGACCACCTTAGGCACATGCTGTCAGGACCTCCTGAGGCTGTGTCACAGGCACGGGTCCTCAACCTTGGCAAAATAAACTTTCTAAATTAACTGAGACCTGTCTCAGCTTTTTGGAGTTCATAGCTTCAAGACCAAAAGAAGGTTGATTTGTTATGAATTTATCCTTACCCAAGGCTGTAGTCCTTTGAGAGTACCAGGCAATTGTTTGGAGAGGACTCTAAAAAGGAGTTTTTACTTTGTCCTTATTCTGGGATTTGATTCCTATTTCTTTCATCCCAAGAGACCACAAGACATAATAAAACTCACACATTTGGGGATCTGAAACATCCCCCGGTAAAACCAGCTTCCATGATTATTTAACTTCTCTGGGATCCCACTTTTAAAACCTCTGTTCTGCTATAATTTCTTCCTATTTTACTAGTTCTTTTGTTTGTAATAATTTTTATAATTTATTTAGCATTTTAGTTTTCTTTAAAGGGGAAGTATCAACCAACTAGCCTAGTCTGCCATCACTGGAGCTACAAGTCCCCTTTCTTTTTCTAAGAAGAGAAAAATATGTTATGTTTTTAAAATTTTATACAAAAGATAATATTAATAGCTTACATAACGTACAACCTATAACATGCCAGTAAGTCAGAATTCTTAGAGCCTTTAGGAAAAACAGTCATTGTTGGTAGCTAAGTCCTGGTTCTGGGCATGATGGCATCATTAAGGGGTCTGGCTTAAACAAATGTGGACCCAGAGGAGGAAGGATGGGAAGAATAGGGGATATGGTCACCACCAGTTGTGTTATCGTGTAGGGACGGGAGTGTCGAAGAGCTAGTTACTATTCAATGAAGCTGTTGGGAGTCTCTGGACATAAAGCAGTACTTGGCACAAGCACCCCTCTCCCTTTGCCAATATGTACCAAATAAGGACAACTTGCACTACTAACTTGTTGGTTGAATGAGGCACATGCAATGCTCTGTGGAGCCTGAGGCCAAACCACTTGGTTTGGCAGTTGAAGTCAATTATTATAACCCTTTAATACAGCCTTTTATCTATAGTAAAGTGGCTTTAAAGTTACATTTAAAAGCTTTGAACAGGTTTTTGTGTGGCAGAGCACACTTTGGGCAGAAGCTGGGGAAACACTCGGGGGAATGCCCAAGGTAATACAAGCCATGACAATTTTGAGTTCAGAACAAAGGAAGAGGTAAGAAAGTCAGTCCTTCTGCGGACACTGTTGAGATTGGCTTTTTACCTTAATTCCCACTGCAGATGTGATAACACTGAGGCCAAATCAGGGGCAGAAATTTTCCAAAGCTACACAGACAATTGGTAACAAAAAAACAAAGTGAAGGAATAGAACATGCCATCTTCCTTTTTAGACCAGGGTCAATTTCCCTGCACCTCATTGCTTCAACAATATGGACAAAAGAGCAGTCTGAGAACAGTGTCAGTGGGTAGGAGGTGGGGAGAGCATTGGACACCCATGATGCAGGATGGGTCATGATGGTGGCTTGGCCCAGACTGTGACTTAATAGAGATGGAGAAAAATGGATGGATGTGAGATAAGTTTTGTAGGTTGAGCCAACTGGACTTGCTGATGGCTGGGAGAGGGAAAGGGTATATCAAGGGTGACTCTTAGGTTTCTGTTTGCATTCATTGAAATGGGAAAGTGATTCCCAATATGCATTATAACTTAAAATATAGGAAATGATAATAGTCACACAGCACATTGGGGTAAAAAGAAATAACAAGTTGAAGATAGAGGCGGCTCACTCAAAAACTTCAGAAACCCAAGATTCTTCCTAGCTGTTGCAAGAGCTGCAAGGAAAACATTATCTTGGTACACTTACAACCCATTTGAGATAAACTGGTATTGAGCACACCAGTTGGAAGCCTCTGAGATGAGTCCACTTGAAGAAAACTCAGATTGGTGCAGGAGGGTGAGAAGACGGGGGAAGATATGGAATCAAGAGTTTGCTTTTGGTGTTGTTGAGTCTGAAGAGCTGTGAGACATTCAAGATATGCAGCCAGAGGATATACGTTGCCTGTTATAAGCTTTTTGGTCTTGGGAAAGTGATTTTCTTTCTCTGGGACTCAGGAACTAAAAGTCCCCAGCTTGTCAGAGAATGGGAACTTTCCATTATAAGCCAGATCCTGAAGTTCCTGCTAGCTAGGACAACTTATTCTCATGCAGTCTGTATTCCCCAGGTGAAGTCTATGATTAAGGGCAGGTCCATACAAACCAGTAGTTAAATGATTTTGGAAAGAGGAGCTGTTTTAATCCGTTTGGGATTCTATAACAAAATACTTTAGACTGGGTAATTTATAAACAATAAAAATTTATTGCCCAGTTTTAGAGGCTGGGAAGTCCAAGATCAAAGCATCACCTATTTCAGTGTCTGGTGAAGGCCCAGTCCTCATAGATGGTATGTGTTGTGTCCTTACATGGTGTAAGGGGCAAACAAGCTCCCTTGAGCTTCTTTTGTAAGGATACCAATCCCAATCATGCGGGCTCTATGCGCATGACTTAATCTTATCTCCCAAATATCTTATCTCTCTCTTAAGAACATTGCACTGGGGATTAGGTTTCAACATGTGAATGTGGGCGTGGGGGGGACACAAACATTCAGATCATAGCAGGGGCCAAGGTCACAGAGAAGGTGACCATATTTGTAATAGGTCCAGTAAACCTATGGAGAGATTGCTCAATGGAGCAACAAATGGTTCACTTCCCAGGAGAAGGAGACTGTGAATAAGTATTGAATTTCAACAGGCAGAAAAGAGACAACTCTATCAGGAGGAGTGCTTGTTCACCTGAATAGACAACGATAAGTGCCATCAACAGGAGAGTGAGAATCAAGGTAGTGAAAAAGAGGTACATTTTTTCTTTTCTGTTTTTTTTTTTTTTTTTAGATGACGCCTAGCTGTCGCCATGAGTGCAGTGGCGTGATCTTGTCTCACTGCAACCTCCACCTCCCGGGTTCAAGTGATTCTTCTGCCTCAGCCTCCTGAGTAGCTGGGACTACAGGCACACACCACCTCGCCTGGCTAATTTTTTTTTGTATTTTTAGTAGAGACGGGGTTTCACCATGTTGACCAGGCTGGTCTCGAACTCCTGACGTCGTGATCCACCCGCCTCGGCCTCCCAAAGTGCTGGGATTACAGGCGTGAGCCACCACACCTGGCCCTTTTCTTTTTTTTAATTTTAAGTTCAGGGGTATATGTGCGGGTTTGTTATCAATACATAGATAAACTTGTGTCATGGGGGTTTGTTGTACAGATTATTTGTCACCCAAGTATTAAGCCTAGTATCCATTAGTTGTTTTTCCTGATCCTCTGCCTCCTCCCAACCTCCACCCTCTCATAGGCTCTAGTGTGTGTTGCTCCCCTCTATGTGTCCATGTTTTCTCATCATTTAGCTCCCACTTATAAGTGAGGGCATGCAGTATTTGGTTTTCTGTTCCTGTGTTAGTTTGCTAAGGAGTGGGCATTTTTGAGAGTGTGCACCTGGCAGTGTGAAGTGGTGACATATGAAAAGAGACCTGAGGTGAGCTGAGAAGGGCAGGTGGCTGGGGTGCAGTGAATAGGGGCCAGACCATGCCAGGCTTTACAGGCTTCAGTGAGGGATGAAGACTTCATTGTACCTGTGGTTGGAAGCCACTGGAAGGTCTTGAGCAGAGGCATGACATAATCTGATTTGATTGACAGGCCACTCTGGCCACTGTGAGGTGATTACATTGAAGGGGGGAAAGGGGAGACCCGGGGAGGGGGCCAGCAGCAAGAAGGCTGACACCTCCCAAGCCTGCCACAAGCCACGTGGCTCTCACACCTCCCAAACCGACCACAAGGCACATGGCTCACATTACACATTCAAACTAGGTTGGGGCGAGTGGGTCCACCCAGGTCCTAGGCTTCATGGTAACATGTCCAGGGACTTCAGAGGTGATTCTCATGGCCACTTTCCTCCTCTTTTCCATCTGTGCTCCCCAAGGTTGGATAGCTTAACAGGAGGCACTGAGCGGATCCTTCCCACTGGTGCAACCCCCTCCTCTATCTCTGTTCTGAGGCCTACTCGCCTACTTGTATGGTCCACTGTCCTCCGAGGGAAAGGGGTCTAAGAAGAGAGAAATATATTATGATTTTAAAATTTTATACAAAAGATAATATTAATAGCTTACATAACGTACAACCTATAACATGCCAGTAAGTCAGAATTCTTAGAGCCTTTAGGAAAAAAAGTCATCGTTGGTAGCTAAGTCCTGGTTCTGGGCATGATGGCATCATTAAGGGGTCTGGCTTAAACAAATGTGGACCCAGAGGAGGAAGGATGGGAAGAATAGGGGATATGGTCCCTATGGACCTATGGTCCCCAAGAGGTCTCTTGCCCTCAGGAGAAAGCCAAAAGCCCCTGGGCATTGACCAGCTGCACTCACTCTGAGTGGGCTCATTTGCTGAACTCGTGGGAGGAGGACGGACTCACTGGCAGGCCCACTGTGGCTGCCTGGCTAAACCAAGGCCTCCCATTGAGATGAAAAGATATATATTTCACTAGCTTTTGGGGGTACAAGTGGTTTTTTGTTACGTGGGTGAGATTTTATCAGTAATGGAACTGTTACTTTGATCTCCATCTGTCTGACTCAGGCCTCTGGGATTCAGAACTCTGTAAGGGAAGAGAGAGGCTATAGATCTGGCCCTGGGGATCCCAACTCTGAGCTAGTGCTGTGATCTTTATTGTGGCCATTATGTACCAGCATCCCAGGGATAAGGCGCTGACTGGACATTTCTCTTCAGGCACATGGACCAGTGCCAGTAACACCACCTGGGAGCTTGTGGAAATGCAGTGTCTCTGGCTGGACCCAGACCCTCTGAGTCAGAATCTGTGTTTTAACGAGATCCTTCGGGGGATTCACAGGCATTTTACAGTGAGAGATGCACCATAAATCTAGTGTTTTCCCATCAAGAATTTGGCAACATAACTTAGCTCTTTTTGGAAATCCTGAAACTACTTTGACATTAATATCTGGGAGTAAATTGCTGGAAAGGGCAAATGGCTTGTGCAGCATAAGCTCCCACCTGAGTTTCTGCTTGAGACAGGTGCATGCATATTCATCTGGCCTCAGGCACAGATTACGGGCTGTTAGGCAATGATGGACTGAGGTAAATATGTTTGGTAGTTGGCAAAAAGCAAGCTGGCTCTTCCCCAGGTGAGTGACCTCATGGTGCCTTGCCTGGTTAGTGGCTTTTCTATATGAAGCCTTCTATATGAAGCCTCCTATGCTACTGTGGTTCTGGAGCCTGACTTGGCAGCTACCATATCACACATACCATTTTCTCAGTCTGCAGGGCAGGGAAGTCTCCAAGACTTACTAACTGCAGTCACCAGAACAGCCAGCACACGGCCACCAGTGAAGGCTGGAGGAGGAATGGGAAATCTAAGTCATGGAAAATCTGAGCTCAGAAACTGGGGGCCTGTCATACGTTTCCTTGCATTACCTCCCTGGGTAGCTTCTTGGTGCTACCCAAGCTGTGGCCACATTAGTGCAAATCTCTGTGAGCTAGGGGTTATTATCACAGCTGTTTGCTAATGAGATGAGGTGGGCTCAAAGAGGCTAAGAGGCCAGATCGTGGTTTTTCAGCTGATGAGCGGCCAGGACTAAGATGGAGAAGTATCTGACTCAAGCTCTTATTCTCTTCCCCCTGGGTCATAGTCCAGGCCATTTCCCACCCTGACTTTCATTCACAGAAGACTGCACTTTTCAAAACATGAACTTCAGCACTCTCAAGGTTGAAGGACCTTGAGAATTTAGGTTGCAAACTTCTTTGGGGTGCATTATGTCCACACTATGGATATTATTAATGCTTTCCTCAGAAGCCCCCTCTGCTAAAGAGCTCAGATTGATAGAGACCTCTTTTAAATGATGCTCATCCCTGCATTTTGGATTCCCCTAGATACCCACAGCACAGGGCCAGGACTATCCATCCCCTGGGCCTCCCTGAGAGAGAGGCCTGAGGAGTGCAATTGCTGCCCACACAAGGGGAAGACCTGCTTATTCCTTTGTCTGGATGCTCTAATTCTAGTAATGCCACAAAAATCACAAAAGACAGTGTTTTCCAACGCTGCATCAGTTGCAATGAGGTTTGCAAAATATTTCTTTATCTTGGCATACTGCCTATCACCAGTTCTGACTTTCCCAAAATGCTTTATTTGTGTATGGAATAAAGGGGGCTGGAGGAAGGGCTTTCTTCTCCATGTAAGGTCACTGCCATTAATCACCTATTGCCTTGTTAATTGCACATTGTCACCTTCACATCATCGGTGCCTCACAGGGATTAAAAATCCATCCAACGCTATTAATTGGCCTTATTTAATAATGACTCAGTAAATAAGTATATTGGGCATGTTGAACTGTGATTAACCTACTGTTAATTGGCCCCCTGGCCTGGCCAAGGACAAAAGTCCCAACCTGTCCTTGGAAACTTGCCAATGCCTCATTCCATGGGACGGCCAGAAGCCAGGGCCTCCTCAAATGTGGAGGCCACAGGCACAGTCTCAGTTCCAACTACTGCTGGTGGAAGCAGGGCAGGAGGAATCCTCAGATTCCAGCCAGTCAAGGCCCCACATTTTCTAGATGAAAAATTGAGATTCTGACATGGGATTTACTTATTCAGAGCATGTGAACAGTCAGGCTTCCATGTCTCAGGAGGTCAGACAGAAGGTTTGAGAGTTCCCCCAGCACATTCAAGGGTAGAGGTAAAGAAAGCTGGGAGGAATCAGAATCCAGGCCAAACTGTGTCCCAGGTCCCTGGGTCTAAGAGACTGATTTCGGGCAGTGGTCCCCAACCTTTGTGGCACCAGGGCCACTTTCATAGAAGACAGTTTTTCCACTGACAAGGTGGGGGATAGTTTTGGGATGATTTAAACAAACACATTACATTCATCATTAGATTCTCATAAAGAGCATACAGCCCAGATCCCTCATATGCACAGTCCACAGCGTGGTTTGTGCTCCTGTGAGAATCTAATGCCGCCGCTGATCTGACAGGAGGCGGAGCTCAGCTTTGCTTGTTGGGCTGACGCTCACCTCCTGCTGTGTGACCCGGTTCCTAACAAGCCAGGGACAGCTACCATTTGTGGCCCAGGGTTTGGGGACCCCTGGATTAGGGGGTCTGTGCCTACTAAGCAAATCTTACAAGGCAAAAGGTGGCATCACTCTGTGTGTGCACCTCAAAAAAAAAAAAAAGGAAGTTTCACTACTTTTTCAGCCTATAATCTTCAAGTCAGGATTTCCAGGCCCATATATTCAGGCTTGAGGGATCATTCCAGACTCACCAAGGGGGGACATGGGTGAAGGGTCATTTGAAACTTCTAATCCCCTGGTGGTACACGTTGACACATTCCTGCAGCTGCCCACTTGCTCTGACCTATCATTTCTGAGCAGTCAACCCTCTATTCACTAGAAACCTGCAAACCTTCCCCATGTTAATCGCAGTACTATTCACAATAGCCAAGATATGGAATCAACCTAAATATCCATCTATTGATGAATGAATAAAGAAAATGTGTATATGAATACACACATATATGTGTGTGTATATATATGGGTATACATATATGTGTGTGTGTGTGTGTGTGTATATATATATATATATATATATATATATATATATATATATATACACACATACATGCAGTGGAATACTACTTGGCCATAAAAAGAATAAAATCATGCCATCTGCAGCAACACAGATGGAACTGGAGGACATTATGTCAAGTGAAATAAGCCAGGCATAGAAAGATAAATACCACATGTTCTCACTTGTATGTGGGATCTAGAAAGAGTTCAGCTCATAGAACTAGAGAGTAGAAGAATTGTGGTTATTAGAGGGTGGGAAGGGTGGGGCAAGGGGGAGGATAGGGAAAGTTTGGTTAATGGATAAGAGATTACAGCTAAATAGGAGGAATGAGTTCTGATGTTCTATAGCACTGTAGGGTGAATATGGGTAACAATAATTTATTGTATATTATCAAGAAGATGAAAGAGAAGATTTTGAATGTTCCCAACACAAACAAGTGGTAAATATTAGAGGGGGTGGATATGCTAATTACCCTGATTTGATCATTACACATTGTATACATGTATCAAAATATCAATCTGTATCCCATAAATATTTATAATTATTACATATTTCCATTTATTAAAAATAAAAGGAAAAAATGGCAGATTTTCAGAAGAAAGAAATAAAGAAGAAATCTCTTCGCTGAGGAACCCACTTCTTCAAGAATCTCCCTGGTCTTTGCTGTGTATTCAGGTCTTAGGGAAAGCTCTTCATATTCCTTGCCCATGAGAATCATCCCTGTGCACAGATGCTCTGCTACTCCTGGAAATAGACTACCAGGTAAACTTGGTATCACCATGCCATAGTTTCCACTTTACCCTAACTGAGCTTTTTTCTCTCTAGGGAGTGGGGCTTGTTCCATCAGGGTCTCTTTCCTATCCTTAACACAATTTGGAAACCCACTTGGGCAACATCTGTGACACTACAGGAGATGCCAAAGTGAATAAGACTAGCTTTTGCTCACAGTCTAAGAATAGAGATAGACAACTGGAAAATGTGCTAGATGAAGGAGGTAAGCAAATGGCTAATGGGAGCAGGGAAAATGAGGTATTAATTCCTCCAAGGTGATCAGTAAAAGAGGCATAAGGGAGCTGACTTTCAAGTTGGTCCTTGAGTGGTGAGTGAGAATTCAGATGGGGAGATGAGAATGGCAGCTCAAGTGGATGGAATAACAAGAGCAAAGGCATGGTGGCAGACGAGTGAAAGGTACGCTCAGAGTACAGACAGAAGTCCTGTATGTCTGGAACACAGGATGGAAGTATGTGGTAGGGGATGAGACTAGTGGGAGGATAGAACTGAGTGTTTCCTCTTCCGGCCCTGCGTTTTGGTTAGTTATTGCTGCTCAGCAAACTACCCCAAAACGTGGCGGATTAAAACAGCAACCATTTTATTACATCTCACAATTCAGTGGGTTACGAATTCAGGCAAGTCTCAGCTGGGTGGTTCCTTTGATCAACACAGATCACTCAGTGGTATTCAGCTGACAAATGGGCTGGTATGGTAACCACTCCCCCCACGCCCCTGCACCACCCTCCAGTTTCACTCACATGTCTGATGCTCTGGCAGGAATTCCTAGAAGGCTAGGCTCAGTTTTACTTGTCAACCAGAATACCTCCACATGGCCTCAACAGCATGGTGATCTCAGGGTGGTTGGATTTCCTTTTTTTTTTTTTTTTTTTTTTGAGACAGAGTCTCACTCTGTCGCCCAGGGTGGAGTGCAGTAGCACTATCTTGGCTCACTGCAACCTCTGCCTCCCGGGTTCAAGCGATTCTCCTGCCTCAGCCTCCCAAGTAGCTGGTTTACAGGTGCCCACCACCACGCCTAGCTAATTTTTGTATTTTTTGGTGGAGACGAGGTTTCACCGTGTTGGCCAGGCTGGTCTCGAACTCCTGACCTCAGGTGATTCACCCACCTCCGCCTGCCAAAATGCTGGGATTACAGGCGTGAGCCACTGTGCCCAGCCACGGCTGGATTTCCTATGTGGCAGCTCAGAGCTCCAAGGGCTTGTGTTCCAGTGACCCAAATGGAAAATGCACAGCCTTTTATAACCCAACTTCTGAAGCCATACAGTATCATTTCCCCAGTAGGCTATTGGTTGGAGAAATCAGAAGCCCACTGAAATTCAAGGGCTTCACCCCTTGAATCACTTCACCCTTTGACACACTTCACCCCAAGTGAGAGGAGTGTTAAATAATTTGCAGCCGTGTTTTAAAACCTCCACACCTGCCTCACCAGAATCAGCCAGCCATGAAAGGGTCCAAGGCTTTCCTGGTTCTTGGCTCTTTACTTTCTGGATCAAAAATCTGGTGAGTTGAACCAGAAGCTGATTCACTTCAAGAAGTCTGCTCTTAGAGAGCAGACTAAAGGAACCACAAAGCATATCTGCCCCCATCCTTACCATACCTGTGCACATCTCATTTCCTGGTAGCCAGAAAATAAATGAAAGTGGTGATTAAGGCTTACAGCATTCTTCAAGAACCGCTGGAAAGGATACAGGGAGGTGTCCCACCATAGGGGCAATGTCTTGCCCTGTGAATCTGACACTGACTCTCTGAAGAATGTTGGACAAGTTCATTTTCCTCTCTAGGTTTTATTTCTTTATCTCTGTAGTGGTGAGGATTCCTACTATACATTTAGAGAAGCAAATAGAACCTGCAGTGTATGACTCAGAGTGTGTAATATTCATTTACCGTGATACAGAGGCTCCAGAGGTATGACGCTTGCTCCTGCTCAAAATGCTCATAATTTATTACGCTGTTTGCATTCTCATTGCTAATTTGTATGGTTTTCCTACCTCTCTTTTGCTATCTCTCCCTCCAGTGCTTGTCAATATGTCTTTCAGGCTTCCTCTGAGAATACTCCTTCCCTATAGCTCTCTTAAATGCAAGCTGAGGTTGTTTATTTTCTCACATCTCATGTATCTCAGGGTCTAAAAATGGCATTGGTGTCCTTTTTGCTTCAGAACCTGACTCCTCCATCTTTTTGTAAAACAAAACAGAATAATAAAGAAACGTCCATTTATTTGAGTCCTATGTAATCCAGGTACAACACAGTCTCTCCTTCCTTACTTTTCTAACCCACAGATCTTTTTCTAATGTCCTGGCCACAATACTCCCATTTATTGAGTACTTGGCACCTGGCTCACAGTGTTCTGCTGCACCTTAAGCTCTACCATCATTTTGGATGACTTCAGCGTCCACGTATGTGGCTAATTCATCCAACACCCTAATTTTTCAGTTCCTTAATTCCCTTACTTCCAAAGACCCTCTTTTCACTTTATCTCAGCCACCTACTCTCACAGTCACATTGTAGACCTTGTTATTTCCTGTTATTGTCCAACCTCCAGAACCAGTACTTCAAGCATCCCACTCTTTGACAACAAACTTCCCTCCTTCTGAATTGCTTGCTCTACTCTTCACCATGATCATTCTTCACAATGTTGGGACTCACAAACCATTGACTCTTTTGTTGTTGCCAGTTTGTCAACCCTTTTCTTTCTCTGCCTGACACTTTTTCCTATTTGGATTGCTTGGCTCATCCGTTTACACCATTGCCAATGCCTTGCCTAAACTCTCTTGCTTCTCAATGTTTGTCATTCAAACTCTGCGTGAACTAAAAAATCTGTTTGCTCTGTGCCTGAGCCTCAGCAGCTGAGTAATGCTGGCAAAAATTGTAGTTAAAGAAAGTTGATTTTGGCCAGGCTCGGTGGCTCATGCCTGTAATCTCAACACTCTGAGAGGCCGAGGTGGGTGGATCACCTGAGGTTAGGCATTCGAGACCAGCCTGCCCAACAGGGTGAAACCCTGTCTCTACTAAAAATACAAAAATTAGCTGAACGTGGTGGCTGTCGCCTGTAATCCCAGCTACTTGGGAGACTAAGTCAGGAGAATCGCTTGAACCTGGGAGGCAGAGGTTTCAGTGAGCTGAGATTGCACCATTGCACTCCAGCCAGGGCAACAAGAGTGAAACTCTGAAAAAAAAAAGAAGAAAGAAAGAAAGAAAGAAAGAAAGAAAGAAAGAAAGAAAGAAAGAAAGAAAGAAAGAAAGAAAGAAAGAAAGAAAGAAAGAAAGAAAGAAAGAAAGAAAGAAAGAAAGAAAGAAAGAAAGAAGGAAAGGAAGGAAGGAAGGAAAGAAAGAAAGAAAGATAGATGATTTCATTCAAAATGCATGATTATTAACTTCAAACGGTTCTCCCACGCTGCCTGGCAATTCTCCAGCATACCTCTGATCAACTTATCCTCTCATTCATCCACAACAATTATTTCATACCTTATCTACCATCCTGAAATCTTTAATTCTGTACCCTAACTCCGTCTCACCAACAGCATAGGAACCTCACTCCCTAGTTTATGCACATAAAGTAGAAATCATCAGAAAGAAATTTCCTTGTGTTGTAGATATCAAACCTATAAAACTACCTATGTCAGCACCCATCTTTACTTGTTCCCTTCGTGTATGTTAGAGGAAGTGACCATCTTTTTTCTTGGTGGAATCCCTCCCACCTTGTCTTGGATCATACTTGGTCTCAATTTCTCATAGTCCTGCCCATATCAATTACCACTTCTCTTCCTTGTATGTTTAATTGCTACCTCTTCTTGGGAATTTGAGTAGTGTGTAAACTAGCTTTTACTGGAAACAAATTCAGGGCATTGCTAGAGCATAGTGGTTTTAGAAAAGTAGCCTCCAATGTGAGTTGCATGGGAGTGATTTATCGTGGTCTGATAAAGAAGACATTACAGTTTGTTTCTTTGTCTTTAAATTTACAAAATGGGACAGAAACTTACCTTTTTAATAGGTAGCATACATGTTGATATATTGTCCTGTCTCATTTTGCCCAACTGCGTGACATACAGTCCTGAGTCTTATGCTATGTGAGAGGTACCCTAAGATAAGAAGGAAGATGAACAATGTTCTAGCATTGACATAGGGCCATCATGACTGTGTGTCAGCATTTTGAGCAGGTCATGGGTGCTGAGTTAAATGGATTTACAGACCAATTCTTTTTCATGACAGCTTTATTGAAATATAATTCACTGATCATAAAATTCATCCCTTTAATGTATAGAATTTAGTGGTTCTTAATGTATTCACAGAGCTGTGCTACCATCACTACTATTTAATCCCAGAACATTTTCATCACCCCAAAAAGAGACACTGTGCCCATTAGCAGTCACTTCCCATTTCCACCCAACTGTCCTCCCATCCTTAGGCAATCACTAAACTATTCCCTTTCTGTATGGATTTACTTATTTTGAGCATTTAATAGAAACAGAATCATACAATATGTGGTCTTTCTTTCCCTTAGCACCATGTTTTCAAGGAGTATCCATATTGTAACATGAATCAGTAACACATTCATTTTTATGGCTGGGTAATATTCCTTTGTATAGATATATCACATTTTGTTTATCTATTCATCAGCTGATTAACATTTGGGCTATTTTCACCATTTTGCAGTTATGAGTGGCACTGTTATGAACATTAACGTACAAGTTCCTGTGTGGACATATGTTTTCATTTCTCTTGGGTAGATACCTGGGAGTGCGATTGCTGGGTCATATGGCAAAACTATATCTACCCCTTTGATTAACCATCAAACTATTTCCCAAAGCAACTGCACCATTTTATAATCCCACCAGCAATGTATGAGAGTTCAAATTTCTTCACATTTTTGCCAACATACAGAATGAGAGAAAATATTTGCAAATTATATATCTGATAAGGACGTGTATTAGAATATAAAATAAACTCTTAGAATTCAAAAAAGATAAATTACCTTGCTAAAAAATGATTGAGGGATCTGAGTAGATATTTCTCCAAAGACAATATACAAGTGGGCAGAAAACTGTAAAAAGATGCTCAATATTCTTTTATAGGGAAATGTCAATCAAAATCACAATGAGATACCAAGTCACACTCATTAGAATGGCTAAAATAAAAAACTTGCCCACTTTTAACTCAATTCACCCTCACAAAGTAGATAAGTACCTTTAAAAGTTTCTTGCAAAGAAACAGCAGATTGAAGATAACACCAACAATGCTAGCATAAATGAATGACAAGAAAATGACACGGCAGACCCTTCAACCAACCTAGGAACAAACCTTTTATACATGACAAGGTAATCAGATGTGACAAAAATTTGTAAAACGTTGAAATTTTCAAGATAATATGAAACGTAACATTTCATCACTATTGTTAATGATGAACCTTGCATGAAGTGTATATCATGCCTTGAGAAATTAGCAGATTGCAGGGTAAAGCCATCAGAATTTGTAAGATATTTATAGGTATTATTTAGCTCATCTTTATATTATCCTTTTTAGAATTCAAAAAGGATATAAATAAATATTCATGTATTTGTGATAGATGACCAAAAACATTTAACTGATGGGATGGGCAATGACAAAAATATGAAGATTACTGTTTGACAGTGCAGACTTGAACTTAGGTCCTGCCTGAAACCATTACTAACTGGTTGACTTTGAACAAGTTACTTAGCTACATACTTGGTTCCTCATCTGAAGAAATGGGAATATTGATACAGCCACCTCATGGAGTTATTACAAGGGTTAAATGGTATAATGTACATGAAACAGGACAGTGACTGCATGTAGTACACGCTCAATTAATATCACAGTGGTGAAAATGATGATGAATTCTTGACAGGGTTGGGGGTAGCAGAGAGGGATTTTAATCCAACACAATTACACTCTAGAATTAATATGAAACCTGACTCTCATGTGGCCCCAAGGAATGTACAGTATCATTGCCATCCTCAGCCTATATTCCTGTTTGCTACTTTGTTGTCTTCTCTAAAGTTCTTCCTTCTCTCTCCAAGGTTCCCCATCAGTTCTAGAGTTTCTAAACTTCATTTTTTCTGGCTCACCAGAGGACAGGGAAACACCTGTTACTTCATCATGCCAAGAATTTTAATTCTTGTTGATCTCACCTCTTCCACCTCCTCTGTGCTCACTGGCTCTGCTTTTCATGGCCATGTGGCCCTAATAAGATTATTTTAGACAGAAAGGATCTTTTTTTCTAATAAAATTCAGCTTTCCTCCAGGGCCAACACAAAACCACAGCCAGCTCTTAAAATAACAATTGTTTTCCTCCCACCACAAATGAAAAAAATGAATAATTGAATGAACGAGTTCTCTCTCCTGTTGAAAGAACTCAGGGCCTTCTGTCCAATCAAATAAGCAGCCTCACTCTGTTACCTCCCGCGTTCCCTAGGAGCTGCCCTTCATTCTGCCACTCCAGGCTAATTGGACTTCCTTAGACTCTTGTCATGTCACTCAGGGCATTTGCGCTAGTGGTGGGGTTGGCAGAGAAGCTGAGGGGAGGTAGCAATAGAGATTGTCCATTTCAGAGGAGAAAGTAGCTGGATGTAGCAACATGAGCTGTAGTTAACTTTTCTGGGTTTTAGTTTTTGTCTGTAAAACAAGGAGATAGAACTAGATTAGAGAGGGGACCTTGTAAACCATACATGGGAGTGCTTTAAATCCCCTTAGTATTGAGAGACAGGAAAAGAACTAAACACTACTGAATCTGATTATCTAAGAATAAACTAGACACAGGAAGGTTTTGCCACTTAAAATTGGCCACCCACAGTGGTTATCCTTAGATGGAGAGATTAGCTGTTATTTTCATCTTTTACATTTTTATACTTTCCAAGACTTAAATAATTGTCAAATGCTGATTTTCCAATCAGTTATCATATAATGTCAAGTAAAAAACTCAGGATGCAACCTCGTAAATACAGTCTGATCTCACATTTGCATAAACATTTTTATGTGTATATACAAAATGCCTTGCAACAGTGTTTTTATCTGAGTGATGAGATTGCAGTGATTTTATTTTTCTCTATATGTTTTGATATGTTGTAAATTTTATACAATAAGCACAATTTTTTTAACCAGAGAAACTGAGAATATTTAAAAATTAAATTTAAAAGGCCCTGTTTTGCTACCAAAATGGTAGCAAAATGGACTCCAGCCTTGCCCCCACCCTCTTCTCAGCAATTAACTCAGATCCAGTGTCTTCCTTTGTAAGGTTTGATTTCGATGATATTTTCCCCCTCACCCCTGGGACCAATGGAGACTGCCAGGCATATGTTTTGCTACATGTTTATAGTGTCTTGGAGAAGTCCCATGAGTGCACATACACACCTCTTACTGCCTTTTTTAAAGCTTACCCGGGTACACCACAGGGCAAGCTGATGCCTCAGGGAAAAGCTGCTCTTTGCTGCAGACTTGATGGGCCAGGATTCAGCCATTCTGGTCATAGGGCCAGCCCTGAGGCCATCACCAGCCATTCAAGTGTGCTTCTGCCTGGCAAGGCTCTACCTCTGCCAATTCTGTAGCAGCTGTAGCACCAAGGGAGGCAGACATCCTAACACTCACATAATGCTAGCCACTCAACAACACCTTCTGAGTGGGTGCTAAGTTACCTACAGGAACCCTACAAAACTGTAGAAGGAAGGTCTCAGATCTTGGTACAGTCCTTAATGTCATGAAATCCCTCATCTTTTCCTCCTTTGGCACTCTGAGCTGATGCTAAAGCCGATGCAACCTTATAGAAAGCTTGGAATGCCACTATGGGCCTCAAATGACTCTGGTTCGCAGGTAGCCTGCAACATTACTTGTGCCTGGCTTCACTCTCATAAATAGTGACTATACTTCCTGCTTCACTCAGAAAAATAGAAGTAATCAGAAGAGAATTTCTATATACTACCCTCATTATATCTACTCCCTACAACTGTACCTATATATTCTGTCTTATGCCTATTACTATAAACTAACTCCCCATGATTATACCTAAAATCTATCTTTGTTCTTCCACAGTAGATCAATTTCTCTCTCTCTCTCTTTCTCTCTCTCTCTCCATTGGAACTGCTCTTGAAGAGGTCAATAATGACCTTTATATAACTATAACTATTAAGTCTCAGTATTTATCCTACATGACCTATCAAAAAGCATCTGTCACTGTCAATCATAGCCTCCTTCTTGAAATACTTTCGTAACTTGGTTTCCAAGTTAACATGCAATCTTGGTTTTCCTACTACTGCAGTGATGGCTCAGGTTCCTTTTCTTATTCTTACTCTTTGGCATGAACTTTTCTTGTTGGGGCAATCCAGAAAACACTGACCCACTTCTGTCTATGCTCATTTCCATTCTCTTGGTTTTAAATATCTGTATACCACTAACTTTCGTATTTGTATTTTTAGTTCAGTCTTCTCTTACAAACGACACACTCATATATACAAATTCCATTCAACATCTACACTTGGGAGTTTAATAGACAATCCAAACTAAATATGTTCAAAGCTGAACTTCTGATTAACTCTCAAAATTTGCTCCATCCACAGCCCTCCCTATGTTAGTTGATGGGAATTTCAAACTCCAAGTTGCTCAAGCCAACGACCTTAGCATTATTCTTGCTCTTTGGCTTTCAATAGAATCTATCAAGAAATGCTATTGCAAACGACTTTAAAATATATCCAGAATCCAGTGATTTCTTAACATCTATATTGCTAGCATCCTGGACCAAACCATCATCATCCCTCCTTACTGTTCTCTCTGATGCCACTCTGCCCTCCTATAGTCCATGATAGTAGCCAGAATGATCTTTTGAAACCCTAAGTTGTAGCTTTCAGTTGTTATAGAGTAACTGGTACTAGACAAGCAGTTCAGTTACTAACAACCATAAAACTGTACAAAATATATAAGACAACTGTTTTCAGGCATTAGAAAACAGGAAGTACATGTCTCTGACTAAGAAAGCACACAAGGTATACCTCAGATTCACTTCCTTGAGTGAGGCCTACTTTAACCCCACCAAAACCAGCTCTCACACTAAGCCTTGATGAATTCTGGAGGGTAGAAAGTGTTTGAAAACTGAGTTCTAAGTGAGATGGGCATGTGAAACACCTTTGGCTTTCACAGATCCCCCTAAACACAGAATAAAGCCGAGCCAAATAAGTTCAAGGCGACCAAGCAGATCACACAGAACAAAAATTGACTCTCTTCAGAGAAACATAACAGAATTTAGAGACTCAAAAATGTATCATTCACAATGCTTATTATACAATCAAAATTTACTAGATATAAAAAGTAAATGGGAAAATATGACCCATAATCAAGAAAAAAGCAATCAATACAAAATGATCAGACAGTTCAGAAATTGGATTTAGCAGATAGCATTAAAGCAGTAATTAAAAATCTATTCAAAGAACTAAAGAAAAGGAGGTCTTAAGCAGTGAACAAATAGAAAATATCAGCATAAAAATAAGAAAAAGAAATAAAAGAAAATTCTAGAACTGAAAAGTACAATGATTGAAATATATAATATATAGGTAAAGAATCTCTAATCAAAAAATCCAAAATCCAAAATGCTCCAAAATCCAAAACACTTTCAGCGCCAACATGATGCTCAAAATTCAGATTTAGGATTTTCCTATTAGGGATGCTCAACTGAGAAGAATAATGCAAATATTTCAACATTTTTTTTAAAAAGTCAAAATCCAAAACACTTCTAGTCCCAAGCATTTCAAATAAAAAATACAAAATCTATATTACATATAATATATAAAGTATAAATTTACTTTAATTTTTTATTTATACAAACTTATGGGGTACATGTGAAATATTATTACATGTATATAATGCATAATGATAAATCAGGGTATTTAGGGTTTCCATTAGCCAATACAATACATTTTTGTTAAGCATAGTCACCCTACTTTGCTATCTAACATTGAATTTTTTCCTTCTATCTTTATCTTTCTACCCTTTAAACCCACTACTCTTCATCCTTCCCCTACCCACCCTTCCCAGTCTCTGTTTTCTACCTTTCCACTCTCTACCTCCATGCCATTAAGCTTTTCAGTTCTCACATATTAAGTGGAAACATGAAATATTTGTCTTTCTGTGCTTAGCTTATTGCACTTAAGATAATGACCTCCAGTTCCATCTACATTGCTGCGAATGGTGAACTTTCATTCTTTATATGGCCAATAGTATTCCATTATGTATATGTACCACATTTTCTTTATCCATTCATTCATTGATGGACACATGGGTTGATTTTGTATCTTTTTTATTGTAAATAGTGCTGCAATAAACATGTGAGTGCAGGTATCCCTTGATATAATGATTTATTTTCTTTGGGGTAGATACCTAATGGTGGGATTGCTGGATCCAATAATAATTTTACTTTCAGTTCTTTGAGAAAAAAAAAAAAGCTTCTGTACCACAAAAGAAATATTCCACTACCAGGTATCTAGAAGTTGTACTAATTTACATTCTCACCAACAGTATATAAGCATTCCCTTTTCTTCATGACCTTGCCAACATGTTATTTTTTGTAATTTTAATAGTAGCCATTGTGACTGTGGTAAGATGATATCTCATTGTGGTTTTGATTTTCATTTCTATGATGATTAGTGATGTTGAGCACTTTTTAATATACTTGTTGATCATTACATGTATTCTTTTAAGAAATGCCTATTCATGTCCTTTGTCCACTACTTATTGGAATTATTTGTTTTTATTCCATTTAAGTATTTGAGTTCCTTGTATATTCAGGATATGAGTCTTTTGCGAGATGAATAGTTTGCAAATGTTTTCTTTCATTCAACAAGTTGTCTCTTTATTGACTATTTCTTTTTTGGTACAGAAGCTATTTAGTTTATTTAAGTCACATTTGTCTATTTTTGTTTTGTTGCCTGTGCTTTTGAGGTCTTAGTCACAAATTCATTGCCTAGACCAATGTCCAGGAAAGCTTTTCCTAAGTTTTTTTCTAGTATTTTTATAGTTTCAGGTCTTATGTTTAGGTCTTTAAGCCCTTTTGTGTTGATTTTTATATATAGTGAGAGATGAGAGCCCTGTTTCAATCTGCTTGTGACTATCAAATTTTTCCCAGCACCATTTACTAAAAAAAGTGTCCTTTCCCCAGTGTAAGTTCTTGTCAGCTTTGCTGAAGATCATTTTGCTATAAATATGTGTCTTTACTTCTGGATTCTCTATTTTGTTTTGTTGATCTATTTTATACCAATGCCATGCTATTTAGGTTACTATATCCTTGTAATATATTTTAAAGTCAGGTAATGTGATGCCTCCAGGTTTGTTCATTTTGTTTAGAGTTGCTTTGGCTATTTGGACTTTTTTGTAGATATGCGGCATTATTTCTGAGGGCTCTATTCTGTTCCATTGGTCTATATCTCTGTTTTGGTACCAGTACCATGCTGTTTTGGTTACTGTAGCCTTGTAGTATAGTTTGAAGTCAGGTAGCGTGATGCCTCCAGCTTTGTTCTTTTGGCTTAGGATTGACTTGGCAATGCGGGCTCTCTTTTGGTTCCATATGAACTTTAAAGTAGTTGTTTCCAATTCTGTGAAGAAAGTCATTGGTAGCTTGATGGGGATGGCATTGAATCTATAAATTACCTTGGGCAGTATGGCCATTTTCACGATATTGATTATTCCTACCCATGAGCATGGAATGTTCTTCCATTTGTTTGTATCCTCTTTTATTTCATTGAGCAGTGGTTTGTAGTTCTCCTTGAAGAGGTCCTTCACGCCCCTTGTAAGTTGGATTCCTAGGTATTTTATTCTCTTTGAAGCAATTGTGAATGGGAGTTCACTCGTGATTTGGCTCTCTGTTTGTCTGTTATTGGTGTATAAGAATGCTTGTGATTTTTGCACATTGATTTTGTATCCTGACACTTTGCTGAAGTTGCTTATCAGCTTAAGGAGATTTTGGGCTGAGACGATGGGGTTTTCTAGATATACAATCATGTCATCTGCAAACAGGGACAATTTGACTTCCTCTTTTCCTACTTGAATACCCTTTATTTCCTTCTCTTGCCTGATTGCCCTGGCCAGAACTTCCAACACTATGTTGAATAGGAGTGGTGAGAGAGGGCATCCCTGTCTTGGGCCGGTTTTCAAAGGGAATGCTTCCAGTTTTTACCCATTCCGTATGATATTGGCTGTGGGTTTGTCATAGACAGCTCTTATTATTTTGAGATACGTCCCATCAATACCTAATTTATTGAGAGTTTTAGCATGAAGCGTTGTTGAATTTTGTCAAAGGCCTTTCCTGCATCTATTAAGATAATCATATGGTTTTTGTCGTTGGTTCTGTTTATATGCTGGATTATGTTTATTGATTTGCGTATGTTGAACCAGCCTTGCATCCCAGGGATGAAGCCCACTTGATCATGGTGGATAAGCTTTTTGATGTGCTGCTGGATTCGGTTTGCCAGTATTTTATTGAGGATTTTTGCATCAATGTTCATCAGGGATATTGGTCTAAAATTCTCTTTTTTGGTTGTGTCTCTGCCAGGCTTTGGTATCAGGATGATGCTGGCCTCATAAAATGAGTTAGGGAGGATTCCCTCTTTTTCTATTGATTGGAATAGTTTCAAAAGGAATGGTACCAGCTCCTCCTTCTACCTCTGGTAGAATTTGGCTGTGAATCCATCTGGTTCTGGACTTTTTTTGGTTGGTAAGCTATTAATTATTGCCTCAATTTCAGAGCCTGTTATTGGTCTATTCAGAGATTCAACTTCTTCCTAGTTTAGTCTTGGGAGGGTGTATGTGTCCAGGAATTTATCCATTTCTTCTAGATTTTCTAGTTTATTTGCATAGAGGTGTTTATAGTATTCTTTGATGGTAGTTTTTATTTCTGTGGGATTGGTGGTGATATCCCCTTTATCATTTTTTATTGCGTCTATTTGATTCTTCTGTCTTTTCTTCTTTATTAGTCTTGCTAGCGGTCTATCAATTTTGTTGATCTTTTCAAAAAACAGCTCCTGGATTCACTGATTTTTTGAAGGGTTTTTTGTGTCTCTATTTCCTTCAGTTCTGCTCTGATCTTAGTTATTTCTTGCTTTCTGCTAGCTTTTGAATGTGTTTGCTCTTGCTTCTCTAGTTCTTTTAATTGTGATGTTAGGGTATCAATTTTAGATCTTTCCTGCTTTCTCCTGTGGGCATTTAGTGCTATAAATTTCCCTCTACACACTGCTTTGAATGTGTCCCAGAGATTCTGGTATGTTGTGTCTTTGTTCTTGTTGGTTTCAAAGAACATCTTTATTTCTGCCTTCATTTTGTTATGTACCCAGTAGTCATTCAGGAGCAGGTTGTTCAGTTTCCATGTAGTTGAGCGATTTTGAGTGAGTTTCTTAATCCTGAGTTCTAGCTTGATTGCACTGTGGTCTGAGAGACAGTTTGTTATAATTTCTGTTCTTTTACGTTTGCTGAGGAGTGCTTTACTTCCAACTATGTGGTCAATTTTGGAATAGGTGTGGTGCTGAAAAGAATGTATATTCTGTTGATTTGGGGTAGAGAGTTCTGTAGATGTCTATTAGGTCTGCTTGGTGCAGAGCTGAGTTCAATTCCTGGATATCCTTGCTAACTTTCTGTCTCATTGATCTGTCTAATGTTGACAGTGGGGTGTTAAAGTCTCCCATTACTATTGTTTGGGAGTCTAAGTCTCTTTGTAGGTCACTAAGGACTTGCTTTATGAATCTGGGTGCTCCTGTATTGGGTGCATATATATTTAGGATAGTTAGCTCTTCTTGTTGAATTGATCCCTTTACCATTATGTAATGGCCTTCTTTGTCTCTTTTGATCTTTGTTGGTTTAAAGTCTGTTTTATCAGAGACTAGGATTGCAACCCCTGCCTTTTTTTGTTTTCCATTTTCTTGGTAGATCTTCCTCCATCCCTTTATTTTGAGCCTATGTGTGTCTCTGCACATGAGATGGGTTTCCTGAATACAGCACACTGATGGGTCTTGACTCTTTATCCAATTTGCCAGTCTGTGTCTTTTCACTGGAGCATTTAGCCCATTTACATTTAAGGTTAATATTGTTATGTGTGAATTTGATCCTGTCATTATGATGTTAGCTGGTGATTTTGCTCGTTAGTTGATGCAGTTTCTTCCTAGCCTCGATGGTCTTTACAATTTGGCATATTTTTGCAGTGGCTGGTACCGGTTGTTCCTTTCCATGTTTAGTGCTTCCTTCAGGAGCTCTTTTAGGGCAGGCCTGGTGGTGACAAAATCTCTCAGCATTGGCTTGTCTGTGAAGTATTTTATTTCTCCTTCACTTATGAAGCTTAGTTTGGCTGGATATGAAATTCTGGGTTGAAAATTCTTTTCTTTAAGAATGTTGAATATTGGCCCCCACTCTCTTCTGGCTTGTAGGGTTTCTGCCGAGAGATCCGCTGTTAGTCTGATGGGCTTCCCTTTGAGGGTAACCCGACCTTTCTCTCTGGCTGCCCTTAACATTTTTTCCTTCATTTCAACTTTGGTGAATCTGACAATTATGTGTCTTGGAGTTGCTTTTCTCGAGGAGTATCTTTGTGGCATTCTCTGTATTTCCTGAATTTGAATGTTGGCCTGCCTTGCTAGATTGGGGAAGTTCTCCTGGATAATATCCTGCAGAGTGTTTCCCAACTTGGTTCCGTTCTCCCCGTCACTTTCAGGTACACCAATCAGATGTAGATTTGGTCTTTTCACATAGTCCCATATTTCTTGGAGGCTTTGTTCATTTCTTTTTATTCTTTTTTCTCTAAACTTCTCTTCTCACTTCATTTCATTCATTTCCTCTTCCATCACTGATACCCTTTCTTCCAGTTGATCGAATCAGCTACTGAAGCTTGTGCATTTGTCATGTAGTTCTCGTGCCTTGGTTTTCAGCTCCATCGGGTCCTTTAAGGAATTCTCTGCATTGCTTATTCTAGTTAGCCATTCCTCTAATTTTGTTTCAAGGTTTTAACTTCTTTGCCATGAGTTCGAACTTCCTCCTTTAGCTCGGAGTAGTTTGATCTTCTGAAGCCTTCCTCTCTCAACTTGTCAAAGTCATTCTCTGTCCACCTTTGTTCCATTGCTGGTGGGGAGCTGCATTCCTTTGGAGGAGGAGAGGTGCTCTGATTTTTGGAGTTTCCACTTGTTCTGCTCTGTTTTTTCCCCATCTTTGTGGTTTTATCTACCTTTGGTCTTTGATGATGGTGATGTACAGATGGGGTTTTGGTGTGGATGTCCTTTCTGTTTGTTAGTTTTCCTTCTAACAGTCAGGACCCTCAGCTGCAGGTCTGTTGGAGTTTGCTGGAGGTCCACTCCAGACCCTGTTTGCCTGGGTATCAGCAGTGGAGGCTGCAGAAAAGCAGATATTCATGAGCAGCAAATGTTGCTACTTGATCGTTCCTCTGGAAGTTTTGTCTCAGAGGAGTACCCAGCCCTGTGAGGTGTCAGTCTGCCCCTACTGGGGGGTGCCTCCCAGTTAGGCTACTCGGGGGTCAGGGTCCCACTTGAGGACGCAGTCTGTCCATTCTCAGATCTCCAGCTGCGTGCTGGGAGAACCACTACTCTCTTCATAGCTGTCAGACAGGGACATTTAAGTCTGCAGAGGATTCTGCTGCCTTTTGTTTGGCTATTCCCTGCCCCCAGAGGTGGAGTCTACAGAGGCAGGCAGGCCTCCTTGAGCTGCAGTGGGCTCCACCCAGTTCGAGCTTCCAGGCCGCTTTGTTTACCTACTCAAGCCTCAGCAATGGCGGGTGCCCCTCCCCCAGCCTCGCTGCCGCCTTGCAGTTTGATCTCAGACTGCTGTGCTAGCAATGAGCGAGGCTCCGTGGGTGTAGGACCCTCCAAGCCAGGTGCAGGATATAATCTCCGGGTGTGCCGTTTGCTAAGACCATTGGAAAAGCGCAGTATTTGGGTGGGTGTGACCCGATTTTCCAGGTGCCGTCTGTCACCCCTTTCTTTGACTAGGAAAGGGAATTCCCTGACCCCTTGCACTTCCCGGGTGAGGCGATGCCTCACCCTGCTTCGGCTCATGCTCGGTGCACTGCACCCACTGTCCTGCACCCACTTTCCGACACTCCCCAGTGAGATGAGCCCGGTGCCTCAGTTGGAAATGCAGAAATCACCCGTCTTCTGCGTCGCTCATGCTGGGAGCTCTAGACTGGAGCTGTTCCTATTCGGCCATCTTGGCTCCACCCGAGAGTTTTTGTCATAAAGTGATGATGAATTTTATCACGAGCTTTTTCTTCACCTGTTGAGATGATAATGTACTTTTTGTCCTTCATTTGGTTGATGTGATGTAGCACATTTATTGATTTGCATATTTTGGACCATCCTTGCATCCCTGATATTAATCTCACTTGACTGTGGTATATTACCTTTTTGACATATTGTTGTATTCAGTTTGTTAATATTTTGTTGAGGATGTTTGCATCTATGTTAATTAGGGAAATTAGCCTATAGTTTTCTTTTTCCATTGTGTCCTTGTCTGGTTTTGGTATCGGTGTGATGTTGGCCTTTCTTCAAGAATGAGTTAGAAATAATTCCCTCCTCTTTGATTTTTTGAAATAGTTTCAAGAGGATTGGTATAGTTCTTCTTTGTATGTTTAGTAAAGTTTGGCTTGAAATCCATCTGATCCTGGGCTTTTATTTCTTGGGAGATGTTTTATTACTGATTCAGTCTTGCTACTTGTTACTGGTGTATTCAGGTTTTATATTTCTTCCTAATTCAGTCTTGGTAAGTTTTACGTTTCCAGGAATTTATCCATTTCCTCTAGGTTTTCCAGTTTGTTTGTATGTAGACATGCATGATAGTCTCTGATGATACTTTTGCGTTTCTGAAGTATCAGTTATAATATCTCCTTTTTTATTTATGATTTTTCTTATTTGGGTCTTCTCTTTTCTTTTCGTGGCTAGTCTAGCTAGTGATTTATCAATTTTATCTTTTTGAAGAATCAACTTTTATGTCATGTATCATTAGTATTGTTTTTTAGTCTCTATTTCATTTAGTTTTGCTCTGATTTTTGTTATTTCTTTTCTTCTGCTGATTTGCGGTATTGTTTGTTCTTGCTTTGCGACTTCCTTAAGGTACATTGTTAGATTGTTGATTTGTAATCTTTCTACCTTTTTGATATAGGCATGTATTGTTATAAATGTCCTTCTTAGCACAGCTTTTCTGTTTCCTACAGGTTTTGATATTTTATATTTCCATTTTCATTTGTTTTTGTATTTTTGTATTTCCATTTTCATTTGTTTCAAGAAATGCTTGATTTTCATCTTAGTATCTTCATTGATCCAGTGATCATTCAGGAGCATTTAATTTCCATGTATTTGTATAGTTCTTCTTGGTATTGGTTTCTTGTTTTATTCCATTGTGGCCCGAAAAGATACTTGATATAATTTTGATTTTTAAAAATATGTTGAGAAATGTTTGGTGGTTCAACATATGGTCTATAATGGAGAACGTTCCATGTGCTGATGCAAAGAATGTATACTCTGTAGTTGTTGAATAAAATGTTCTGTAAATACCTGTTATGTCCATTTGGTCTAAAGTCCAGCCTAAAACTTATTTTAAAAATGTATTTTCTGTCTAGATGATACGTCTAATGCTGCAGATGGGGAGGAGGGACCCCATTCTCTACACATGAGCCCAAGCACAGAAGCTGTTCTACCTGTGGAAGAGGATTTTGCTCTCCTTGCAAAGCTGACCACAGTGTTTGTTCCACTGCTGGGGCAGGATCACTTCTCAAGCCCCTCAACAAGGAGCTCTCAGGGTGTGAAAAGTTAATGCTTTGGATTCTTTTGTCCCAGGGGCTCCCTTTTTGTTGCACTGCAGTCTCCTTTCCCCAGGGAGTAATATTCCTTGTGGGCTAGAGTACTGGGGACTCCACAGAACTTTTGGGTCCAGCTAGCAGTGTGCCACTGCAGCCCTTCAGGTGGATAATAGAGGATGTTAGTGGTTAGAGTTTAACACAATTGAAAAATTCAAAGTAAGACTAATCAAGGAAAAAGAGAAAATATAAAATTTTAATAATAATAATGAAAGAGAGGTTATCACCAAAATTTCAACATATTTTAAAAGGGTAATAAGCAAATATTATAAACAAATTTATGCCAATTAATTTTATAATATAGATCAAATGGACACATTTCTGGAAAACAAAATTTACCAAAACTGACTTAAGAAGGTATATACAATCTTAACAACACATGTCTCCTAGACAATTTTAATGTATATATTTTTAAAAACTGCCCACAAATTAATATACAGGCTTAAATAATTTTGATGGTGTATTCTTTCAAACTCTAGATAAGAAATAAAACCAATCATATACAAATCATTTCAGAAAACAGGAGGTGGAACACTTCCTAAGTCATTTTATAAGGCCAATAAAATTTTTTTAAGAAATAAAAAATATAACATTCTTCATGATTATGAGTGCAAAAAATCCTCAATAAAATACTAGCAAATTGAATCCAACAATATATTAAATGTTAAGACACCATGCCCAAGTAAAGTTTATAATATGAATGCAAGGCTGATTTAACATTCAAAAAGCAATCATTGTATTTTACCAAGTTAAAAGAATAAAGAAGAAAAATCATGTGATTATCTCAATAGAATTTTAAGAAGCATTTGACAAAAATCAGCATTCATTCATTACAAATGCTTCCAGGAAACAAAGAATAGACAGAAACATTCTCAATCTGATAAAACATACGAATATTTTCCCCCTAAGATCAGGAACAAGGCAAGGATATTCACTCGTACCATTTCCACTCAATATTGTACTGGAGGTCATAGCCAGAGGAATAAAACAAGAAGAAATTAAAAGCGTACAGGCTAGAAAGGAAAATGAAAAATTGTCTTTATTCACAGAGAATATAACTCCACAAAGAAAATTCTAAGAAGAATTCAAAGAAAATTCTCTCCCTTTCTCTTAACACACACACACACACACACACACACACACACACACGTCCTAACGGAATTTGTAAATAGGTAAATTTAACAAAATGCCGGGGACTGTTGTGGGGTGGGGGGAGGGGGGAGGGATAGCATTGGGAGATATACCTAATGCTAGATGACGAGTTAGTGGGTGCAGTGCACCAGAATGGCACATGTATACATATGTAACTAACCTGCACATTGTGCACATGTACCCTAAAACTTAAAGTATAATAATAATAAATTAAAAAAAAATGCCATGATACAAGGTCAATATGCAAATAGCAATTATATTTCTATATTCCAGCAATAAACAATTGGAAATAAATAACAAATGTCTTTAACAATAGCATCACAATATAAACCACCTAGGAGTAAATGTAATAAAAGTTATGATAAACCCCCACACTAAATACATTTCTAAGAGAAATTTAAGATTAAATACAGAGAAATAGTGTACTCCTGGAATGGAAATACAATATTGTTAATATGTCCATTCCCCCAAATTGATCTCTACATTTAATGCAATTCCAATCAAAATTATACTAGGAAAAAAAAAACAGAAATCCGTTCCAAAATCTTCATGGAAATGCAAAGGTATTAGAATATCGGGGGGAAATTCAGCCAGATATCAGGTGAAATTCACCCCCGATATTTCACGTAGGTTCTTTTCTATTTTCCCTAAGTGTCAGCTGGTCTGAGAAATAAAGGGACAGAGTACAAAAGAGAGAAATTTTAAAGCTGGGTGTCCGGGGGAGACATCCCATGTCGGCAGGTTCCATGATGCCCCCTGAGCCGTAAAACCAGCAAGTTTTTATTAGTGATTTTCAAAAGGGGAGGGAGTGTACGAATAGGGTGTGGGTCACAGAGATCACATGCTTCACAAGGTAATAGAATATCACAAGGCAAATGGAGGCAGGGCGAGATCACAGGACCACAGGACTGGGGCGAAATTAAAATCGCTAATGAAGTTTCGGCACACATTGTCATTGATAACACCTTATCAGGAGACAGGGTTTGAAAGCAGACAACCAAATCTGACCAAAATTTATTAGGCGGGAATTTCCTCGTCTTAATAAGCCTGGGAGTGCTATGGGAGACTGGGGCTTATTTCATCCCTACAGTTTCAACCATAGAAGACAGCTGCCACCAAAGCGGCCATTTCAGAGGCTTCCCCTCAGGGATGCATTCTCTTTCTCAGGGATGTTCCTTGCTGAGAAAAAGAATTCAGTGATATTTCTCCCATTTGCTTTGGAAAGATGAGAAATATGGCTCTGTTCCGCTCGGCTCATCAGCGGTCAGAGTTTAAGGTTATCTCTTTTGTTCCCTGAACATTGCTGTTATCCTGTTCTTTTTTCAAGGTGCCCATATTTCATATTGTTCAAACACACATGCTCTACAAACAATTTGTGCAGTTAATGCAATCATCGCAGGGTCCTGAGGTGACATACAGCCTCCTCAGCTTATGAAAATGACCGGATTAAGAGATTAAAGTAAAGACAGGCATAGGAAATCACAAGGGTAGTGACTGGGGAAGTGATAAATGTCCATGAAATCTTCACAGTTTATGTTCAGAGATTGCAGTAAAGACAGGCATAAGCAATTATAAAAGTATTAATTTGGGGATCTAATAAATGTCCATGAAATCTGCAAAATTTATGTTCTTCCGCCATGGCTTCAGCTGGTCCCTCTGTTTGGGGTCCCTGACTTCCCGCAACGCTAGAATAGTTAAAACCATTTGTAAAAGTAGAACAGAGTAAAGGACTTCCACTACCTGATTTTGAGATTGAAAATAAAGTTACAGCAAAGCAGCAGTGTGGTATTGGTGTAATACTTAGACATAAAAATCACTGGAACAGAAAAGACAGTTCAGAAAGAAACCTGTGCATACAAAATTTAATTGACATTAGACCAATGTCTTAGTCCATTTGGGCTGCTATAACAAAATGCCATAAACAAAGTAGTTTATAAGAAACAGAAGTTTATTTCTTATGGGAGGCTGAGAAGTCCAAGAACATGGAGCAGGTAGGTTCAGTGTCTGGTGAGGGCCTGTTCCTCATAGATGCCACCTTCTTGCTGCATCCTTACATGGTAGAAGGGGCAAGGCAGTTCTCTGGAACCTCTTTTATAGGGACACTAATCCCACTCATGCGGGCTTCATGCTCATGATCTAATCACTTCCCAAGTGCCCCACCACCTAATACCTCCTTGAAGGTTAGGCATCAACACATTAGTTTTGGGAAGCATACAAACATTCAGACCATTACAAACAAGGTGTAAAGTCAATTCAATGATGAAAGAAAGTCTTTTTAATAAATGGTACTATGAAAACTGGATATCTGTGGGGGGTGGGGAAATGAATCCTAATCCTTACTTCACACCATATACAACATTTTAATTTAAAATTGAGCATAAACCTAAATGTAGAAGCTAAAACTAAAAAAATTTTTAGATAGAAATGGAGAAAATTCCCATAATCTTGGGGTAGACAAATATTTATTCACCAGGGCATAAAAATCACTAACCATAAAAGGAGAAAAATGATAAATTGTGCTTTCTTAAAATCAAAAGCCCCCACAAAGAAGAATAAAGTTGGAGGTCCTATACTACTAGATTTCAAGATCTACTTTTTAATCAAGACAGTGTAGAAATGCCATAAGGATAGACACACAGATCAGTGAAACAGAATTGAGAAGCCAGAAATAGACACATGCACAGTCATTTGATTTTCGCAAAGGTTTCCAAGCAATACAAGGGGCAACAAAAAAACGTTTGAACATATGGTGCTGGAACAACTGGTTAGCTATATTGAAAAACACACACCTCCAATCTACCACACACCATAAAGATTAATTCAAGATAAATCACATACCTAAATGTAAAAACTTACAATCCTAAATCTTTTTAAGAAAAATGAAGAATGTCTTTGAGAACTGGAGGTAAGCAAAGGTTTCTTAAGCCACAGAAAGCACTAATCATAAATAAAAAACAAAGTGAACTTAAAATCAAAATTTCTGTTTCATAAGACACTTATTTCTGCTCATAATTAATAAAATGAATGGCAAATCATAGGTTGGAAGAAAGTATTCCCAACACATATCTTACAAAATACTGTTTTTCAGAATATATATATATGCGCTCTCCTGCAGCTCAGTAAGAAAAAGACAAAATAAAAACACTTTAAAAGTTGGCAAAATATGTGAACAAACCATTCACAAGAGGCCGAGCATGATGGCTCATGCCTGTAATCCCATCACTTTGGGAGGCCAAGGTAAGAGCATGGCTTGAGTTCAGGAGTTTGATACCAGTCTGGGCAACATAATGAGACCTCATTTCTACTAAAATTAAAAAAAAATTAGCCAGTCATTGTGGCATGTGCCTATAGTCCCAGCTACTTGGGGGACTGAGGTGGGAGAATTGCTTGAGCCTAGGAGGTCAAGGCAGCAGTCAGCCCTAATCATGCCACTGTACTCCAGCCTAGGTGACAGAGTGAGACCCTGTCTCAAAAAAACAAAAATTCACAAGAGAAATATATAAATGGCTAAAAACATATGAAAAAGTATTCAACATCAGTAGCTATCAGGAGAATGCAAAATTAAACCAAAAGGAAATACCTCTGCACACACATCGGAATGGCTAAAATTTTAAAAGACTAGGGCTAAACTAGTGCTATTACACATTGTTGGTTAAAACATAAAATGTTACAAGCACTTTGGGACAGGTCTAGAAGTTTCTGATAACTAAACATTTTCCTACCATATGACCCAGCCATTCTACTAAGTATTTATCCAAGAGAAATGAAAAAATAAAATGTGTTCATAAAAAGACTTGTAGAAGAATGTTCATAACAGCTTTATTCATAATAGCCAAACATTAGGAAAAAAAAAAAAGTCCTTCAATACAGGGGTCCCCATTACAGGGTACCAGTCTGTGACCTTTAAGGAACTAGGCCGCACAGCAGCAGGTGAGTGGTAGGCCAGCTAGCTTCATCTGTAATTACAGCCACTCCCTCATCACTCACATTACTGCCTGAGCTCCACCTCTCCTGTTAGATGTCAGATCAGTGGTGGCATTAGATTCTTCTTTTTTTTTCTCACTCTGTCGCCTGGGCTTGAGTGCAGTGGTATGATCTTGGCTCACTGCAACCTCCACCTCCCGGGTTCAAGCGATTCTCCTGGCTCAGCCTCCCTCGTAGCTGGGATTACAGGTGCACACCACCACACCTGGCCAATTTTTGTATTTTTAGTAGAGACAGGGTTTCAACATGTTGGCCAGGCTGGTCTTGAACTCCTGACCTCAAGTGAACTGCCCACCTTGGTCTCCCAAAGTGCTGGGGTTACAAGCATGAGCCACTGCACCTGTGGGCATTAGCTTCTTAGAGGAGTGGAACCCTGTTGTGAACTGCACGTGCAAGGAATCTAGGTTGTGCACTCCTTATGAGAATAAAATGCCTGATGATCTGAGGTGGACCAGTTTCATCCCAAAACCATTCCCCACTGTCTGTGGAAAAACTGTCTTCTATGAAACTGGTCTGAGGTGCCAAAAAGGTTGGGAACTTCTGCTTCAGCAGAAGAACAGATAAACAAAATATGGTATATTCATACAATGGAAACCACTCAGCATTAAAAAGGAAGACATTATTGATATACACAAAAACATTAATTCATCTCTCAAACTCTCAAAAATAGAGCAAAGAAGAGCAATCTGAAACTGAGTAAAAGAAGGCATAGACAAGAGAGTACATACTGTGTGTCTTCATTTATATGAAGTTCTAGAACAAGCAAAGTAATCCTTAAAAATGCTAGAACAGGCGGGGCACGGTGGCTCAAGCCAAAGTGATCCCAGCACTTTGGGAGGCCAAAGCAGGCAGATCACGAGGTCAGGAGATCAAGACCATCCTGGCTAACACGGTGAAACTCCGTCTCTACTAAAATATAAAAAATTAGCCGGGTGTGGTGGCGGGTGCCTGTAGTCCCAGCTACTCGGGAGGCTGAGGCAGGAGAATGGCATGAACCTGGGAGGCAGAGCTTGCAGTGAGCAGAGATAGCGCCACTGCACTCCAGCCTGGGCGATAGAGCAAGACTCTGTCTCAAAAAAAAAAAAAGAAAAAAGTGCTAGAACAATGGTTGCTTCCAGAGACTAGTATAGACAGAGGTATAGACAGAGTTTGACTGAGAGGATCATGAGGTAATAGTACATGGTTATGGTAACGTTCTACATCTTTCCAAGGGCATGGCTTACTCAGGTTTGGAATTTGTCACAACTCAAGGGATATACTTTTTAGATTTGTGCATTTCATTGCATGTACATTTTAAATTAAAAGAAAAAATGGCAGACAAATATTGAATTCTAGTTGATAACATATCTAACTAAATATTTATAAGGAAAATAACTTATATCTGTAATTAGTTTGAAAATACACACATAAGATTAGATATTTGATGGGGGATGGATAAGTGTGATATAGCAAATATGTAGAACAATGGTAGTATCGGCCAGGTGCGGTGTCTCACGCCTGTAATCCCAGCACATTGGGAGGCCAAGGCGGGCAGATCATGAGGTCAGGAGTTTGAGAACAGCCTAGCCAATATAGTGAAACCCCGTCTCTACTAAACATACAAAAATTAGCCAGGCGTGGTGGCACGTGCCTGTAGTCCCAGCTACTTGAGAGGCTGAGGCAGGAGAATTGCTTGAACCTGGGAGGCAGAGGTTGCAGTGAGCCGAGATCATGCCACTGCACTCCAGCCTGGGCAACAGAGCAAGATTCCATCTCAAAACAAACAAACAAACAAACAAACAATGATAGTATCTAGATAGTAGTATACAAGTGCTTACTTTGTTATGTGTGTCAACGGTTTTATAATAATATGTTGAAAAAAAAATAAATCTGTTCTTCCAAAGACAGAAAATGAGGAGAGGGAGAAACAGAAAATCAGGAGGACGGAAAATGAGAAAATGAGGAGACAAATCACTAAGATCAAATATTCCCACCGCATATATCTGATAAACAACTTATGTTTGTAATATATAAAGAATTCTTTCAGATTAAAAATAATTTTAAAAAACAGCCTGATTTTTTAAATGGTCAAAATAAATGAGTTGATGTATCTTAAAAGAAAATATACACGAATGGCCAACAAAAACATTAAAAGGTGCTCACATAACAGTATTAATCAGAAAATTGCAAATTAAAACCACAATGAGATAGCAGTATACACCATTGGAATGGCTAAAATTAAAATTTAAAAGGCTGATAATACCAAGTGCTGACAAGTACAGGGAGCAACTGAAACTCATCTACACTATTTGTGGGAATGTAAAATGACACAACCAATTTGTAAAGCAGTTTGGCAGTTTCTTATGAATTAGACATGCACTTACTATATAACCCAGCCATTTCACTATTAGATATTTACCTACAAGAATTGAAAATATATGTCCACACAAATATTTACCCAAATTTTCATTGCATATTTATGTTTGACAAAAACTAAGAATGATATGAATATCTATCAAAAAGTGAATGGATTGGCCTGGTGCGGTGGCTCACGCCTGTAATCCCAGCACTTTGGGAGGCCGAGGCGGGTAGATCACCTGAGGTCGGGAGTTCGAGACCAGCCTGACCAACATGGAGAAACCCTGTCTCTACTAAAAATACAAAATGAGCCGGGCCTAGTGGCACATGCCTGTAATCCCAGCTACTCAGGAGGCCGAGGCAGGAGAATTGCTTGAACCTAGGAGGCGGAGGTTGAGGTGAGCAGAGGTTGCGCCATTGCACTCTAGCCTGGGCAACAAGAGCGAAACTCCATCTCAAAAAAAAAAAAAAAGTGAATGGATTAACAAACTGTGTTAGATCTGTACAATGGAATACTACTCAGCACTACAAAGGAATGAAATATTCCTACACACAACATCAATCAATTTCATAGACATAATATTTAGCAAAAGAAGGCAGCCATAAAAGAGTCTATTCTATATAATTGCACTTTTGTGAATTCTGGACTAGACAAAGCTAATGCATTGTCATTGAAATTGGAGCAGTGGCGTTACATGAGACAGGAGGCAGGAGTGGGCGACTGACTTCCTAACAGCATTTAGAACTTTCTTAAGGTGATGCAAACATTCAGTATCCTGATTGTGGTGGTGTTGACAAGCTGTGCGTATTCTAAAACTGTTATGCAACTGTAGTACAATTAAACTTGGTGTATTTATTGTACATTAAAAAAATGCTTCAACGAAGTAGATTTTTAAAATAACTAATCCAGATCATGACACTTCCCTGTCATACAATGCTTCCCCCATTTCACTCATAGTAAAAGCTAGAATCCTTCCAATAGCCTTAAAGTCCCTAATGATCTGTTTCCCCTCCTCTTTCTGACCTCAACTCTTAATACTCGTTGCCTTACTTACTCAATTTTTGCTACACTTGGCCTTCTTACTTTTCCTGGAACACGCCAAGCATGCAATCACTGTGGGGACTTTGAACTGATTCTTCTCTCTGTCTGGAATGCTGTTTTTCCAGATATCCATAACGTAGCTCACCCTCCACCTCTTTTGGGTCTTTGACAAATGTTAAAGTATTACCTTCTAAATGAAGGACCATCTATTTAAAAGTGCATTGCGCGTGCATGCACACACACACACACACACACACACACACACACCTTACTCTTCTTTTCTGCCCGTTTAGCATAGCAATCTGTTGTACGTTTTGTTTACTGCTGTATTGCCGGAGCCTGCTACCATGCTTGGAACACAGCAGGCTCTCAATAAAAAATGTGTTGAATAAAGAAATAATACTGAGGCTGAGATGAGGATCTTCTTGGAGGGGGAAATGTGAGAGGGGACAATTAGCAAGCCGACCCCTCAGACGTGTTATGTGTGACACTAGTTGGGCTTCTGTATGATTACCTTGTAGCTTCAAGCAAGCTCCAAAGGCTTTTCCCATAAGCAAATTGTGTATTATTCATGGGGATGAATAGAAGAGCCTCTAATCCCCCAGAGCTGGTATATGGGGCTTGAGGGGCTATATTCTACCCTGAAGCCAATCTTTGGGGCCAATTCCTTAAAATATAGTCAGATGGCAAGTTTGAGAAAGATGATTAGCAGGGAGGATCCCTAGGTCTGAAGATGGAAAGAGACCCTTCTCGAGAAATAGTCTGGGCTTTAAGCCAAGCCTCCCAGGTTTTCCTGACCTCAGTAAATTAGTGTGCACCACTAGACCTGGCGATTCTGAGGACAGGAGTCCTTTCCAGGGCAGTGTGCTCTGATGGAGAGAAGGAAGGAGAGGTGTGGGTGATGGCACCCTGTTCAGGGAGGACAGCCTGGCTGATGGAGGAGGATAGCAGAGCTCTGGACTGGGCTTTGGATAATGGGAGGGATATTGGCAGCCTCTTCTTCTGAGAGTTGGCCTTTGCTTCACAGTTCTCACTTGCCAGGGATATGCACCTCTGAGTCTAACTTTTCAAAGTCCTATTTCACTTACTTGATGGATTGGAATAAATGGCAGTCTCCAACGGCCTTTTGCAGTTGGGTAACATCAGAAGCTCAATGCCTCCTGACTGAACAGGTCAGAGGCTGGGGGAGCAGGACACTCTGTAAGCTAGAATCTGAAGATAAGGCTTTGAATCACAGCTTGGCAACTCTGACTTGAAGCCTTGGGCAAGACACTTTCCTTCACCGACTCCCTCATCTGTAAAATGGGATGCTCAAGCCAGCATGCCAGCCCTACCCCAAGGGTAACATGAAAATCAAATGAATGTGTTCCTGGGAGGCATTTCAGTAACTTCAAAGGTTAGTACAGGTATCAGAGGCTATTGTTGTCAGGTTATTTCAGGTAGCATGCTGACCGGGGACTAGCTGGCCAACTGGAGTAACTGGGTACATTTGAAGATGGAAAGAAGAACCTTCCAGCTCACTTGACTCTGGGTCAGGTGAGTCTCTGGTGTAATTGAGACCAATTATCAACATGCAGTTTTTTCTTGAGCTATCAGCAACAGAATCTCCTTGCCCAAGCCTATTGTATCAAAACATCTAGGGCAGGGCCCAGGAATCAGCCTTATAACAAGTTCCTCAGGTGGTTCTGATGACTATGGAAGTTCAAGCACTGCTTCATATGTCTGCCCACACATGGAATTTCCCTAGCCTTTGAGCTTATTTCTTTCCAATACTTAGCTCTGCAGATGGTCTTACTCATTAAAAAGAACACTTATGTCTGGAGGAGTGGAGTGGGCCCCACCTCCACAAAGCCATCTTGAACTGTCACTCACATCATCTAGCCTATAGCTGAGGATATGCAAGCTGCATTATTAATCATAAAGAAATAGTTCGACTGATTGCTATCTAATCTGTTTACCAGGTCACAGCTCTAGTTAAAACTATTTGGAACTGCTCACCAGACATTGCGAGTCACCTGCATGATCTTGGTCATGTATCCCATTAGAATGTCACAGTTGTTAAGCGATTCCAGCCTTTGGGCTTTGCTGAGTTCCTGCTGGGTGGGAGGGGAGTTAGAGACAGAAAAACAAAGAAATGTTCTCTGTCCTTCAAATACAGTGTCGACTCAGACCTCCCACATATACAGGTTCAATGCCCATAAGGTTCGGGGAGCAGGAGGGGACAGAGATGGTGAGAAGCACTAGGTACAGTGCTTCCATGGTGCTTTTGTAGAAGGAGGATGACCAGCAATTTTGACTCATAAGGTTAGTGGAATGGAGCCAAAATAATTCTCATGTGCACCTCCTTAGCACAGGCCCTATTGGTTAGAGGTAGTTCCATGGTGTTTGCTTAGCAATCCTTTCAAGCTTCCCAGACAGCAATAATTAGGTAGAAAAAAAAATTTGTGCAAAATACATAGACATAACTAGTAATTTCCAGAAAATTAGATTTTCTGTTTTGTCTGGGCTAGGGCAATAATTAGACAAGAACGTAGTCAACATTAATTCTTATCCCAACTCCACCATTGACATGCTGGGTGACCCTAGGCAAGTTCCTTGCCCTCTCTGAGAATTACTGTCTATATTGTAACATCAACAGTTTTGGATTTTGAGCCCTTTCTGTCAGCAGTAGAATTCTGGAATTCCCTCAGTGAGCTACTGACTCAGGAGCAAGTCTGGTCCAACCTTCAGAGTCCACTTTCTAAAAATATCAAATAACCCCTATAACTTGACCTCACTATTCCCTAAAAAAGCTCACTGGGTATTTGTTTGGTTTCTTTTCTCACTCCCTAAAAGTTCTTCAAATAAAGCATGATTTTATTTGAAATTATAAAGCAGCCTGAAAAATTTGGAGATAATTTTACCCCTGGGCCTTCCTGCTACCAAAGAGTTCTTTCCATATGAGTGAGTGAGTAAGCTTTCCTTACTTCAAAGTCTGAGCCAACCTGGACATAGAAAGTAGAGCAAGCTTGTCTAACCCATGGCCCATGGGCTGTGTGTGGCCCAGGATAGCTTTGAATGCAGCCCAACACAAATTTGTAAACTTTCTTAAAACGTTATGAGATTTTTAGTGATTTGTTTTAGCTCATCATCTATCGTTAGTGTTAGTGTATTTTATGCATGGCCCAAGACAATTTTTCTTCTTCCAATGTGATCCAGGGAAGCCAAAAGATTGGACACCCCTGTTGCAGAGGATACAAAGTTTTTAGCAACCTAGTGGGACTCTAGAGAGCCAGAAGTCTAGAAAACACTTTTGAGGTTTTCAGCTTGTGCCATAATCTCAGAGCCAGACCTCAGTCCTTTCTGCCTGGTATTGTTCTCCATCCCTGGGGCCCTCCTATATGAGTGATTTCTCCTGAAGGCCAACTGCTAATTATTGACATGACAGGAAGTGCCACATGTAGGCACTTTCTTCTGAGTGAGGCCAGGTAACAAGGTGATGATCATAAATCCTGATATGATTGGTGGATTCTTCTTTGGGCTTGGTTAACTGTCAGCTTCCAAATTCCAGATTTTCAGTTGAAGAGGGAGCACAAAAATGAAGTCCTTTTTATTGTATTAGTTATGGTAAACATAAGCTACTAAAAACATAACCAGTAATAGAGCAGATTAAGGTGTGAATATACACATATGTTTACATATGAAGAATAGATATTTGTATCTCTCTTTCATGTAACATTCTCCCTGTGAATGATCCAATGCTGCATAACAAGGTCATTCTGGGACTCAGTTTCTTCCCTTCCAAGTCATTGCTCTCCCATTCCTTCTATCCCTTAAGACATGTCATCTTTTACATATTTCAAACCCAGTGGCTACCACAAAAGGGTTTCAGCCAGCAAGAATGGAGAAGAGAACATCCACTCTTTTAGGGCCCTGGCTTAGAATGAGCCCACATCACTTCTACTTCTAATTTACTGGCAAGAATCTAGTCATACATTCATACCTAACTGCAGAGTGTTGGAAAATGTAGTCACCATGAGCAGCCATGTGATCTCTAACAATTATATTATATTGCAATAAATGCCAAGTGGGTTTTGGTGGGCAATTAACAATATTCGTTACAATCCACCTACCTGTCCACCTCAATATTTGTGTGCAACCTTATTTGCACACACACACACACACAAACAGTGTTCACAAGGGAAACAACCCACAGCCTCATCCAATTACTGCAGACACCCATTCTCCAAAATCTCCAAGTGACACAATATTGGAGAATATATATTTTTTATAGGGGCTGATTTAGGGCTTAAACAATCAAGAAATTTGGCAGACCAGGTGTGTGTGTGTGTGTGTGTGTGTGTGTGTGTGTGTGTGTAAAACAGTTCTAGTGAGATATAATTTATATACCACACATTCACCACTTAAAGTTTATAATATTCTTTAATGTATTCATGGAATTGTGTTATAAAATGAGTCCATTTTATAACATTTTATTACCCCCCAAAATACTCCATACCCTTTAGCTATCACTTACCACCATTCCCTTTATCTCCTTCAGTCCTAGGCAACCACTATCTGCTTTCCATCTCTACAATTTGGCCTATTCTGGACACTTCATGTAAATGAAATCATATAATACGTGACCTTTTGTGACTGTCTTCTTTCACTTAACATATTATTTTCAAGGTTCATACATGTTGCGGCAGGAATCAGTACTTCAATGCTCTTTATCGTTGAGTAATATTCCACTGCATAGATATGTCACAGTTTGTGCATTTGTCAGTTGATGGAAACTGGGTAGTTTTGATTTCTTTAGCCATAAGTTTCTCTGAAATTGTGTAAATATGTTCATGGATTGGAAAACTCAATATTCTAATGAAGCCAACTCTCCCAAAATTGATTTATAGATTCAACACAATTCTCAAACTTCCAGCAGGCTTGAGTATGTTTGTGTGTGTATATGTGTATATATAAATTAACAAAATGATTCTAATGTTTATATGAAAATGCGGAGGTCCAAGAATAGCCAAGGCAATCTGGAAGAATGAAGTCAGAGGGATAACACTACCAGACATCAGACCTATTACAAAGCTATAATAATTAAGACCAACGTAATAACATAGACCAGGAAAATGCATATAAACATTGTCATTTGGTTTATAACAAAAAATGCCACAGCAATGGTGGATTAATTCAATATCTATTTGGGAAAAAATGAATTGACCCCCATATCACACTAGAGACATAAATAAATTCCATAAGATTACACATCTAAGTGTGACGGATAAAATGCTAAAGCTCCCAGAAAACGATACAGGAGCTCATCTTCATAGCATTGGGACAGGAAAAACATATTTAAAAGGCTATAAAAATCTCATATAATGGGAGAAGATATTTAAAATATCATCAACAAAGTCTCATATACAGAATATATAAAGAACTTTTAAAAATCGATAACAAAAATGTAGAAATCCCAGGGGAAATGTGGACAAAAGGAACTTAACAAACAAAACAAAAATATTCAAATGTTCAAAAGAAAAGATGCCCAACAACATCAGGGAAATGCAAATTATAACCACAATTACATACTGCTGCACCCCCAACAGTGTGGCTAAAATGAAAAAGCCTCACTATACTATGTGTTCATGAGGATGTAGAGCAAAAGAAACTCTCATATACTGCTGGCAGGAATGTAAATTGGTGCATCCATTTCAGAAAAGTGTTTAGCCACACTTATTAAAGCTGAAAATATGCATGCCCTTTGACCCAGCAATTCTAGTTCTTGGAATATAACTAAAAGAAATACATTCATTTACCAATATGTAAAAATTTTAAGAGCAAGCTTATTCATAATAACCCCCAAAATTTGAAACATTCTAAATGCCTAATAAAAGTAGAATGGATCTTTTAAAATATAGTATATGATGGAATATTACATAACAATAAAAAGAAGTAACTATTGATACACACTGCAACATGGAAGAACCTCAATGGACATTCTGGTTAGCAGTAACAGCTGGATGCAAAAGAATACAAACTATATATTCCATTTATATAAAAGTCAAAACAAACACAAGTATTCAATGGTGACAGAAATCAATATAATGCGGTTATTTGCTTGGGGTGTGTAATTACTGGAAGGAAGCCCAAGAGGTGTTCTGAGGAGCTGATCATGTTCAGTTTTTTGAGATGAGTACTGATTACAAGAATATGTTTATTAAGCTGTACCTCTAGGGATTATGTTCATTTCTCTCCGCCCCCCCTTTCTTTATCTCCCTCTCTGTGTGTGTGCGTGTCTTCAATAAAAAGTTAATTTAAAAAACAACACGTGTTAGTATCCCCAGGGAAGCAAGAGGTCAGGGGATAAGTGGAGGTATGGATGAATTTAAATTTACCATGAGGTGATGATTGTTGAAGCAGGGCTAAAAAATGGGTACTTGGGAGTTCGCCGTGCTATTCTCTCTACAGTTTACCCAAGTGAAAATTTCTGTAACGATTTTTAACACGAAATTTGGTAGACTTCTGGTACATTTGCTTCCAGTCAGTTTTATATCTTAGTCTGTAGACACAGCTCTTAAACTTGCTTTATTTCTTTACTTCTTTGGTTCATAATGCTCTGCACCATTTTAGGAGTCGCTCCCTGAAATAAGCTGAAAACAATGGGTTTAGGCATTAAGGCAATCCCTTAGTCTAATCTTTTTCAACAGTCTCTCTCTCTCTCTGTCTCTCTCTCTCTCCTCTCTCTCCTCTCTCTCTCTCTCGTCTTTTTTTGATTGGCTGAAAAGTTCTATTGTAACTTTGACAATGCTGGTCTTCTTTGTAGCCACTTAAAATTACTTAAGTAGTTGCCTTTCCCAAACCCAAGGATCCCACACCTTTTGACTGCGTCTATTTCCTTCCATCTCAGACTGCAGGTCAGGGAAATTCTTGTCTGAGATCACTTCTTTTTAATGCTTTTCTAAAAGCATCAAGGAACAGCCAACACAGACACTGACTCCAATCACTTTCTCTAGAGTTATAGTCTCAGTAGGCATCATACTGCATTCAAAGTTATTTTAGTTGACAGTTTTGCCATGCTATCATGCTTTTCATGCTTTGCCATGACATGAAAAGTTACCAGCTTTCAAGCCTATAATATTAATATTGTTGTCCCTGCAACCTACCTGCTGAGATGTTGTTGCAATAGTACCCTACTTGAAGATACATTTCCATTTTAGTTAGGGTAAAGGCAAACTGTTGTAACAGAAACTCACCAAAGGGATGACTGAGATAACAAAGCAGATATTTATCTCTCACTTAAGAGTTCTGATGTGAAGGAATCTGATTGGCAAGTGGCTCAGCCCCTTTGAAGTCATTTAGGAACCATGTTCCTTCCAAGTTGTTGCTTGGCTATCCATTACAACATTAGCATCATCTACATAGTTAAGTATGGGTGGTCACCATAAAAGGATTCCAGCTGGTAGGAAGGGAGAAGAGCACAAGGAGGAGACATACTGTGCTCTTAAGATTCAGGCCAGAAAGTGACATATAATTACTTCTGCTTACATTCCATTACTGATAAGATAGTCGTATGACAGTACGTAACTGCAGGAGATTCTTGGAAATGTGGTCTTGCTGGATAGCTATATGCCCAGCTACAATTTTATTTTATGGAAGAAAATGAAACTAGATTCAGCTACACAGCTAGCAGCTTTGGCCACACCAATTTCCTCTTGCTTCCTTCACACCTACAAGCTAGGCTTAACCTTTCACTTGCATTTATACCTAAAGGTCTTTATATAACTTAGAAAAAAATTTATTTAGCCTTTATCATACTTGGCCTTCCCAACAGTACTGTGAGGCAGGCAAGGTGTAAATTTTTGGCTCTAATGGAAAAAGAAATATATCAAGGCTCAAATTATCTCCCACACGAGTGGCAAGCCTGAGGTTAGTACTCCAGTCACCTAACTCCAAGCACGTGCATTTTCTTTTACTATCCTATGTTCCATCTTTCCTGCTTTCTAAGAGTCATCTGCATATAGTTCTTAGTTCAGTTCACCTCCATTGTTGCCCTGCGTACTGCTTTCACACTTACCAGGACATAACACAGCCTCACATGAACAAGACTCTCTTTATCTTGCCAGTTTGATGGTATGTGTTCCCAATGAGGATTCCTAGGCCTTGTCAGACCAAGGTGTTTTCTGTCCTTTGCATCATTTCTTTAAACAGGTTCTCAATCCCATTGTACGTCACTCACTCCCTGGCATACCCTCCCTTTCGTTCTCTTCCAGCCTATGTTCATCAGCTCCTTCAACTCTGAGTCCAACACACACTTTTGAACAACTTTCACTATGCTCCCTCAATATTCATATCCACAGATAATTTATGTGGCTGCCCTTGTGTCTCAATAGTTCTTTCTTTACACTGGAGCCAGAATGCTGTTTTAAAGTTAAGTCTGATCATGCCACTTGTATTAGTCTGCTAGGGCTGCCATAACAAAATACCTCAGACTGGGTGGCTTAAACAACAGAAATACATTGTCTCATAGTTCTGGAGGCTGGACATCACAGACAAAGGTGTAGGTAGGGTTAACTGCTCCTGAGGCCTCTCTCCTTGGCTTGTAGATGGTGTCTTCTCCCTGTGTCTTCACATGGTCTTCCTTCTGGGTGCGTCTGTGTCCTAATCACTTTTTCTTTATGAGGACACCAGTCACATTGTATAAGGGCACACTCTAATGACCTCATTTTACCTTAATTACCACTTTAAACACCCTATCTCCAAATGCAGTCACACTCAGAGGTAGTGGGGGTGAGGACTTCAACTTAAGAATTTGTAGAGGGTCCACAATTCAGCCCAAAAATCTACTCCTCTTCTGAAAAGCACTTTAATGGTCCTCCCATCTCATTCAGAGTGAAAACTAGTGTCCTTCCAACAGCTCTGAAGACATTTCAGGATCCGGCTCCTGCCACCTATCTGACCTTATGTCCTACCACTCTCCTCTTTGCCCACTCTGCTTAGTCACACTTGCCCCATTGCTATTTCTTTGACACAGTGGGCATGCGCTCACCCACCTCGGGGCCCTTGTCTTTCTCCTCCCTCTCTCTGGAATTTTTCCCCTCAGATATCCACATGGCTCATTCTCTCCATCCAATTCCCTTATCAATCATGGCATCCTAATACAAATAATGACCTGAACCCTCAGCACTATACCACCCCCTCCTCTACTTCATCTATCTTCCTAGCGTTTTCCACCTTCAAATATATAGTGTCATGGACTTATTTTCAAAGCATTTCCTCCCACAAAATGAAAGCCTCAGGAGGTCAAGGATCCTTCCTGCTTTGCTTGCTTCTGTATCCCCAAGCTTCAAAAGAATCCCTGACATACCGGAAGTGCTCAGAAAATATTTGCTGAAAGAATGAATAAGGCACACTTATTGAGAACACAACTGAGAGAGAGAGAGGAAGAAAAAAAGGGAAAGCCTCCAGAGCAATTGAAATCGTGACCACGAATCCCAAGCTCCATATCACATGCACTTTCTTCAGAGAGGGCCCCCTCAGGATTTCACTCAGAGCCCACAAACTTTAGTTTACATAAAATTCTATGAAACGTAGGTATTTAAATTCCAATCTCAAAGTAAATAAGAAGTAGCGAGAAAAAGTGGATTCATGCAAGCAGCAAGCTCAGTGATGATCATAAGAAGTGGCAGTTGACAGATTGACAGCAAAGAAAGAGAAAAAAAATCCTGTAAAAAGAGAGACACGCCAAAAAGCACATCCATCTAGGCCATTTTCCATAGGAATAAAGTGACTTTGTCTAAGTGGCAACCAAGACAACTGCTGTCATGGCCAAGGACAGGAAGCGAAGTTTACAATAAGAACCAGGAGTCATTAGGAACAGGTTACATATGTCTGGTGTGCTTCCTTTCCCTAGGGTAGAAAAATAAGCCTTATCTGGGAGATGAGTTTCCCTCATAATATGGTTTAAATAATACTTTTCAAGAGCATTGATGCTAAAAGTGGTGAACTTCCTTTCAGTACTCTTGTGTAGATCCCTCACTCCCCAGGCTGGAAAATGTGATACAAGAAGTATGGTTGTCCTCAGTGCAGTTCTCCTGCTCACTGCTTCCTGCTGAGGACTCAAAGAAATGGCATCTCGTTTCCCTGAAGGCAGAAACCAGAGCTTGCATTGTCTTCCTTGGTACCCTCTTTCCTCCAACTCACCCCGATTTGGCTGATGTTTGCCTTATAGACTTTTTTGTACTGCCTCTCCACAAGGGCCACCTAGAGAACAGCTCTCCAGTCTGCAAAGCCCTCATTTCTGTTGAAGATGCCCTGTGAACTTTCACTGGGTCTTGTTTGCCAATCAGGCAAATCGCAGCCATTCTTCAGTGACCTACTGTTAAGAAAACAGGCCTGAGAGGGGATGAGGAAACGTGGCTGAATCCCTGTGACACAGCAGGCAGCCTAGACCCTGGACAGAGTCCAAAACCAAACCAGGGAGGCCCAGGGTGGATCCAGTGAGTCAACAATCTAGGGACATGGCCAAGGTTCAGAACTACAAGGCACAATGTACAGAACCGTGATCCAAACTGCAAGCCAGAACCCAGTGACTCCAGCAGGAGCAAAGGGAGGAGAAGGCTGGGGTAGGTGTGGGAGGAGAGCTGGGAAAGGCAAAGTTGCAGCATCCCCAGGGTCAAGAGACTAGGCAAGGTCCAAAGGCAAGTGGAATAATAACTTTGTCCCATCAATCAGAATTCTGCAGGCCCAGCTGCAGGCAGCTTACGTCTACTTTCACGAAAGCTCTAGGACTCCATCCTCTGCCCAGCTCTCTTCTGGCTCTTCATAAGCTTTCCCAGGGACCTCAGCAATTGCCACAGCTTCTATCATGATCTTGCTGCGGCTGACATTGCTATCTGAAGAACAAGGGGAAGCATGTGGCACTCAGCATTGAGGGACCTGCATTCTAGCCCCAGCTCTGTTCCTTTCTGACTGTGTAATCTTAGGCAAGTCATCTACTTTCTCTGAGACACAGTTATTTCAGCTGGGAAGCGGGAAAGATAATGTCTACCTCACAGAGTTTGGGTGAGAGCTAAATAAAATCATGAAGATAGAGCTGCTCTGTAAATCACATAGTTCTGTACAATACTATTCCTAATATTAACAAGTCAATCTATAACCTAAATATCTGTCCTACGCTCCAGCCTGATATATTCAACCGCCTCCTGGAAACTTCCACTTGGACTCAGAGTCAACATATCCCAAATTTTCAAAACCCCCATCTTCTAGTACATGGCTTCCTGTCTTCTCTGTGCAGCCCATTTCAGCGAAGGGCATCAGAGACAATCAGAGTGTCGGGGTATGGAACCTGAAACCTAATGGACTCCGTCAGTGGAACCTTCCTTTCCCAGCTTACATACAATCTGCCAACAACTACCAGGTTGGAATGAATATCTGACAGACTTTCGGCCCTTTTTCTCCTTCCCCTCTGCCCTGACCTCAGTCAAATTCTCAATATTTCTGTCCCAGAATGTTGCAACACAGTCTTAAGAGACCTAGCTACTTCTGGTCACACACCCATTTCCTCAAATCCAGACTTGCCATCACAGCCAGGTTAACCTTACAAAACACAAATCTGACTAAACTGCTTTCCTTAAATCCTTGAAAGCCCCCTTGTACACCTAAAGGAGAAAACGTATGCCAGTTTCACTTCTCACTCTATCCCTTAAAGTATCCACTGTTCTCACCTCTCCCGATGAGAAACATCCTGAACAGACCAAGTCCTGGCCAACGTCTTTGGCTTTTTTCCATTCTGATATACAAGGAGCCATATCATGGAATCGGATTCTTCCTAGAGTTAGGGAAGCCTATTTGACATCAAGAGTGCCCTGAGACAGCTTTCTTCTGCTTCCAGTGATTTTTTTTTTTTTCCCCAAACACAGCCTCATACAGAAAGCAACTGCTGACTTGGGAATACCCACAGTTCTAAGGCAGCACAGGCAGCTAACAGAACCGTGTTAGCTGTCATATGATGTTAGATTTAGTTCTTGTTCTAGTTCAAGTTCTGCCACTAAAGAAAAGAGCCAACTCCATTGTGATGTCTGTGAGATGGTCTTCGATAACATGTCAAGCTGCTGAATTAAGCAACCCAGCAGCCCACACACGAATGGACTTCCTGTTACAAATGTTTTTGTTGTCTGAGTCAGTCTGAGTAAGGGTTTCCATTATTTGCAGCTAAAAGTACTGTAAATTATCTAACACAATAGGTGACTTAAGCAATAACACAGCCTAAGTATGCAAGGGAGTTTCTCACACCAAACAAACAAAAACAGAAACTGAGGTTCAGAAAAAGAAAAATGATTTTGCCAAGAACATACTGAAAATTCGATGGTTAATTGCATAAAATATAACAATACTAATAACTATTTCTAGTCTGGATTATCAGGTGAATAAGCCCTGTTCTCTTCTAGTTTTGCTGTTAAGCTGCTGTGGACTGGAAAACCAGGTTTCTGCAAGACAGGTAGATCTGTTTGTAAACTAAGTGTAAACAGACTCTGAGTGAAGTTCCAAAAGCTTGTCTATGAAGAAATGGCAGGAGCTTTAGCATTGATTTTGGGACATTGAGATAAGTATGATGTCTCTATATACTTGGCTAATCTTTGGTCTATATCACATCAGAACTATTAGGACAATGTGTCAATTAGTTATTTTTCTTGTGAAAATAAATAATGAATGTCACAGAGTGGATGCCTCTATGTGTGTGTGGGGGGGCTCAAACTATGCCTGCCTGAGTGCACATAGCACAAGAGTAGTAGGGACAGGCTCTCTAATCTCAAGTTTAACTGTTTTGTCCTGGCCAACTTGGACTTGAAAAGTAAGGGATGATCTGATTGACTCCTCTACCTTCTCTCAGAAAATTCTTCACTTACCATGTCAAACGACTATTTTGCTGTGGAGCTTATTGAAAAGTGACACATGCTGCCCTGTGGAGGTAGTGAGCTCCTCATCTCTGGCTCAAACTGAGTTTGAATGCCCTACTTGTGAGGAAGACTTCTATTCCAGGAAAAAGTTAAGGCTGATGTCATCAAGTCTTTTATAGTCTCTTTCCAATCCTGATTTCTCTTACAGCCCTTTTAGAGGGAGAAAAATATTCTCTGTTGTTGTTCCTGTCAAAGTTGCCCATAGAAACAGGCAGTATCAAAGTGATCTAGCTCACCACTGAGCCCTTTCTATGTCATACAAGAGCACCAGCAATAAAAATGCTGGAACTGAGGCCCAACCAGTGATATCACTGATGATGCATCAGGAAAGACAGAACACCTGCTCTTTACAAAGACCTTTTTACACTTACTTCCCTGATGAGTTCACTTCCCAATCTGTTGGAGCAAATCCCTTTTGTAAGACAGGCTGCTACACACCATAAATTTGATGGCAGCTCTTCCATCCAAGGAGCCTCTTGGGGCACTTGACCAATCTCAACATTCCCAATTGTTCTAACTGATTGGCAAGCATTATGAACTCAACAATTGGTTTTCCACAGCTTTGGGAGGAGAAATGTCTTTCATTAATAGGCTACATTTCACCAGATTGCCAGGGAAAAGGTGATACTACTGGAAATGTCAGAAAGAGATTCCCTCTTTTCCTCCCTAACCTACAGCAGGGCAAGCAAGCATGGCTGGTAAGGGAGGGTAAGAAAAACACAAAGACTCTTGGCCAGGCGCGTTGGCTCACGCCTGTAATCCCAGCACTTTGGGGGCCGAGGCTGGCAGACCATGAGGTCAGGAGATCGAGACCATCCTGGCTACACAGTGAAACCCCGTCTCTACTAAAAATACAAAAAAATAGCCAGGCGTGGTGGCACGTGCCTGTAGTCCCAGCTACTTGAGAGGCTGAGGCAGGAGAATTGCTTGAACCTGGGAGGTGGAGGTTGCAGTGAGCCAAGATCATGCCACTGCACTCCAGCCTGGGCGACAGAGCAAGACTCTGTCTCAAAAAAAAAAAAAAAAAAAAAAAAAAAAGACTCTTCAGTGTAGCTGCTTGGCTTCATCTTCACCAGGAAGCTTCCTGGCTCCAAACCATTGCTGAAACATCTATTTGTTCCCTTGAGACCTTCTGGGAAAGTCTTTCTTAGGGTTGGGGTAAGGAAATATGGCTTCTCAGGATTATTCAAGCTCAGAAGCCCTGTCACCCTGACTTCAAGCTCAGAAAAACAGGCAAGCCAATAAACTATCCAGACTGTTTGGTGCAAAGTCCTGCAGCTCTGAAGGATGAGTCATCTGCTTTTACCACCACTTGAAATAAACGATAATGGCTTGGCAGCCTTTCGTATATTAATAGCCTTGTCATTTTGCCTTCCTCCCGCTCCCTTTATTCCACATTGGAATTAGAAATGGCAAAAGGGCCTTCAGAGCTGATTACCCTGTGGTTCCAAGCTTCCCAGAGAGCCCAAGAGGAGACCAAGATGTTCCCTGCACCCTGGGCAGACTGAGAGTCCCCCCCAGTCATTATCCTGTAGTCATTCTTCATGGCATTTCATACTGGAAATTATCAGATTTATTTCCTTGTCTGCTGATTGCCCGTTTCCCTGCATAAACATGTAAACTTCATGAAGGCAAAGACTTAATCTGCCCTGTCACTGCATCCTCAACACCCAGAACAGCGCCTGTGAGAGAGGAGGGAGGAGCTGGAAGTGTTACCCTCCTACAAAGAATGAGAATACACAAAGGAGGCAGGGTTGTACATTGGGGGAAGGGCTTTACGAAGGTGAGAACTATAGGGGATGTGGGTGAAGTAACCACATTTCTATATCTCTCTGACTCCAATGTCTTTTGTGTTAATTACTCTGAATTTCCAAGAGAAGGGAGAGGGTGCAGTTAATCATCTCCCTCAAACCTCAGCAAGACCCACCTCAGCCCTCCACTGTGCTCTGTGGTACTACTCTGCATTTCTTCAACTTCCACGGAACCTCTGAGCACTCCTGTGCCCCCTCCACATCTTCAAAACCTCCCACTGGCCCACCAGCACCTTGCTCTAGGAGAAAAATGCCTCCTCTACTCCCATCTCATCTCTGAATACTACTTCTACCTCTTTGTCCAAATCCAACTACAGTTCCTCCCTGCCTGGAGAATGTAGCTTCCCCTGCAGGCCTCTCGACTACTCACTCAGTCCTTAACCCAATCAATACATTGTGATTAGGTACCAGTTCTGGGAGGCAAGTGAAGAGATTCATTCTCCACACTCCATGTTTCTCAGAGTCTGGAGGTAGGGTAGTCACCTCCTCTAATTCTGCTTCCAAAGGGTTACATCTCATCCCTTCTTGCTGACTCAGTGACACCACGGCACTCCTCTTCCCTCCCTGGTAGTATAAAGGGTTGACTCTGCACTTAGGCATTCCCCTTGGCATACACACATGCTGTTATTTTCCCCATGTAACCTTCTCTAGAGTCTCCTTCCTTCTTCAACAACTGCCCTATTTTGCTGCTGCCTTCTGCAACAAAACTCTTCCAAGGAGGTTTCTAAGCTCATTATCTCTAATTCCTAGTCTTTTGTGAACCCACTTGAGCAGTCTTTTACCTCTCCTACCCACCCTTCCCAACACGCACACACACACGCACACACCATAGAAATTTTTCTTCTCAAGGGCACTAATGACTTATATGTTGCTAGCCCCAGTGGTCAATTCTTAGTCTTACTCCCCTGGACCTGCCGGCATCATTTGACAGTTGATCTCTCTCTCCTTGACTTGCAGGATGTTTCACTCTCCTGAGTGAAACATCAAGAGATGTTTTCCTCTTCCTACCTCACTGGTCACATTTCTCAGTCTTGTTCCCTGGCTCCTTCTCTTCTTCCCATCCTCTTCACCTCAGGGCTCAGTCGTTGTCTCACTCCCCTTCTCCAGCTACATGCACTCTCATGTTCATCTCATTCAGTTTCATGGCCTTAAGTGCCATCTCTATACTGATGATTCCCAAATGTATATATCCAGGCTACACTTTTCTCCCACCCACATTTCAGACTCAAGATCACACCTGAATTTGGAAGTCTAATAGACACCTCAAATCACCATGTGGAAAACTGAACTTCTGACCTATCTTCCAACAAAACCAACCAAAACTCCAGGAAAACCAAACTCCCACAAAACAAAACAGCAGAAAAAACAAACAAACAAACAAACAAGCAAACAAACAAAAACCTGTTCTATCCATAGCCTTCCCCATTTCAGCTGTTGGTAGTTCTACCATTCTGGAGCCATCCTTGACGTCTCTCTTTCTTTCACACTTCATATAATTTGGCAGGAAATCTTATTGACTCCATTTTCAAAATAGAGCCAAAGTCTGAATACCTCTCACTATCTCCACTGTGACCATCATCTCTTTTGCAATTGCTGCAGTTGCCCCTTAATTAGCCCCTCTGTTTTTATCTTCACCATCATCAATTTATTCTAAGGGAAGTGGTCCTTTAAAAAAGTAATTCAAATTGTGTCACTCCTCTTCTCATAACTCTCCCAGTGACTCCCACTTTCAATCAGAAGAAAAGTTAACTTCTTCCAATGGCTACATGACACTCCATGATTTTCCAGCTCAATCTTGTTTTCTCTCTAACCTCATCTCCTGCTACTTCCTCTTTCTTCACTCTATTCCAGCCACACTGACTTTCTTGTTGGGCCTGGAACATGTTAATAATTTTCACTTTTTCTTGATTCTTACTAGAACACTCTTTCCCCAAACATCACCTTCTCAGTGATGCTCTGCCTGAGCACCCTATTTAAAATTATCCCCCCATAGCACTCCGAATCCTACTTATCAGATTCTGCTTATTTTTCTCCAAACCATTTATTACCTTCTAATGTGCTGTATAAATATAAGTAACTTGTCTGTTCCTTATATTTATTATTTGAGGTCTGTCTCATTTCTCTGGGATGTATGCCTCACAAGAACAAGGCTTTCAATTTGCTTTTCTCATCACTATGATCTTTAGCACCTAGGCTAGTACCTGGCACATAGTAACATATATTAGTTGAATGAATGAATGAGTCTGTTTGTGTCCTCTCCTCTCCTTCTGTCCTTCCCTCCTCTGAGGAAGAAGCATTCATCCTCCACTAGCAGCCAATTCTCCCCACTGGGCTCTGACCATACACACCTGCTTCATGAAGGCTTTCCACCCTCTCCCCTTCAATTGGCTTCTCCCTCTCAGCCTATAAACATGTTTCTGTCTCATGCATCTGTAAAACACAAAAATCAAAATGCTTCAAATATTTGCCTCCCTCTAGCTGTGTCTTCCTTCATGTTGAGCTTCCTGAGGAGTTGTCTATACCTGCTGATTTCACATCCTCCTCACACATTCACCCCTCAGAGCAGACACTTTCCAGATCTCAATATTCTCAACCAACATCATTTGCCAGCATTATGGGAATTCTCCTTAAATCTCTTCCTCTCCTTCTCTAAAACCCTCTAGCCCAGAGCAGAATCAGACATGGCCCCTGCACTAAGCCTCTCTCCCTGTATTTGGTGTGGGAGACAGTCACAGTTCTCACTGCTTTCGAGCCACTTCTCAAGCAAGCTGTCTACAGTCATACGCTCTTTTCTCTTACCTGTCCATCTCACACCCCCCCTCAACTCTGTGTTGAGGATCAGCCCCTGCCCGAAGCTTACCAATAACCTCCTTGTTGAGTCATCCACTGGACACCATTCAGTCCTTGACTTATTAGCACATGATTAAAACCACCAGCCTACAAGAAATGCCCTCCCTTGTGTTGGCTTCTCTGACACCCCTCTCAGGACTCAAGCTTAAGCCTGTTTATCTCTCCCTGGGTGACTGCATCCAGTTCCATGGTCTTGAATGCCACCCATGTGCCAGGCAATCTCCATCCCCAGTCATGCCTCTCTCCTCCCTTATAGCCTGGTGCCACCAGCCTGCAGTGCTCACAGTGGTCCAGTTTCCTGAGGTCTGGAATCCTGTTTTGTCCACAGCATTTCAACCGCCTTGGGACATGAGCCCTTGCTCTGCAGTGTATGTCTAGGGCTGAGGTCTTGCTCTTTGGCCAGATACTTCCTGGTGTTACTCAAGACCTCAAGGATACCAGGTGTGCCTGCGCTGTCATTTATCAGTTATTAGCTAATAATAGTAATGTTGAGAATGGCAGGTAAGCTTTGTTGAGTACTGACCATGTGCCAGACATGGTGCTAACTGCTTTACCTGGTCTTTGCCATTGAATCATCACAGGTGCCACGTGAGGTGGGAAGTATTATAATTTCCATTTGACAAGTGAGTAATGTGAGGTTCAGGGGCTTTAAGGAACTTGCTCCTAGTCATTTAGCCAGTAGTTAGGGGATGATCTGAAATTCAACCTGTGCCCTGTGTGCAGTGGAGCACAGAGGTCTGGTCACTACCCTGTACTGCCTCTGCCTCCATTGTTAGTCTATCTGCTTTGAAGCCTGGTTGTCCCCTGCTTGCTCCTTCATCCACTTCTGCACTTGGCTTAGCCCTGTACATAGTTCTTTCTCTAGGTGCTTTCCCCAGTGTCCCTGGCATCTCGGTCTTGCTGCAAGCCCAGGTACTTAACAAGCTAAGAGCCATGTAAGATTTGTCTGGGCTGGTATTTTTTCCTTGAGCTAATAAGAAAAGCATGTGTGCATGTGCTACAGTTTAGGCCATGCTAGGGCATGAACACACAGACTTTATGACCAGCAACTCTGGTTTTGTCCCTAAATCACATATATAGTAGGTCACATGGTGGTTTGCTGTTGGTTATTTAATTTGATAATTCACAACTGACAAGGGGGTTGCTCACTGCTATTCCAATCAATGGGTAGTTTGGTTTAGTTATGAAAACACAGCTGCTGTATTAACAGTTTTGTTTATATTCAGCTTGAATATCTAGTTGAAGAGAAGCACATCTGAAGTACAAACAGCCAGGGAGAGGGGTGTGCACCCACACACATGCACACACACACACGCACACACACACACACACACGTACCTAGACACTAAATGAGAATGTTTATTTCTAATGGAACTTTAAAAAGTGAAATGCAAAATGCAGGGAGCTGCTATCATGGCTGTGACTAAAAGCTCTTTCTCCTCCTCCTGCCTTCATTATTCTGTTCTGCCACCCTGGTCACCCGGGAAGACCCTGTGAGCCTTTTCCAACAAACCTCCCTCCTTTGCCTCCTCCCCAACTCCATCTGTCAGTTGTACATCTTAGATGTTGCTCCCTCCTGCGGCTCCTCTTCTGGCCATCCCTGTGGCTCTGATCCTGTTCACTGGGAGAAAAGAGGCTCCAGCTCTCCATCCCGCAAACTCTCCCGCCTACCCCCACCAGAGGGATCTTTGGAAACAACGTTTGGACGTACAATGTACCCTTTTGGTACTCGTCTGCAACTCCCCTGTTGCCCACAGGATAAAGTGCAATTGCCTGGCCAGCCTCCCACTCCAGCTTTATCTCCAAAAATTTCTCTTCACAAATGCCTCAGGCAATCTCCTCCTTGTTCTCTGTCAAACACCACACATAGCTGGTTTCAACACCCTGGCTGGCTCTCAATTTGGAATGTCCATCTCTGCACCTCTGCTGCCTATAATACCCTTTTCTTGCTTTGAGAGGCTAGAGATCACATAAGTGTTTTCCTGGGAACTCTGGGGCCCTCATGACTTTGTACCTTGTGTTAGTAATTTTTGAAAAAATAGTAATTTTTTACTAATTTTACCACAAGTTCCCACTCCTCTCTTGAAAAACATATGTAAGGGCCAGGACATCATCTGAGTCCTTGCCATATATTCCTCTATCATAAAGTCGATGGCCTGACCTAGACAAGCATGTGGCAAATACTTGAAAAACTACAAAATAATAATAACATTCTGTAGCCTCCACAAATCCTCACAGCTATCCTGTGGATGAGCTATCCCTTCGATGAGGTTTATAAGGAAGATGGCAAAGTATGATTAATATCAACCTGTAAGAGAAAAGTGCCTGGGAATCTCTGATGAGGGAGCTGTAATCACTTGCTTCCTTTGTCTGCCTGGGATTCAGTCGCTCATTCAGCAAACGTAATTAATGCCTACTGGTCATTGGTCACTGTGCTCAACCCAGGGGAATACAGGTAAATCAGACAAACCTTCATTTCCCGGAGGTCCAATGTCAGTGGAGGAAGAGACATGCATACAGGACACTTCAAATCCCAGGCTGGCTACAGTAAGGGCAGACATGCTCCTTTCCATAGCAGTCTGGTGTTGGACAGGACGGCAGGCGGATGGACTGGCAGCCTTCTCTTCCTCATGGCCTCAGCAAAGCCGCGTGTTTGCCTGTTCCCTGCTCTGCGGCATTTCTGCCCAGGGCAAAACTGGCTATATAATTTGCAGGGCCCAGGAAAAAAGAAAAATGCAGGTCCACTTGTTCAAAAATTATTAAAAATTTCAGCAGCAAAGCATGAAAGAAAGTATGGGGCTCTTCCCGGTGTGTGTCGGGGGGCGGGGGTGAGGGGCTGTGCAAGCCTAAACATGTCCTGCAGTCTCTTCTGTCTTGCACCGTAGTCTGAAGGCAGCCCCAGGTCCTAGTGGACTAACTCAGTGGTAGTAGGACACACACAGCTGCACACAAATCAGTGACACATTTGGTTGAGTGCCTATTGTGTACCCAGAGCTCTGCTAAGTCTTAGGGATACAGTGGAGACCCCAACAGACACATTTTGTGTGTATGCATGTGTGTGTTTGTCCCTGAGCTTACTTCAGTAGGAGAGACCCACTGTAAACAAGCTCATAAAAAATGCCCAAGATAATCATCAATGAGTGAGCAGTGTTGTGAAGAGGACAAAGCAGAGTGATGTGCTTGGGAGGTGGGGTGGTGAAGAGGGTGTTGTAGGTGAGTGTGGTAGAGCTAAGCCTCTTCAAGGATGCACACAGCCCCTTCTGGAGCAACAGGTGAGGATGCTGCCAGCGTCTGGCATCAGCTTGGTACACAAATCTTTGCCATTCCTTCTCCTTCTGAAGCAAATCAGAAGGGTCTAGGGAAAGAAGATGAAGTCCAAGTATGCTTGAGACTCTTGACGTGTCTCCCCTGAAGTGGGGCACTGCCCCTTCCCCTTCCCCCTCTGTGCCTTCTCGTGTCTTCTTCTGCTATCACCTGGTGCCAAGTCTCCAGAAAGATTCGGCCATCCAGTCTCAAGGAGGTTTCCAAAGCCTCCTCTATTCCAGTTGGTCCCTCTCACACTCAGCTTCTGGGGCCAAAGCGGGAGCCACATTGTGGCAGTGCCCCCTTGGGGTTCAGAGAAAATTCTCCAGTGAATGTCTCCGCCTGGTCCTCTGTTGGCGGGTCCTCCCTGCCCCCAAATACCTGGGAATTTGCCCTGTGGAATACCTCACATCAGAGCTTGCTGGGGAGACCCCTGTCTCTCTTCTTCTCGGTGCCAAGGAAGGTGCTGAGTTACCCGGCTTCCTTCATACGACAAGACTTGTATTCCGAAGGACTGAAGATTGTGGGCTGAGAGCTGGGAAAACCAGAGAGGGAGGTTGAAGCCAGGACACTTGGGGAAGCAATGGGGTGCAACAGGTGGCGGGGAGGAAGCCACGGCTGGAGAGCACAGTTTGACCCCGCGGCGTGCCAGCGGGCAGGAGGGGGTCGCCTCTGGGGCGTGAGCACATCCAGCCCCACATCTTGTCCCTGAAGCAGCTCCCTGCCGGCCACAGCCTGGGGCGCGAGTTTCCCCCGCCCAGGCCCCGCGCCGCGGGCTCGCCGCCTCCTCCCTCCGCCTCCCCCGCCCCTGGCTGTCTGGCAGCGCCGCAGTGGCGGCGTGGGGACGGGGGGCCTCAGCAACCGGGCTCCCGCCTCCTTCCCGCGCCCGCGCGAGCCTCCCCGGCTCCCCACCGCAGCAGCCGTCACGTCGTCGGAGATTTCCATCGGGGCGGGCCTGGGGCGGGGAGCGCGGGACGGGGCGGGGCGAGTGGGAGGAGTGAAAGTTGGAGCCCAGCAAAAGCCTCCGCCCCGCGCTCAGTGCGGCCAGAGCGTGAGCCGCGACCTCCGCGCAGGTGGTCGCGCCGGTCTCCGCGGAAATGTTGTCCAAAGTTCTTCCAGTCCTCCTAGGCATCTTATTGATCCTCCAGTCGAGGTGAGTCTCCATCCCGGGACCCGGGAGCCCTTCGCGCCCAGCTCCCTCTCCCCGGGAGCCGGGACGGCTCCCGGGACCCCAGCGGCCCCGCGTTCCTCGAGCCCCGCGCCCGCTTTGCCCCGGCCCTACCGCGGGCTGGCCGAGTCCCGCGTCCCCTCGATGCGCGCCGGCCTCGGCCCGCCTCACTGTAGGATGGGCTCCCGGGGTCCTTGAGGGGGAGCTCCAAAAGGAAGACAGGACGCCAGAAGGAAGACGGGACTCCAGTTCGCGGATTCCCGCTCTCAGAAGCACTGCGGTGGCCTGGTGACAAGCACTCCTCGGAGTCTTGCGCAGGAACAGGGGAGCGGCCCCGGGGTGACCGGCCAGGGCAGGCTTCAGCTACTGGGGGGGCCGGAGGTGCATTTTGAGAAGGGGGTGCGCGGGCTGAGGGAGCTTAGCTGCGCCAAAAATGTGTGAGTGTTGCCTCGTGTGTTCTCTGCTGCTCACATTTTTTTTAAGAGTGCCTACTGAGTTCCAGGCACTGCGCCAGGCAACTCTGACATTACTTGCTTCCCATGCCGCTGCTCCTGTTGGTGCCAGTCTCAGGCACGAGCTTTGGTTTAGTCTAAGGGTTCCCGCACCAGCTATGCCCCCTCTCCACCGCTGACAGCCTCCCACTTCCTTAACTCATCCCTAGACACCCTGCTGGGCCTTGGGCAGACTGGAGCCAGAGGCCAGGAATATTATTCTCCTCTGAAGTCTGTGGTTTGGGCCGTAGATTTCAATCCCCTTCTCCCCTTTCAGGTTTCCCTTGAACAACCATCTTCCCTCACACCTTCTCCTCGCCCTGAGACTTGGCTAGGAGGGTCGTGCCCTGGATTTGTGGCTTTTTGGGGTGGAAGATGACTGCTTCGTTTTGTTGTTGTTGTTTTGAGATGGTTCCTGCTGTGTGTGAAGTGTCACAAATTTGCAAGCTTCCTGATCTGTGGAGCTTTCTCGAAGATTCCATGGCACTGGGCTTGTGTCTTGTTTGTCTGTTCTGGGGAGGGAGGGTGGCTTCTCTCCCTACCCCAGATTGCGTTAGCTCATCAGAGAAGGGGATGTGTAGCTGCTTGCTGGCTCACTGGTGCCCTGGAGTGGGGCTAGCCTCAGCAGGAGCTTGATAAATGTCTTTCTATGCGTGCTAGCAATTTCCAGTCATCCACATCCCTCAAAATGGGATGTGGACTAGTTGAGAAAGCTGACGTGGTGACTGGCTAGGGCAAAAGATGGCTCTGGGGTGGGGGAAATAAGAAGGGGTGGTCAGAGAGGAAAACAGCAGGGAAAAGGGACTGGGGAAATGGAAACTGCCCTTCAAGCATAGCAACCTGTGGTGTCAGGAAAGAGCTGAGGAGGTGACAATGGGGTGTACTGGGCCACACTGAACCAGAAGACCTCTCCCTGGTCCAGGCTTAGCCTCAAATTAGTTGTGTGACTTGGGGCACAGTCCTTCCTCTATCTGGGCCTCAGTTTGTCCATCTGTAGAATGAAAAAAAAGATCTGATTTAGAAAAAAATCCAACATCTTTTCTTATGCGCCCCTCCCCCCCCCACTTCTCACACCACCAACAGTCGACTGTTTGGGAGGGGGTAGTGCAGAGATTCAACTTCATGCTGGACCATTATGTCTAGAGACATGTGAATGTCTGAAAAACTGCCCTGGAAAATGCCACTATTCCAATGTGTGAGTGTTTTTCAAGTTTTTATTCTGTCTAGCCCCGAAAGTGAGCTTAATGGCTGGCTGGGGAAAGGTATGCATTGTCAGCAGCTCTTTAACCCCAAGGACCTCAAGATGAGGTTTTGTTTTGTTTGTTTATTGTTGTGTTTTTTTTTTTTAACTGGCAAAAGCCAATTTTAGGATTAAAGCCACCTTATGACCCTCTGATATCATTTTTATTGCAGACCTAGTCTAGGGGCAGGAGGGCTTTGGTGGTCTCAGTGCTTTCAGGTTTATTTGTTTGCCTCTGCACTTTTAAACTTGGGGCAGCGGGGAGGATCTCGTCCATGGATTTCAGACATCTGGGAGGGGCTGCTTCAGGCGTTTAGGTGGTCCTGTCTGGCAGTGCTCAGTCTACCACTGACTGCCAGTTCTGATTGTGCCACGTTTCCAGCCACATCACTCATTTTACAGGGTCTCAGGGCTCCATTTTTCCTCCTCTCTTCCCATAGTCACTGGCCCTTATCTTTTGAGATGGCTGGGAGTTTGGCCTCAGGGAAAGAGGACATCTTCTAGATATGGCATTTGAAAGTAGAAACTGTATTTTCCAAGCCCAGTTCTTCCCTCGCCCACAATGGGAAGTAGCCACTTCAGACATGAGAAATGGTGTGGATTTGGCACATCTGTATGCCACTTAAGCAATTCTAACAGCTTGAAATACTGCAGAAAAAATGCATTTTGCTTCTTAAGTTGGCAGTCCCTTGGTCCGCAATACAGGGGTCATGCCAACGTCTCTTGCCCTGTTTACCCCTTATTTTAGGAAACAAATTGCCTTATGGCTTAAAAAAATCCTTTTGGAAGTGTGACGTGCCAGTAGAAAAGCATAGACATCATGAGTGAACAGCTCAGTGGCTTTTCACAAGTAAACAGGCCCGTGTAACCAACACCTAGATCAGGAAATACAGCATTGCAACCCCCTCACCACACACACACACACACACACACACACACACACACACACACACACAGACACACACACACACACACACACACACACACACACGCATGCATCTCCAAAATGCCTGTCCCCGTACACTTTCCTCCCCAAAGGAAACCACTCTCCTGCCTTCCAGTATCACAGATTAATATGGGACGATGGCTTTTAAAAAGACTTTTAATTATAATTTTTTAAAGACATATAAAGGTAGGGGGAACAGTGCACCCCCATTGTTTGTGAACTCATGGCCACTCTTATTTTCTTTTACACCACCCACCCTCCAATTCCAACTTAGATTGTCTTGAAGCATATCTCAGACATCATATCATTTTATATGTAATTGTTTTAGTATGTATTTCTAGTCATTAATATTTCACAAACATAAGAAAATACCATAATTACACCAAAAATTAAAGAATAATTTATTCATGTCTCAACTGTCCACTCAGTGTTCAAATCTCTCCTATTGTGTCATAAATGATTTCTGTTTGTTTTTCAAGAGTTTGCTTTTAAATAAAATAAGATCCAGATATTAGCAAGTGGGGCATTTTGATTTTTAAAAACACTTTTTATGGAATTAGAACATGTATACAGAGAAGTGCTCAAATCATAAGTGTACAGCTGATGAGTTGTCAGAATATGACCACAGCGGTGTAAAGAAAGCCAAATCAAGGACCCGAATGTGAGCAGGACCTCAGAAGCCCCCTTTGTCACTGCCTCCCAGCAAAGGCAGCACTATCCGGACTTCTAACACCATCGGTGAGTTTCATACCTTGGCAGATGGCCTTTAACATTTTTGTTTAATTCAATTATTCTTACTAATCTTCTTCTTTTTCTTGGCTGTGGTGCATGGCTGTGGAGCTCAGGGTGGACTCCTGTTGGGCAGCCAGTTCCTGGATGGCTGTCTGTGGGTGGAGGACTCCTGCCTTTCCTGTTTAGACACCCACAAAGGCTGCTCTTTAGCCTCCTTCCCTTCATCCCCTTCCCCTGCCCCCAGTGCAACGAGTATTACACAACCAACAAAACCGCAAAATATTCCCACAATTTTCTGGTCCTCTCTGGGAGAGGCCGCTCTGGCTTTCGCAAGCATTCCTCTCAGCCCTGGCCCTCTGCCTGCTCCTCACTCCTGGTTGGTGCTGGTCAGGCTGACTAGAGGCCAAGGCTAGTCACAGTGGGCCAGCGCTCAGACATAAATGCCCTCTTCATTTCACGTGTAACATTCTTTTAAAATCTAGGTCTTGGTTTTGTTGATTTTTTCTTAAATAAAAGAGTGATCATAAAAGAGGGACAGCATAGAAAGTCCCCAAAGAGCAGCAAGGTTTAAAAGAAATTCACAAGCCTAATCTGTCACTGTCTTATAATTTGCTATTACCAGTCACAATTTAACTAGGTTTTGTGTTGAAAACTTGTTTTGGTTTGCTTCTGTCCCAAGAGGCACTAGCTGGGGCCCCTACAGAGTGCAGGGCAGAGCTTCATTTTTCGTTTGAATGTTCTAGGGTCGAGGGACCTCAGACTGAATCAAAGAATGAAGCCTCTTCCCGTGATGTTGTCTATGGCCCCCAGCCCCAGCCTCTGGAAAATCAGCTCCTCTCTGAGGAAACAAAGTCAACTGAGACTGAGACTGGGAGCAGAGTTGGCAAACTGCCAGAAGCCTCTCGCATCCTGAACACTATCCTGAGTAATTATGACCACAAACTGCGCCCTGGCATTGGAGGTGAGGAGCAGAACGACGTTCTTCCCCTCCTAGAGGGTCCAGGGGTTGAGGGCATAGGCATGGAGAATGCACCTGGGCAGTAACAGAGGGTGCCATGCTCATGGACAGGAACATCTGCTATTGACCTGTCAGGTAAGAGATATTAACTCTATTCTCAGCAGTGTCATTGACCTTGATCAAGACTTTTCCCTTCTCTCGCCCTCAGTTTTTCCAGTGGTAAAATGAGAGGACTAAACTAGATTGTTGATCTTCAAGATGTGTGTCCAATTCTTAACAGTCCGTGAGCTTGGTTTTGCCATGAAAGAATAAATAAAGAAATAGGATTAGATGCTGAAACTGTGTGGTCCAACACTTACTTGACTCCCCTTTCATCCCCTCTGACCACTTCCTCCCCCGTCCCATGCGCCTGTTTGACACTTACCCTCTGCTGCTTCTGCTTCCCTTATAGAGAAGCCCACTGTGGTCACTGTTGAGATCTCCGTCAACAGCCTTGGTCCTCTCTCTATCCTAGACATGGTGAGTACTAAGCTTTTTTAGTACTATTTCCTAGCCCAGGGGCTGACCTATGGGACCTTCCACAGACTTCTGCTTTCTGCTCTGTACTTCTGTAACAACTCCAATAATTTATTTTCTGGAGGGAGAAAGGGATTTTTTAACCACTGGTTTGAGAATGAGACTGGAAAAGGTAAGTCCCTTGCTACTTGAAGAGGATCTTCAGAATCATGACCATATCTTCCAGTTTTTTCATTCAAAATAGAAATAATAAAGCAATGTTAAACACCACAATGGACTGCCTCTTTTCTTCTGATAATTATTGTATGGACATAAGTCTAAAGTTACTAGCTCTTGCTCTAAGACTGTTCTATATTTTTGCTCTACTTCCTTCTTTCCTTTTCCACTCGTATCATCATAGTGTCAGCACTGCCCCCATTTGGCTTTCATCATCTCCCACCTAGAATACACCTACTCCACCTACTAAGTTGGCCTCCCAAGTGATGCACCTCCTGCAGTCCCAGCACTGCTTACTACATGCAGTTGAAGGCCCTCCATGGTTGTATTCCTCTTCACCCTTTTAGAGACCACGTGCTTTGGTCACACTAGAATATTGGTGTTCCCAGACCACCTTGTACCTCTGAGCTTTCATTCAAGTGATCTTCTATTTGGTATGCCATTGTTCCACTTTCTTACTTGTCAGCTGCCTTCTTTTTCAGTATCTAGCTCAGACAGCATCTCATTCATGGCATCTCCCCTGACCTCCACACCTGTTAATTGCTCCTTTCTTTCTCATACCACATTCTTCTCTTCGGCAGTTACATCTTTCCAGCTTATATCACAGGTGTTTACCTGATCTTGCCTACATCATTTCATTGTAATTATCTGTGGTATGTCGGCCTTGCTGTCTTCTCCATGAACTCCTTGATGTCAAGGGCTCCATATATGTTAGCTAAGCAAATGAGTGATGAATGATGCTCTGCAAGAATCACTTGCATCTGCAGAGCCTGACACTGAGGAAGGCTTTGGTAAGCAACTCCGTCACAGCCACAGACATGGCTTGGCCCGGGGCAAACAAAATTTTGGCATACTCACAGGTACTCAAAAAGTGCCATGTGACTGGGTGAGTTAGAGCCTTGGCTCTGAGATGGGCCTTGCAAATAGACCCTCAATGCTAAGTTAACCTTCATGGAAAATCAAGGTGTTCGCATAGGCTAAGTGGAAAAGCAAGGTTCCCCACTCCCAAACCATGAGGCTTTGGCTGCCTGATTCTTCAGGCACACTACCTATGCATTACTATGTAACAAATTATCCCCAAAACATAGTGTCTTAAAACAACAAATAATCATTATCTCACAGTTCGTGTGGGTCAGGAATCCAGGCATGGCTTAGCTGGGTTCTCTGTTTCAGGGTCTCTCACAAGCCTGTAATCAAGGTGTCAGCTGGGGCTGGAGTCTCATCTGAAGGCTCAACTGAGGGGGGATCCATTTCCAAGACCACTCACAGGATTGGCAGGATTCTGGTCCTCTCTGGCTGTGGTCTGGAGGTCTCCCTCCATCCTTGCCATGTGCACCTATCCACAGGGTAGCTCACAATATGGTAGCTGGCTTCTTTCAGAGTGAGGAAGAGTATGAGAGAAGGTGCTCAAGATGGAAATCACGGACTTTTTATAATCTAATTTTAGGAGTGACATCCCATTGCTTCTGTGGTATTCTCCTCATCAGATGCAAATCATGAGGTCCATCCCAAGTCAAGTGTAATCCCTGTCAAGGGATTACAGAAGGGCACAAACACCAGGAAGTGAAGAGCACTGGAGGACATCTCAAGAGTCTGCCGGCTACACATGGTCATGATGTTCTTCTGTTAGAGCAACTCCTAGAATTGAGTTGCTGAGAACTAACAAGAACAGAAGCATGAGAGCAGATAGATGTTTTTGAGTTTCTGTCTACATTTTAAAATTGGTGGGGTTTTCTTGACTCTTCCCTTGATAATCAGATTTACTTTTTGCTGCTACCAGTGCGTTTACCACTATGAGAATTGTAGTCTCCTTTTAGTCTTGCAATTTACCTTTTAAAAATGGGTATGAATTTAGCAATTAATTTTGCTAGCATTGTTTATAAACTAAGAAGCACTAAGTTCTGTGCAAGAACCAGAGGTTGAGGGCTTGTGGTCCCACCATTGTTGTCACTGTTGACCCTTTCAGGTCATTGGTGTAGGAGTGGGGAAAGTGGCTCACGATGCTATTCTAGCTGGGCAGAGAGCCTCCTACAGCAGTCTCTGCCTATCCTCTTCAGCATGCCAAAAGCCAAATGTAGTGCTCAGTCCACAGTAACCTCATGGCTCCCAGAAATTTGCATAGCTATTTATTTGTTCCTTTCTTCTAGTTCTCTGCTCCTTTGGCTGACTAAGGCACTGCCAACCTGATTTGGAAGTAACCGGTCTAATTTCCACAAGCTGGTTTGCCCCTTCTTTTCTAGCATGTCAATCTCCACCCATTTGGTGGTGGCTAAATTTCCTTAGGTGGAGTGGAGAGAACCACACACTGACAAATGGAGCAGGGGGCGCCAAGATGCTTCGGTTTGCTTTCTGGGTGAGACAGAGCATCCTGTAAAACTGAAGAGTAGTGGAGAATTTGTGACTAAAATCTCCTTGCTGTTTGGGAAGCCAATTTCTATCTACAAGAGCCCTTGTAGCAGAGCAGTAGCCCCACTCACAGTAGCTGAATGCGCTGTCTCTCCTTGCTCCATGGCTATTCATGCTGCCAGCAGTGGCCTCACCTGACAATGCTTGAAGGATATAGTCTAATAACCCAGCAGTCACCAAACCTAGCATGGAACACAGGACTGGTTCAGAAAAGAGACAGCAACTTTATTTTCTTTGGCCAGTAAGGTGGCACTTTAGCCTGAGCCAAGTGTCTTTTGAAAATTCCAAACCCTCACATGTGGTGTTAAATTTTCCTGAAATGCCTTGCCTTCTACATGGTTCCAAATAGTTCTTTAAAGCTGTGGGAGGTCCCTGTTCTGTGGTGTACTTGGTAAGGAGGGGACACACGTCTCTGCCACATAGTCACAGAACATACCAGTACCCAGTACATTCTTGTCTCCTTGGATCCTCATGACAGCCTGCATGGAAGCCAAAGCTGCCGTTAGGATATGGATCCCTGTTTTACATTTGAGGAAGCTGAGACTTCTCAGAAATGTGAGTCCCAGCATTGGGTACATAGTTGGTGTAGTTGCTTGAGGGGAGTTTCAACACCTTTCAGTCAGATGTTGTTTAGAAAGCAGGCCTTGTCCTCCGGGAAGGAAACCTGAGTGCACAGTTGTGTAACACCCAGTCTGAGATTAAAAGGCAATGAACAATCTGGGAATCGCTGCCCATCATAGCATCGATAGTTGCTAACGCTTTTTCTTGCTGTGGTAATTATCGCAGTTGATTCTAGTTCCAAAACACTGAATTTCTAGAGTTTCGGCTGAGCTAAAAGGGATGTACATCGCAAGCTCCTTTGTCAAACTGGGGAAAAAGTGAACTGTTAGTTATCGGTTGATATGTAATGAACTTACAGTTGTCGAATAGAAATTAAATGCTTATTTGAAACACTTCATAACATAGAGCATAAACACAGTGTGAGTGCAGAGGGCAAGGCTTCCCACTGGCTACCAAGCAGTTCACGAGGCCTGGGAATGAAGGAGGCTCTGCTGGCCAAGTTTAGACTGCCAGCCACTTGGGACAGTAGAAACACTTGGAAGACATTTGTGGAGGCAGGTGGGGCAGGTCGGGGTCAGAGGCTCTCATTCAAATGGGAGCCAGGCTCTGCCAGCTCTTTTCTGTCTGCTTCTCTGGCCTACTCCAGGGAACATTCTCAGTCTTCCCTTCCATGGCTGGCCCCCAGCAGTTTGGTGGCTGCTTTTACAATCTTTTGTCCTGGCCAGCAAAGGCAATCAGGGATTTTCTTGATTTCTTCCCCGAGGGCTGTGCCCGCCTCCATGGTTGTGGGTATTCATTGTTTGATGCACAAGAAGTCAGCGGAAAGACCTAGGGATTCTGCAGAGAAAATTGGACCTTGGTACCTAAAGAGATTGTTGGTGCAAGTGAAAGCCATCCCAGGGCCAGGCTGCCATTGACTATTTGTGTGACTTTGGATAGCCCCCTTTCTCATAAAGCCTTAGTTTCCTTATCTCTAAAATAACTCAGAGTTCTGCCTTGGCCTGCTTGTGGTACTTGCTGTTCGAGCTGCTTGGAGTTCTATTGCAGTAGGGTTTTTTTCTCCCTTCACCACCAGTGGTGCACATTTCTAGCTTCTTCCTATTCAATATCATTGTTGATGTTTAACAGACATTTTATGGGACAGACAATATCTGGAGACCAAATAATCACGGATATATCTATGCACACGAACACACACATTCAGAGGTTACAGGTGCTTATTTGAAAGGAAAAACAAAATAAGCAAAATAAAAAAAGATTCTCCTTGTTTAAAAAACATGAGACTAAATAGAGGTTTCTCTTGTGACTCAAAACACTCCTTTCCCCCCCAGCTCCCCTGAGATGGAGTCTCGCTCCATCACCCAGGCTGGAGTGGAGTGGCACGATCTTTGCTCACGTCAACCTCCGCCTCCCGTGTTCGAGCCATTCTCCTGCCTCAGCCTCCTGAGTAGCTGGGATTACAGATGCCTGCCACCATGCATGGCTAATTTTTGTATTTTTAGTAGAGATGGGGTTTCACCACGTTGGCCAGGCTGGTCTTCAACTCCTGACTTCGTGATCCGCCCTCCCAGAAGGCTGTAAAACCTCCCAGAAGGTTTTAAGGAAGCATAAAAACAACTGGATAGTTGTGGTGACACACAAACCTTAAACATGTGCCTCCCAAAGTGCCGGGACTACATGCTTGAGTCATGGCGCCTGGCCTCCAAAACACTTCATTTTTATTATAATTCTGGAGAATGAAGGATTGGGGTTAATTAACACTGGTGCTCCCCAAATAAAAGCTGAAAGGGGAAACTCCACTGTATGCAATCAATGGTGTGTGTGCTTGTAAATTTTTAAAACAATTTTGAGCTGGGATCTTTGATTTACTATGGAAATGTGGGGACTGAGAGGGTGTTGACCTGGCTGGAGTAGCATCACAGCCTACACAGGAGCAATAAGATGAAGAGCCCAGCCCATGGAATTAAGCCACCATCGCCTGTCTGTTTCTAGATGAAATGTATCCTCTGAGACTGTGATCTAGTTGGGAATTATATTTTATTTTGGAACACCTGGAAATAGAAAACTCCTACAGCCAAACTCATGCCACCTTCCTCTGTACAAACCTAAGTGGATTCCAAAGGGTCCATCTACTTGATAAGCCCATCACAGAATAGCATGGAACCTTTGCCCACTGGTAAAGGGAGGGTGTCAATGTCAGCTCTGGAAACAGGGCAGTTGTTTTGAGGAGGAGGGCACTTACAAATTATTTATAGTCTCCCATTTAACAAAGAGGATAACAGAGAAAGATACGAGTTTTAGCCAAGGTCACAAGAACATTTATTTAAGACTTTGATTATAAATGGAAACAATTCTACAGAAAAAAAAAAGTGAGACTAATTGTCACTAGAGTCTAACAGTTCTCCTTGCCTCCACATTACCTTGAAATCATTTATTTGTAGGGCGCATTCAGTTTTCTGTAGTGTCAGTCAGTGTCTTCTGGATATTTTCTAATCTTTTTTTATTTTGACATAATTCCATGTTTATATTTCCACGTGTGGGCGTAGTGTACAGACATGTCATTTTTAGTGATCAAGTCCTATGTTGTCTTATCGTTTGCCTAAGTGAAATGTTCTCTTATTCTCACTTATAAGGAAACATAAAAACAACTGGATAGTTGTGGTGACACACAAACCTGAAACATGTGCTAATGAAAATCCTCAGAATCTATAACGTCAGAGCTAACAGTACCTTTAAAGATCACCAAATCTCACCTATCCCATTGTTGTGTTCATGTTGATCATGTATACCTAGTGATCATAGGCTTCCTTAATTCAGCTGCATTAATCCAGTAGTCTTGACTATGGTGTGACCAGGAAGGTGCTCTAGATTTCAGTTTTATCCAGTAGTGTCTTTCAATTTGCTCCATGTCAGTAAGATCTGCATGGACCATAGTCACATTTGCCATTCTGTTGGGCAACACTTTCCCAAAGTGTGGAATCATTTTCAAATGTGTGGTTGACCTTGTAGGATAAACACAGCACAAAGTGAGTAGTAGTGCTATGGACCAAGTACTAACAAGTACTATCACACTTTGGTGAAAAGAGTCGCCTGTGAGCAGACTGTCAGTTGACTGTGCAATCCTTGCAGATCTATTGGTAAAACAAGTGGTTGGGTTGTTGAAGCTGAAAACTTTTAGTCATGAATGTCTACCCTAGAGAAAAGACTCAGGAGGGCAAGATTCCAGTCTTCAAGTGCCTTTCCTTGATTCAATGTTGGCTCTGATTTAAGATCGTAACCAATTTAAGCCACTGTCAAGAAAGAATAAGAAATGCCCCATTAAAGATATGTGTCAATTGTAAGGTGCACCCTGACTTCAGAAATGTGGGAAAAAGACAGATTCAATGACGTATCATTTCTGGAGATCTCTCCTCTGGAACCGAAACTAGACTTGCTCTATGTGCTACCTGAGAGCACAGTGGGGATTCTAAGAGAAAGTAGTAGGGAGCTTTGTTTAAGGCAAACTTTTCTATTGTCCTGAGTTGTGTGAGAATTGTGTTAACTGCTGCATGATGTGAGGACCTAGCTCCCCTTGCTCACGGTAATCAAGCAGGGCATGACTGACTTCTCATTTGGGATCATTAGGCTTGGTAACCTCTGAGTTCCCTTCTAGTTCTGACATTGGAAGAGTCTTTGAGCAGAGAGAAGGGACCTCATCTGACTCCTGCTTCCTGGTCTAGTGCTCAATGCATTCCACCACATTGCCTTTAGGATTCTAGGTTAGGGAGTGGCAAACAATATGTTTGCATGTGAATGTCCTTTTTCTGTTCATCCCCAAGTATGTGCTTTTCTGTCCTTCCCACCAGGAATACACCATTGACATCATCTTCTCCCAGACCTGGTACGACGAACGCCTCTGTTACAACGACACCTTTGAGTCTCTTGTTCTGAATGGCAATGTGGTGAGCCAGCTATGGATCCCGGACACCTTTTTTAGGAATTCTAAGAGGACCCACGAGCATGAGATCACCATGCCCAACCAGATGGTCCGCATCTACAAGGATGGCAAGGTGTTGTACACAATTAGGTATGTCAAGCCTCTGGAGTCTCACTTCCTGGAATTCTCTCTCCCCTTCTGATAATTTTAGCTAAAGATCCATGGGCAGAGATCTCATCCTGAATGATACCTCTAAGGGCCTGTCCAGCTTTCCTAGACCATGAGCTCAGCCCCCTTATGTAACAGATATAGAGGCCTCAAAATAGAAAGATATTGCTTAAAGCCACACACCAAGTTTGTGGCAGAGCTGGAACTGGTACTCAGTTACTTGGCTCCGAGTCCAGAGCTCCCTCAACTAGGATGTGCCAGTATGACTGCATTATCTAGACAATTCCATCCTACGTGGGCACTCGATACAAAGATACGTCCACAGTGGTGGAATTGTTCAGGCAGAGCAGCAGCACGGTAGTGGCAAAGGTACCTAAGATCAAGTTGGATACTTGAATTCCCAGCAGGGGAAGGTTGTGTGTGGGGGATAGCAGGGAGGATGTTGGCAGGTCCTGGAAACTAGGCTGGGCGAGAAAACAAAAGCCGATCGAAGTTGCTCCATACGTTTCTCTAATGATGGAGCCCAGAGTAACCAGATACTTCTAAGCTGTTTGTTTGTTTTGTTTTGTTTTGTTTTGTTTTGTTTTGTTTTGTTTTCTCTCTTGTTATCTCTCCTTTGAGCTTTTTGTCTTAAATTCTAGCGAGGTCCAGGCACGGTGGCTCACGCCTGTGATCCCAGCACTTTGTGAGGCTGAGGCAGGCAGATCACTTGAGGTCAGGAGTTCGAGACCAGCCTGGCCATCATGGGAAAACCCTGTCTCCACTAAAAATGCAAAAATTAGCAGGGTGTGCTGGCACTAATTCCAGCTACTCGGGAGGCTAGGGCATGAGAATTGCTTGAGCCTGGGAGGCAAGAGGCTGCAGTGAGCTGACATCACGCCACTGCCCTCCAGCCTGGGTGACAGAGTGAGACTCTGTCTCAAACAAACAAAGAAAAAAATTGACTCTGGCCATTCATTGGTGGTAGTCCCTAGACCAAAGCTGGGTGGATACGGAAGTGCTTAGGGCCAGCCTGATGAGGCTCCTTTCTCCCTTCCAGGATGACCATTGATGCCGGATGCTCACTCCACATGCTCAGATTTCCAATGGATTCTCACTCTTGCCCTCTATCTTTCTCTAGCTGTGAGTACCTTCTTAAGTTTCTGGGGCCCCAGAAACATGCTGGGCTCCTTCTTTTTCTCATCCTTGCCATTTACATTTTTCTGCCTCTGCTTTTCTTCTAAAATGCTGCCAAGGTTGTGCAGGACTTCCATCCTCCACCCTCATTTCCTTTCCTGCCAACAATACTGTGTTGCTCATCCCTTCCACGTGCCTCTGAAGCGTATCTCAAGTATGTCTGCTCCTCTCCATCTCCACTGGCACTACCTTGGTTTAGGCCTTTGTTATCTTCCACCTGGACTTTTGCCACATCTTCACTTTGAAACTGCACATGTCCAAAATGAAATTCATTGTCTCCTCCAAACCTCTACCACCAAAACAAGTGTGTTGCTTCTGGGTTCCCATCTGTCTCATTGAAGAGGACCATCACTCACCCAGTTGCGCAAATCAAGAACTTTGATGTTCCCTCTCCCTCACCTCCTGCATCTAATCAATCAGCACATCCTGTTGGTGTTTCCTCCCAGTCTCTATCGATGCTGTCTATTTCTCTGCACCCTGTACAGCTTTGACTTCCACCTGCATTAATTTAATTCTGCCTGGATTACTACACTGGCCTCCTTGACAACATGTTGTCCTCACAGAAGGACCAGAGTGACCTAGCTGAAGGGTCACCTAGGTTGGGTCACTTCTTAGTCTCGAATCTGCCGTTAACTCTCATGGATCAATTTGAAATTCCTTAGAATGAACCTCAAGGCCATTCATGAACTGGACCCTGCCACCCAATCCTGTGCACCTCATCCTCTGTGAGCTAGCCATCCTGAACTTTTGTCCTTTCCACAATACACCAGGTGTTTCACCTTTCTATACTGCCCCTTAACCCCTTCAACCTCATTCTTATTGAGAATATTTACTTGAGTTTCAAGATTTAATGGGAATATCACCTGCTTTATGAAGTCTTTTCTGAGTATGTCCCCAAGTGACCTTTATCTACTTTGTTTCCCCGCTGTTCTGTGGACATAGGTTTTTCAGAGCTCCTCCAAAAATCACAGTAGTATACTCACTGTCTTATAAAATTAAATGTGATTGCTTGAGGGTAGGGTTCATGCCTTGCTCATCTCTGTATTTCTGGCCTAGGGCCTGATACTGAGGAATGCTCAGTAAACGCACTCATTGAATGGACTTCAACAATGAGGTAAGAGAGGCAAGGTCCCACAGCTGGTGAGGCCAGAGACAGGACTCCAAGGCATTGTGCAGGCTGACTTCATGCTATTGGAGACCTCAGGTGGGCTTCCAAGTCTCATAAGACCCTCTTTCTCACATTCCTTTCCAGTTTCCTATCCTGAGAATGAGATGATCTACAAGTGGGAAAATTTCAAGCTTGAAATCAATGAGAAGAACTCCTGGAAGCTCTTCCAGTTTGATTTTACAGGAGTGAGCAACAAAACTGAAATAATCACAACCCCAGTTGGTAAGCGTGCCAGGGCTTGGCGGAAGTCCAGGAAGGTGGTAGGGATGATTGGAGATGGCCATCCATACAAATGCTTTGCAGTCATCCCGTGCAAACATTGTAAGACATGGCTCCTGTCTTATAATTGCTAAGCACTTACAACTGTTTGCAGAGGAAACTGAGACTTTGTAACTATGTCTCAGTCTCATCTGCAAAGAAGTAAGTGCTTTGCCAAGCTCCTTGAGAGGTTAGGTAAGTAGATAAAGTTCTGCTGCTGTCGGAATGTGCAGCTGGCTTTTTCATGCAGACCCTTCAGTTTCGAGGTTACAACTCTGACCTCTTTGGATGACTTTGGGGAATGGAGCTCGTGTGAGTTCTCCATACCCAGAACCAATCCAGTCTGGTTGAATGGGAAGCAAAGTCCATTGTAGTGGGAGGTGGAGGCTAGAGTTCTAATGTCAGCTAGTTTAAGGCTGGGAAAGTCTGGAGGAAGTTACAGCAGCTACACTGGCTGCTGCATTGACATTTATCTTAAAGGAACAAGTCTGAAAAGCACAGATTCTTATCAAAGGCTTCATGGTGGATTCCACATAGACATAGTGGCCACTGGTTTTCTGACCTTTTCTCTGACAAAGACTAAAGGGGAAGGTCCTGGGTATCTTACACTTCAGCTCCCAATTAGATGTGAGCACCTTCACTTATGTTCCTAGGTGACCTGAATGAGGAGCCAAGGGACCTCCCCAGGGTAGCTCCCAGAGCAACCCTGGAAACACTCTTCACACATCCTGACCAAGTTCAGGGCAGTGAAGGCACTGCCCTCATCGTTTCCAGAATGTGGATGGAGCCAGTCACCCAACCAGCCATTTGTCGTGAGAGGCATCTTGTTCTGCTACCATGTGACTAGGCAGAAAATCTGCTTTTGTTTCATTTATTGAGTCAGTCTCTGGATGAGGGAAAGCTCATGCTCATGTGGCTAGAGCTTTGCTTGCACAGTATTAGGCAGGGGCAGAGGGCTGGGCTACCTTAAAAATACTTGCCCTTTTTCTTGGGGACTCTGGGGAAGCGGTTTTACTACCTTTGACTTGGGAGCCTTGCTCTTCTGCCAGCTAACCATGGGCCTGCCTCTTGGTTTTCTGCACCTCAGCTTTTCCCGGATAGGTGGGGACCCATCATCAAAAGTGACAGAGAAGATAAGGCCCAGGGGCTTTCAAGTCACTAGTGGTTCCGTTTAGTAGATGATTGTGCATTGTTTCAAAATGGTGCCCTAGTGACTACAAAGCCCCAGAGCCAGCATCATCATCAAAGCAATGACAGTAGGTAAGCACCAGACCTCCTTGGGAGTGAGGAGGATTCTTGAGGAGAAAAGAGGTCTTCTTTCTCCTCTGCTGGAGACTAGTTGATCTGGAGACGTGGTTCCTTCAATGTCAGAGTTATCTTTGGGACTGGTCTCAAACTCTTCCAGTTGGGCCCTGGGGCAGGTCTCTCCATCTGGAGCATACTTACGTGCTCGGCGATTAAGGGTTCAGAATGCAGTGGTAGCCTGCTACTCTGGCCATCTTGGACCTTGATCCAGAGAATCTCTGCTTCAGGAGCTTCTAAGAGAGTCCAGCCCTGCCTCCAGAGAGAGGCTTGCCCTTCACTGATGGCTGTGGAGCCTCTGATGGAATATTATTGCTGGTCAGGAATTCACTGTCTTACAAGGAGGTTTCCTTCTTCTCTAGACAGTTCTGTTCATCAAAAAACTCTCCCTGTTCTTCTGAAATTGGAGTCTCTGGAAGTTCCACACATTAAGCTTAGTTCTTTTTCCTTGGAACTGTCCAGGTTACATTAGTCCAGCCACTGTTTCACAGGACCGAGATTAAACGATCAACATCATCATTCCCGGCATGGATCATAGTCTGTTGTAGTCTACATAGCCCTAGTTTATTTTTCTTCCCTTATTCTTCAAAGCTTTGGGTCCATTCATTCTTCTAGTCCCAGTCCTCTGGACATGGTCTATTTAATTGTGTCCCTCTGACACTGCAGTGACCAACCATGATCTGGTCAAAGAGGATAAGAGTTTGAGCAGAAAACCATCTTTAGCATATATTTTTTTGCTTTGGTTCATCAGCCCCAGATATATTGTTTTCCTTACCCGTGCTTCTCTCACTCCTCAAGAAGAAGAAAGTGTGTGTTAGCATCTTTCTCTTGTCCTTCAAGACAAATTGGCATCTCTTGACGAGCGGAGAAGGTTCTTTTTTGGCCAGAATAAATAAAATTAAAATAGAATCATCCAACAGAATAATAAATCTTCGTGCAACAAGAATATATTATATAAACCCAGCAATTTTGCAGGGCCTGGGTATAACTAATTAGAAGTGTCTTAAATTGCAGTCAAGATCCCACGGCAAGAGGACTTTTGATAAATACATTCTGGCCAGTAGGCAAGTGCGAGGGTGGTCCGTGCAGCAGCTCTGGAGGAGTTCTATCCCAAAGCTATACTCAACACACAGGTTTCCCACTGACAACAGGTCGCTCCCTTGCCTTCTTCCAGAAGAATCTGAGAAGCTTTGCTCCTTGAGTTTCAGTGCTGCCAAGGTGAGTACGAAAGGCTGCTCTTCTCATTCAGCTCCAGCCCACCCAGACCTGCTGGGCAGTTGATCCACTTTCCAAAATAGGAGGACACACGGACAGGTTAGTGTTCTGGTCTGCTTTACAAAGCTGTTGCCTGACAGGAGCAAGAGTTGCTGAGTGTCTGCTGGGTTCCAGGCTGTTCTGAGCTTGGATGGGCAGGGGCTAAGCCACAGGGCCTGCATGAGCCCTGCCTTGAAGGGACTTAAAAGACGACCTAATTATAGGCCTAGGAATTTTACAGTATTGCAACTGCAATGTGATGCTGAAAGTGGAAAATGATGTCCTGGGCTCAGAGAAAAGCCCACACCAGCCTGGGAGTCATGATAGCAGCAGAGTGCTTGGGGAGGGTGTGTCAGAGCATAAAGCAGCATGAATGCTACAAAAGAAGATGCCAACTAGAGATATAGGTTGTCATCAGGTCCCGGAGGAGCCATGACCGTCTAGCTGAGAGCCATGACCAAGGACACAATGTCCAAGTGACTGTGAGGACCTCAGTCTGCCCTGTGGATGTGTATGCCACAGACCTGACTTCTGGAGGGCTGACTGAAATGTTCATTTTAAGCTTTTTCTTCTCTTTCCCTGAAACACTCAGTTTGGGTTAGGGGTCATAGACTAAGACCAAAGAGTCCAGGGTTAGAATCTTGGTGTAAAATTGCAGGCCATCTCAGGAAATCTGTGAGCAGATGGGATTGGCTTTGGGTAAGGTGCGTGTGGAAAATGTCAGTGGGAGCCGGGTCATGGTGGGCCTTTAGCATCAGATTCCAGAGTGCAGATAGTCTGTATAGCTCATGTGAAACAGGGAGCCACCAAAACTTTGGGGAGCAGGCTAGTGCCGGTTTTGACCACCTGTGGAGCAGTGCTCACTCACGAAGGCATTTTGCCATCACATGAATGTGCAGAAAGGAGGCCAAAAGCATTCTGTGCTTCTCCACCACAGCACAGACTTCCCTAGTCTCATTTGCTGAGAGTAGACATTCTGAGGGCCAGCAGTGCAGGTGTGATGTGCCTCAGAGGGTATGAAGCCCTTAGTCAGCCATCTGGATATCAGCTGCGTGGGCATGATATCTAGAAGGCTAATTGATTTTTTCACTTTCACCTGACTCTCTTGCCAACCTGCAGAGACAGACATTGGGTGTAGGACAGTGAACTGAGAAGGAAGCTATTAAGATTCTGGCCTTGGCTTAGCTCTCAACTGGCCATTGGTCTTGCAGTAAGTCTTTTTTCTGGGCTTCTTCTGGTCCTATTTGTATGTATTGCATTGTCACATCATGCCTCTATCCTAGGGAATACTGTGAGCTGAAAAATGAGACCCTTACTGTTCACGTCCTGCTAAGGGGGACCGTCGTGTCAGCACTGTAATGCAGTGATGTTTTTTGTGTCTTTCAGGTGACTTCATGGTCATGACGATTTTCTTCAATGTGAGCAGGCGGTTTGGCTATGTTGCCTTTCAAAACTATGTCCCTTCTTCCGTGACCACGATGCTCTCCTGGGTTTCCTTTTGGATCAAGACAGAGTCTGCTCCAGCCCGGACCTCTCTAGGTAAGAGGAGAAACAGGTATACGCATAGGCACATGGCTGGGAGTTGGCTGGGCCAGGGCAGAGTTGCCTTGTCATGGAGTCTTTTAACCAATGTCGCACATAGGTCAGGAGCTGAGCCCATCACTCTTGTGCTCTTGCAGGGATCACCTCTGTTCTGACCATGACCACGTTGGGCACCTTTTCTCGTAAGAATTTCCCGCGTGTCTCCTATATCACAGCCTTGGATTTCTATATCGCCATCTGCTTCGTCTTCTGCTTCTGCGCTCTGTTGGAGTTTGCTGTGCTCAACTTCCTGATCTACAACCAGACAAAAGCCCATGCTTCTCCTAAACTCCGCCATGTATGAGCTGGGTATGGGAGTGGTGGCAAGGCTTTGGAGTGTAGAGACATGCTAGCAAGGGTACTGGGGTTATGGCACATGGGTGGTCAGCTTGCTGAGTGATGGAATGTTACCCAGGGTGGTGGCGGGGTTGAATCAACTTCCTGATGTAATGGTGAGAAGTTGGAGGAGAGAAGCCAAGATATGGTGTGCCAAAGACAGTTTCCAGAAAATCCGGAGGCAGCACTTAGACTTGGGTTATCTTCCCTTGACTTTTCCCCACTTCTTTCCTTGTCCATTTTAGCCTCGTATCAATAGCCGTGCCCATGCCCGTACCCGTGCACGTTCCCGAGCCTGTGCCCGCCAACATCAGGAAGCTTTTGTGTGCCAGATTGTCACCACTGAGGGAAGTGATGGAGAGGAGCGCCCGTCTTGCTCAGCCCAGCAGCCCCCTAGCCCAGGTAGCCCTGAGGGTCCCCGCAGCCTCTGCTCCAAGCTGGCCTGCTGTGAGTGGTGCAAGCGTTTTAAGAAGTACTTCTGCATGGTCCCCGATTGTGAGGGCAGTACCTGGCAGCAGGGCCGCCTCTGCATCCATGTCTACCGCCTGGATAACTACTCGAGAGTTGTTTTCCCAGTGACTTTCTTCTTCTTCAATGTGCTCTACTGGCTTGTTTGCCTTAACTTGTAGGTACCAGCTGGTACCCTGTGGGGCAACCTCTCCAGTTCCCCAGGAGGTCCAAGCCCCTTGCCAAGGGAGTTGGGGGAAAGCAGCAGCAGCAGCAGGAGCGACTAGAGTTTTTCCTGCCCCATTCCCCAAACAGAAGCTTGCAGAGGGTTTGTCTTTGCTGCCCCTCTCCCCTACCTGGCCCATTCACTGAGTCTTCTCAGCAGACCATTTCAAATTATTAATAAATGGGCCACCTCCCTCTTCTTCAAGGAGCATCCGTGATGCTCAGTGTTCAAAACCACAGCCACTTAGTGATCAGCTCCCTAAAACCATGCCTAAGTACAGGCGGATTAGCTATCTTCCAACAATGCTGACCACCAGACAATTACTGCATTTTTCCAGAAGCCCACTATTGCCTTTGTAGTGCTTTCGGCCCAGTTCTGGCCTCAGCCTCAAAGTGCACCGACTAGTTGCTTGCCTATACCTGGCACCTCATTAAGATGCTGGGCAGCAGTATAACAGGAGGAAGAGATCCCTCTCCTTTGGTCAGATTATTATGTTCTCAGTTCTCTCTCCCTGCTACCCCTTTCTCTGCAGATAGATAGACACTGGCATTATCCCTTTAGGAAGAGGGGGGGGCAGCAAGAGAGCCTATTTGGGACAGCATTCCTCTCTCTCTGCTGCTGTGACATCTCCCTCTCCTTGCTGGCTCCATCTTTCGTCTGCACTACCAATTCAATGCCCTTCATCCAATGGGTATCTATTTTTGTGTGTGATTATAGTAACTACTCCCTGCTTTATATGCCACCCTCTTCCTTCTCTTTGACCCCTGTGACTCTTTCTGTAACTTTCCCAGTGACTTCCCCTAGCCCTGACCCAGGCACTAGGCCTTGGTGACTTCCTGGGGCCAAGAAACTAAGGAAACTCGGCTTTGCAACAGGCATTACTCGCCATTGATTGGTGCCCACCCAGGGCACACTGTCGGAGTTCTATCACTTGCTTGACCCCTGGACCCATAAACCAGTCCACTGTTATACCCGGGGCACTCTAACCATCACAATCAATCAATCAAATTCCCTTAAATTTGTATGGCACTGGAACTTTGGCAAAGCACTTTTGACAAGTTGTGTCTGATTGGAGCTTCATGATAGCCTTGTGACATCTTTAGGGCAGGATTCTTATCCCCATTTTGCAGATGAAAACCCTGAGTCACAGATTTCTGTGGGACTGTGGATCTCACTGGAAGCTATCCAAGAGCCCACTGTCACCTTCTAGACCACATGATAGGGCTAGACAGCTCAGTTCACCATGATTCTCTTCTGTCACCTCTGCTGGCACACCAGTGGCAAGGCCCAGAATGGCGACCTCTCTTTAGCTCAATTTCTGGGCCTGAGGTGCTCAGACTGCCCCCAAGATCAAATCTCTCCTGGCTGTAGTAACCCAGTGGAATGAATTTGGACATGCCCCAATGCTTCTATATGCTAAGTGAAATCTGTGTCTGTAATTTGTTGGGGGGTGGATAGGGTGGGGTCTCCATCTACTTTTTGTCACCATCATCTGAAATGGGGAAATATGTAAATAAATATATCAGCAAAGCATTCAAGGTGTGGCTGGTTTCTCTGGTGTTCAAGTTTGTTCTCAGCCCAGGTTTTAAATCTGAAATCCATGACCCAAGTGTTTGCTCCCCTCTCCCATCCATAATTTCCAGACCTGCCAGGCATGGACCATGTACCCTTCTCTCATTAGTAAGGAATGGGAATGAAGGGAGAAGTGCACCTGGGTATGTGGCACCCTTTACAGTTTCCCTTAATTGCTCCTATGCCCCTGCTGGCTCCGTGTCCCTTTTGCCTTGCCTATCACTCTAGCCCCCCTTATCAGAACGAGACGGTTCCTAGGGACCACCAGACTCAAAACATTCCCCTCCTCTACCATGGAAAGATGAGGATTCTGAGGCACAGAAAACAGGAGATACTTGTCTCCTGTCACACAAGGACTTAATAGTGGAGTGGGACTGGACCTTAGAAATGCTAATACCCTGGCCAGGCTTGGAGCAAGCCTGGACACCTTGGATTATTCACCTTTCAAAATAAGAGAGTCTAAAGGTATGCTGGGAAGTGTGGCCCTGGCATCCTGTGACACTTCTAACTCTAAAGGAACTCAGAAACAATAATGAGAACCAAAGAGGAGACAAAAAGGCTATATTTGAACAGCCATTTTTGCCATAAAGCCTTTAGAATGATGCTCAAACACTTTGCATGCAAGAAACTCACAGAAAATATAAGGAACAATTTTAGAACTAGGAAAGTAGTTCCTCACTAAAGATATAGGGAGGAAAAAAGGCAGTGTGGCTCTTGGGCAATGTAGACATGCAAATTTGTAAGCAGTCATATTTAAACGGATTTTGAAACACAGAAATAGTGCAAACCAGATTTTGTAATCACACTGTAATAAATCTACAAATACATAAAATCCCTACATCGGTAAATTTTTAGAAGCTCACATAAATAGTTATTTTGAAAGGAAAAAATTAAAATCATAATTAAGTGCATAATATCTAAAAAATAAAATTAATGAATGACATGCAGCCAACACTGCACTTAGAGAAAAATTCATAATTTAAACATTTCAATTACTAAACACAATGGAAGAAAACTGAGTTAGGCATTGATAACTAGAAATTGGAAAAAGGATAAAAACATTATACATTAGAAAAATTTGGAGCGTTAAAGGAATTTTAAAAATAAATAGCACAGGGAACCAATTAAGCATTTGAAAAACAAGAAATAAAGCTAGGTCCCTATGTCTCTCCTCATCCAAATTACAGATGAATCAAAAATTTAAAAACTTTTTGAAAGGAAACCATAAAGACACTATAAGACAATATGGGTGAATATGTTTATATTCCTGGAATGGGAAAGCATTTCTAAGCATGACGTAAAATACCAGAAACAAGAAAGGAAAAGATTGAAAACAGTGTTCATATTAAGAAATAATAACAAAAAAAAAGGAAAAAAATGTAGAGTAAAACACACTTTCACATTTTCATAGGTCAGGTTTTCTGGGAAGCAGTCTTTGAGACCAAGATTAGAAGGCAGGAAGTTGGTTGAGGAGTGCTCTTTGGATCCCTGCCTTTGGGAAGAGTGCAGGGAACAAGGTGAGGTGGAGAAGAAATCGGACTATGATGCATTGGCTGTTAAGAGCCTCAGATTAACAAATTAGAAGTTCTCAAGCTGAGATGGTCCTTCTGAATGATCACAAATCAGGGCAAGGGGGATGGGCCCTTATATTCTCTCACTGAATGTGAGCATGAGCATGGGTATGCCTGAGACGGTCTCAGTTAAAGGCTGTCAGCCTCCAACAATCTCAGCAGCTGGAGAAGTGAGAGCTGTGCCCAACGGGCAGTGGTAGAGGAAGGACTTGGTGGAACACTACAGCATCCACGATCATTCATCCCTTACCTCGCTGAGGCTCGTTTGCGTCATACAAATACACAACAGAATCATCTTCCCCTGGTTATGTTGAGCTTCTTTTCCTTAGAGGATTTACAAGACTAATGAAACACACTACTACACATCTGTTATGGGAGCTGGTCTTGGGGCCTTAACTGATACTCATCATCTCTGTCCTGTACTACTCATTTCAGAATTCCTCTCACCCTTAGCTAGTATCTGCTTATCTAGGTAGCTTACCTCATGGACTGACTGAAACCTTCACCCCTGGAGGTTCTGAGCCTCTGGATACCATGTCATTCTCAGGCCATGGCTGGTGGACTTGTTTATCATTTCTAAGGGATATCTAAATGGGTCCCCTGGATACCAAACTTATTCTTGCCTGCCCCAACTGTAAAGAAATGGCATGATCTCCTCATGGTAATTAGAATCAATTACCCCTGCCAGGAAGGTGACTTGTTTTCTTTTGGCTGGTGCCAAACATGACCAAGCAGCGGCCATGGGTAAAATCCGATGGAACTCTTGTGTTCCCTGGTAAAGGCATTGGCAATCTGGAAGCTAAGAGCTCTAAACCTGTAGGACCCAGAACTATGAAAACTGGAGCCACAGATTCCCCTAAGTGGGTCACCAGGAGTGGATAAGCAAAACAACTTCTACTTCTACTCCTCAGTTCCCAAACCTGTACATTCTACCCCATAGGGTGCAAACTGATTTAGGGTCCAAAATGCTTCCTGGTGAGTGGGATCCCATCCTCTTAGAGTATCATCCCTAAGCTTACACTTCAGCTCTGTCTTTAATACACCATTTCATCACTCTATCTGGCTAGCAGTTTCAGGGTAGTATGGCATGTAATCGAATTCCAGATCATGTCCCCAGTGTTGCCTTCCTTTTTCTGGAAAGGGAACCTCTGGGTCCAATTCAATGTTATATAAAATCTTGTCTCTGTATATTGTTGGCAAGATTATATAAAATCTTGTCATAGTCAAACACTATGCTCTTGACCAACAACTGGCTGAGGACCTCCAGGAAAATAATCATAACTAGAATTTGTGTCAATTGCAGTCAAACTGAATTATTGCTCCATCCGGTTTTGAAGAGACTCCATATTTGTCCCCAAGTTGCTTATTGGTTTCCTTCAAGAATGGTGACATATTGGGGACTCACCATTGGCATCTTTTATAGGCAAGGACAATAGCTAAATGAGCCTTAATGTGTAGGTAGCTATGCTGTTGTGCCTACATATAACCTCTAACCCTGCCACTGTGGAAGGGTTGCTGGATTTGGCAAATACAGGATTTCCAGTTACATTTGAATTTCTGATAAATGACAAACTTCAGCATAAATATGCTTCATGTGAGGTCATGCTGTTCTTGGGCTACTCCTAGCCCAGGACTGAATATAACAGGGGTACAAGAGCATGGATATGTCTACCAATTGCAATAATACAAGAAAACATGCAATTAAAGGGAGTTCTCAGACTGGATTACTCACCACCATCTTGAGTAGTATATGGGGCATAGGTAGTACCTGGCACACTGTGACAGTCCAGATCCTGAAGATTTCACTGATGGTTACCTGGGAAAACATCCCCGTTGGGGGGAAACCCCATTGCTGATTCAGGCATTTGAAGGCTGTGAGGGGAACATTGTATATACAACAAGGGTAGAGTTGGCCAGTTATTACTAGATTGTACTGATGCTCTACAGAGAAATAAGGAGAAACTGAGGACATAGTCAACAACAGTTAAAATTTAAGGAAGAGAGTCAGAGGGCCATTTGGGAAACTTACGAAGAGGACTTTATCTCCTTCAGTGGGAAATCAGGCATAGATGAGGATCAAATGCAGAACTTGAGAGTTAGATTTGCAAATTTGCAGATATGACCAGATGTCCAACCAAGCCCTATCTATTAGGCTAAAATGAGGGCCCTGTTTTGAAAAGCCTGGAACTCCAAAACATTGAGTGAGTTCATCTGGATGTGTGCTATCAAGGATTGAGGCTTTGTAGACTTCCCTGAACCCTCTCAAAGCCTGTAGAGGTAGTCCACCCCTCCCTATAAGAGTTAGCACTTCTCAGTAGTGGAAGACCTTTTGGAGACTATTCTCCATCAAGATAACAGGTGTTTGCTTCAAGAGCACCCCAACTTCCTTTCCTGGCTGTTAAGCCAATAATCGGAATCAAATCCAGACAAGGCCGAGCGTGGTGGCTCACGCCTGTAATCCCACCACTTTGGGAGGCCGAGACGGGCAGATCACGAGGTCAGGAGATCGAGACCATCCTGGCTAACACGGTGAAACCCCATCTCTACTAAAAATACAAAAAATTAGCCAGGCGTGGTGGCGGGTGCCTGTAGTCCCAGCTACTCGGGAGGCTGAGGCAGGAGAATGGCGTGAACCCAGCAGGCCGGGCTTGCAGTGAGCCAAGATCTCGCCACTGCACTCCACCCTGGGGGACACAGCGTGACTGCATCTCAAAAAAAAAAAAAAAGAAACAGACATAATCCGTTAGGACAGTCCTAGGTCTCATAAAAAGATAAAAGATTACACCCCGGATGAGCTATAAGAATTAACTGCCATGTACTAGAAGGGGTCGGGGGGTAGCACAGGGACTTGTTTTGAGGATCCTTTGTTAAGATAACTGAGACATAAAAATGGATAAACAGAAATCTATTGACATTGGACAGTTTTTCAAGACATGAGATTGAAACCTGGCAAGAAACCCAAGGGATGGGTCAAAAATCTCTGCTACAGTGGCTCCTAGAAGCTTGAAGAAAGTGATGATCAACGCTGAGTGAGGTGGAAATGCCTGAGTTGCCTCGGCAAACAGTATTAAAAAAAAAAGATTCAAAGACTGAGGGAAATCTGCATGCTACAATATATTGATTGGAACTATCATCTACTAGGTGAGGCCCAAAGACAATTACGTTCCATGAGAGGACCCAGAGGGCATGTAATTCCCCAAAACCACGAGGAATGCAAAGAAGCACCAACACCACTAAGAAATGAAGTAGTTATTCTCTGCAGGCCGGGACTGACCATAGCAGAAATATTACCTTGGATGGTGTCTTGGTCTGTTTGGGCTGCTAAAACAAATGCCATGAATTGGGTAGCATATAAACAACAAAAAATATTTCTCATAGTTCTGGAGGATTGGACCTCCACAATTAAGGCCCTGGCAGATTCTGTGTCTGGTGAGAGCCTGCTTCCTGGTTTACAGACAGTCATCTTCTCACTGTGTCCTGACATGGCTGGAGAAGTGAGGGAGCTCTCTGGAGTATCTTTTATAAGGACACTGATTCCATTCGTGAAGCCTCCACCCTCATAACCGAATCACTCCCTAAAGGTCCCACTTCCAAATATTCTCACATTAAGAGCTATGATTTCAACATAAGAATCTGAGGGCAACAATCATTCAGTCTACAGTAGATGGCTAATAGCAATGGGGATGACAGTGCCCTGAAGGAATAGAGACCAAGTAGCAGTGCTTAACCACCAGAAACCAGGGTCTGTTATGTTAACTAGCAAAGTTGGAAGGGCATCCACAGAAACTTGACCTACAGGAAGTTGTAGAGATGGTCAACAAAGCAGGTAAGAACAGATTAATAGTAAACAAAGGTGTTGCTTAAAATCTACACTCAAAAGGCAAGGATGCAGGATCAGAAAGCTAAGGCTGATTTCTCAAGTTAGAAAGGCATGATGCTTTGCTCAGTTATTGCACCTGAGACAATTTTCAGAACTGTAGCCTACTGACAGAACAAGCGGCTAGGTCTGAAGGAGGAAGTACACTGCAACACCGTGGCAAGTATATACTGTGATTATATCCCCACTCCTTTTCCAATGGGTTTTCCATCTATTTACTCAGGTGATTGTACACTTGGGAGAGGAGGGAACACCCAGACATTTCAAGAACTATTGGATATAGGTCTAAATTAACACCGATACCAGAAGACTAAAGCATTATTAGGCTTCTCTGTTAGAGTTGCAGGCTTATGGAAATCAATAAATAAATTTAGTCCTGGCTGGAGTACAGTTCTTAGTGGGCCAATCAGATTCACAGACGCATCCAAACATCCTCCCAGTTCTGGAATGCATAATTGGATTTGCTGTACCTGGAAGTTGGAGTAAACCCCACATCGAGTTTCTGATCGTTATAAGAGCTTCTGTAGTGGGAAAAGCCAAGTGAAAACCTCTTAAAATACCTTCCTCCTGCCAAGATAGTAAATCAAACACAATTTTGCAAACCAAACACAGGAAATTAATGCTACCCTTCAATATCCTAAGGATGTTCCTATTGCATCTCCATTTTATTCATCAGTCTGGCCCCTGTAGAAACTGGATGGATCCTGGCTAATGAAGCCAGGGCTTCACTAAGTGGTAGTTCAGATCACAGCTGCTGTGATTGTTGCTAGCAAATATTGTCACTAGAGTAGGTACATGGTATACAACAGATTTGGCAAGTGTGTGTTTTTCCATTCTAATTAGAAGAGAGGATTAAAAACAGTGGGCAAGATAAGAACATTTACTTACAGTTTTTCTAAAAGCTATGTTAATTCTCACACCTCCAGTCATAATATTGTCATACAAGATTTAGGCTGTCAGGATATCATGAAAAACATCACTTTGATCCATTACCCTGACACCATCATTCTGATTGGACAGGACAGGTAAGAGGTAGCCTGCACACTGGAGGCCTTAGTAAGACATGTGCACACCAGAGGATTGGAAGATAAAGGCCATGGGGATTCAGAGTTCTACATCGGTGAAGTTTTTAAGGGTCCAGTGGTCAAAGGCATGCCAGGATGTCCCCACCAAAGGAAAAGACAAATCACTGCCTCTTGAATCTCCCACTGCAAAGAAGAAAGTAGTGCACCTGGTAGACCTCTTAGGGTTTGTGGGAGAAAATGTCCCGCCCATAAGATAACTTCTCCAGTCCACACACTGGGTGACACGGAAGGCTGAGAGTTGTGAGAGAGGCTGGGAGCAAGAGAGGGATCTGCAGTAGGTCCTGGCTGCAGTGCAAGCAATTCTTGGACCATCTCATCTGACAGACCGTGCAGTGTCAGAGGTGTCAGTGATAAGAAAGGAGGCAGGGTAGGGTTTAAGGCCATTCCCCATGGGAGGATCGCCATACAGACCCCTAGGGTTCTGGAGAATGGCCATGCCATCCACGTAAGACAATTAGCTTCCATTGTGCTTTTGGGCCCTGATAGAGACAATGCTTGACCATGGGACACCAAGTGACTGTGTGCCTCCTAGCTAGTTGCTATCAGAACTACCAAGTCATAAAGACATATCCAGTAGTAATCCTTCCTAAATTGAGCCTGAGCATCACCAGAAGGCAAGAGTCAGTGCCAGAGCAGTAGCCCAGACCCCTGTGTTACAGTTGCCCCATAGTGTGGTTACTCATGTTAAAAGCCAGTAGAGGGGAAAAATCTCCCCAGTGAGTGGAGCTGCAAGCAGTGCACCTAGTCACCTGGTCGTTAACTTTGTGTAGAAGGAGACGCAGCCCAGGATGAGAAAAAAATACACACATACACACACACACACACACACACACACACACACACACACACACACAGCATATATGTATGTTTGTTAATGTGTATATATATATATAAAATAGTATACACATATATATAATGAATAGTGTACATATTATACATAATAATTAGTGTGTCTATGTATACACACACACACACACACAAATTCATTGAATGGATTCTGAGTTTGAAGAATGGCTCACATCCAGAAACTAGGCACGGAATCATGACTTTTTATTGAAGTGTCCCTCATCTGCCTCCTGATTATCCATTATTTTGGTGGTATAGATGGAGCAACAGCCTTGGTATCTGCCACTAGAAAATTTATTTTCTAATAATTATCTTCATAGCCCTCTTCAAGTCAGACCTCTGGCTGCTACTTTGATGTTGTTGCTCATTCTGATAGTTGTGCTCACCTTCCTTATAACGGTTAATCACCATCACCTGGTCTCCATTATTAAAGCATCCTCTTATTGTTAATAGGGAACCCGATTCTGTAACAGCATATTTTACTGGCTACCTTGACCTTCAGATACCCATCACTGAACTTCTTCATGTTACTGGTACTTACTTATTTACTTACTGCTGTGCTAAACCGAGCATCCTCCTGGCTCTCCCACGGCCATTCCGGTGGGTTTTCTGGTCTGATGCAGGATATCCACTCTTCCACATTAATTTCTCTGAGTGTTTTGATCCCTTCTTCCACTGTCAGTCTTGACAGTTCTGGCATTTTACCTTCACTTAGTGTGGCCCATCACTTTCCTAATGCTTCTAAGAACCATGTAAACAGTACATTAACACTGTTTCCCAGGGGCCTGGCCAGGCTGTTACATCTTTTGTTACAGGAGAGTACTCCTATACCTATAATATCTCTCCTATCCAACGTTATGCTCCACCTCCATTGATCCAACATTCTCAGAACCTAGTCCCATGCTTACCGTCACAGCTTGATGGTATATATTTGCTAGATCTTGTAGCTCCTTTGGAAAACAGTTTGTCTCATCTTCTAGCAAGTTTAGCACTTCTTTGTCCAGGTTATACAGTAACTTAATGCTAGTTATTGCTCTGGTATATGGGAGGGTGAGTGGAAGCAGACCTTGAGGGGGATACATATTGTCTATAAAGGTCACATGGACTTTAAGCAAGCATGGAGTACTGTTTTTTAATAGGGAGAAATGGTCCCCTTTGAAAGCCCCTAGAAGGTTCAGAGAAGTTTGGGCAATCAAGATGCTAGAGTACATCAACTTAGATGTTCTTCCTTCTTGTCTCAGGGTACCAATCAGGGCACTGACCTTTATGTAGCTGACCTCCAGAAATTTAGAATTTATCCTGCTCTTCTCATAATTACGCCCCGGGTCTCATAGTCAGCATTTCCTGCCTACCTTCTGGCTGCAAGTAGAGTTTCTATATGTTGCCAAGGAGGTCTTCTATTTTACACACAACCTCTAATGGGTAACTAATCACCCTCAGCCTTTGATTGCCTCTCTCCAATATTTTTATTGCTCCCAGCACCGTTCACCCATTCTATTTTTCTTGTATTTAATTCCTCTGCAATTCTCAAATACTTGATATTTTGCATCTGCCATGCATTCTCTACCATCTCAGTTCATCACTGAGTAAATGTTATCAGTTGCACTGCTATCTTCCAGGAAGACCGGGTGCAGTTCCAGTCCAAGCTGAAAGACTGAAAACCAGAGGAGCCAATGATGTACGTTGCAGTTTGAGTCTGAAGGCCCTAGTAACTATGGGCTGCTGGTATAAGTACTGGTTCAAGTCCAAAGGCCTGAAAACCAGGAGCACCAATGTTTGAGGGCAGAAGATGGATGTCTTAGCTCAGGCAGAGAGAGTGTGTCCTTCCTCTACTTTTTTGTTCTATTTGAGGTCTTAGCCAGATTGGAAAATGCCAGCCCTCATTGGAGAGGGTGATCTTCTTTATTCAGTCTACCTATTCATATGCTAACCTTTTCTGGAAAAACCCTCACAGACACACCCAGAAATAACATTTTACCATCTCTCTGGATATCCCTTAGCCCAGTCAAGTTGACACATACAGTTAACTAACTATCACAATCTGTTGGTCATTTGTAAGTACTTTGACTATTCCTCGGAGTGTGAAGGCTCCTGATCAGAGAAATGTTCTAATCTGACTTAGTTTTTAAAAGGATCACCCAAGCTACACTGTTAAAATTAGTCTATGATATTATCTATAAAACTACTGCAAGAGTCTAGGTGAGAGTTCATGATGGCTGAGACCAGGGTAAAGAAGAAAAATGATGGGAATATTGTTAGGGTTTAGCGAATAATATTCCTGTATGAAGTGGATAAAATTCTTGCAAGTGAGACTTTTCTCTCCCTCCAGTGAATTGTTTCAATTCTCAGTCTTTGCACAAAGGAGCACACCTGGAGTTCCAAATCAGAAAGGGAATCCAAGGGGTCCTGTACCTCTTGATTTATAAATTTGAAAACATAAGATCTAAGAATGGATACTGAAACTGATGTTTGCTTTATCCTGTGGGGCACATTCAATCTCGTGCAGCTTACACACTCTTAGTTTGAGCTCAATAACCATGTGGCATGTTTTTTGTTTGCTTGTTTTTGGTTTATTTGTTTGTTTGTTTTTTTTTGTGACAGAGTCTTGCTCTGTCGCCCAGGCTGGAGTGCAGTGGCACGATCTCGGCTCACTGCAAACTCCGCCTCCCAGGTTCACGCCACCATGTGGCATGTTTAATTCTTTGATAAATGCAGTTTTGCCTTGGCCCCAGTGAAGCTGATAGGGACCTGAAGTAAGGTCAGACAAGTAAAATCCTCAGACAGAGGATTACTCTAATTCCCACTGGAGTAAATATAAACTCATGAGGGAAAATGCAGCGTTATGACTTCTCCAAGGTCAAATATACATGTCTCAAGTAAAGCACTTGAAATTGGGGGAAAAATTCATAAAAGGGACAAAAAGTGTGGTCCGAAGCACATGATAGTCCCATGTTGCATTTCAAAAAAGTTGTAATCAGTCCAGCACGGACCCCAGCACGGTGGTAGTAACAAAGTAGATGCTTTGTAAGCCAAAAGGATGGACTTCTAAAAGCTTTATGAGCTAGTCTAAAAGTAAAATAATTGCCTCAAAATTGGAGACCCAGTGTGGTATGTATTTCAAATCTGTTTTATATTTTAATAACTGAATAATAGCAGCCTACGGGAAGGTCAGTTAGGTGTTTCTTATTTTTATCACTAAATCTGACTGACAACAAGGGAAATACTAGCAGCCATCCATGTGGTAGTCAAAATTTAAATCCAGTCTGTTAGGGGCAATACAGTATTAATGCCATGCCAGGAAATATTGGCCCTTCATAAGAAAAGCAATTATGTTCTATTTTTATACTTAGATTAGATCCCAGTTCAAGAGAATGTAAGAAAAGAGGCAAACATTTTAGGTAGTAGCCCACAGAAATTAAAGATGATATAAACAAATGGAAAAACATTCAATGCTCACAGATAGAGATAATCAATATTGTTAAAATGGCCATACCCCCCAAAGCAATTTACAGATTCAATGTTATTCCTATCAAACTATCAATGGCGTGCTTCACAGAATTAGAAAAAAAAAAACTCTTTTAAAATTCATGTGGAACCAAAAAATGAGCTCAAATAGCCAAGGCAATCCTCGGCAAAAAGAACAAAGCTGAGCACAACATAGTACTCGACTTCAAAATATACAAGGCCACAGTAACCAAAACATTGTGGCACTGGTACAAAAACAGACATGCAGAAAAATGGAACATAAGAGAGAGCCCAGAAATAATGCCACATACCTACAACCATCTGCTCTTCAACAAAGATGACAAAAACAAGCAATCGGGAAAGGAATTCCTTTTCAATAAGATGGTACTGGGATAACTGGATAGCCATATGCAGAAGATTGAAACTTGACCCGTTCCTTACACCATATTCAAAAATCAACTCAAGACGGATTAAAGACTTCAGTGTAAAACCTAAAACTATAAAATCCCTGGAAGATAACCTGGAAAATAGCATTACCAACATAGGAATGTGCAAAGGCTTCTTGACGAAGACACCAAAAGCAATTGTAACCAAAACAAAAATTAACAAATGGGACCTAACTAAACTAAAGAGCTTGTACACAGCAAATGAAACTATCAACAGAGTAAACAGATAACCTACAGAATGGGAAAAATATTTGCAAAATACGCGTCCAACAAAGGTCAAATATCCAGAATCTATAAAGAACTTAAATTTACAAGCAAAAGCAAACAGCCCCATTAAAAAGTGGCCAAAAGTCATTAACAGACTCTTTTCAAAAGAAGACATACATGCAGCCAACAAGAATATGAAAAAATGTTCAACATCACTCATCATTAGAGCAATGCAAATCAAAACCACAATGAGATACCTTCTCATACCAGTCAGAATGGTGATTAATAAAAAGTCAAAAAATAACAGTTATGGTAAGATTTCAGGGAAAAGGGAACACTTATACTGTTGGTGGGAATATAAATTAGTCAAGCTGCTGTGGAAAGCAGCTTGGCAATTTCTGAAATAACTTAAAGCAGAATTACCATTCAACCCGGCAATCTCATTATTGGGTATGTACCTAAAGGAACAGAAATTATTCTGCCATAAAGACACATGTACGTGCATGTTCATAGAAACACTATTCACAGTAGCAAAGACATGGAATGAACCGGTCTATCAATAGTAGACTGGATAAAGAAAACATGGTAGATATACACCATGGAATACTATGTAGCCCTAAAAAAGAAGGAGATCATGTCCTTTGCAGCAACATGGATGCAGCTAGGGGCCATCATCCTAAGCAAACTAACACAGGAACAGAAAACCAAATACTTCATGTTCTCACTTATAAGTGGGAGTTAACTTCGTGTGTATATGGACGCAAAGAAGGGAACAGCAGACACCAGGACCTGCTTGAGGGTGGAGGGTGGAAGAGGGTGAGGATGGAAAAACTACCTATCCGGTACTATGCTTATATCCTGGGTGACAAAATAATCTGTACACTAAACTCCTGTGACATGCAATTTACCTATATAACAAACCTGCATGTGTATCCCTGAATCTAAAATAAAAGTTAAAGAAAAAAGTTCATAGAAGGAAGAGTAATCATGAGAGTAAGTTTTGGGGAAGTCTGGGAAAAGGGTTCTGGCCTTAGGACTCTGCAGAGTTTTGCTAATTAAAAACTGAAGAGGAGAAAACTTCTTCTTGCATGACAGTATGAGGAACTCTGCAGACCCACTGCCAAGTGAAACTAGTAAAAACTATTTAAAAACAACCTTTTAAAGTCTCTGTAAATGGTGATAAGGATGGGCAGCAATTGAATAAATACCTATTCAAATCATCTACAAATATTCTATAGATTATCATCAGGTATTCGTTTTCCTATGCCTACTTTAACAAGCTACCACAACTTTGGTAGCTTAAAAGAAATTTATTCTCTCACAGTTCTGGAGGTTAGAAGTCTGAAATCAGCATCACTGAGCCAAAATCTAGCAGGGTTGTGCTCTCTCCAGAGGCTGTTCTTTGCCTCTTCCACCTGGCAACCAGCATTCCTTGGCATGTAGCTGTATCACTCCAATCTCTGCCTCCATGATCACATTGCTTTTTTCTCTTTTGTCTGTGTCAAATCTCTTTCTGCCACTCTCTCATACAGACCTATAAAGTAAATTGTCATATAAGGTAATATTCAGAGGTTACAGGGATTAGGAGGTGGATATCTTTTGGGGAGGCTATTACTCAGTCTATCATCCTTCAAAAAAGAAATAATTAGATGGACAGCTCAATTCTCAACAGAAACTATAGAAGACACAATACAATAGTATGATGTGCTCAAAGCACAGAAAAAATATAGCTGCTGATTTAGAATTCTATACCCAGAAAAAAATATGCTTCAATAAAGAAGATGAGTAATATTCCATTGCACGTGTGTATGTGTGCGTATCACATTTTCTTTATTTACCCATTTGTTGATTGATACCTAAGTTGTTTCCATATCTTGGCTACCACAGTAGCCAAGATAATGCTGCAATGAACATAGAAGTGCAGATATCTCTTTGAGATAGTGATTTTATTTCCTTTAGATCGATACCCAGTGCAGGATTGTCAGATCATATGTTTGTTCTATTTTTAATTTTTTTAATGGAACTTCCATACTGTTTTTAATAATGCTATACAAATTTACATTTCTGCCAATAGTGTACAAAGCTATAGTGATCAAGATGGTGTGGTTTTAGCTAAGAGACAGAGACATAGATTAATAAAACCAGATAGAGTTCAGAACCAGACTCACATAAATACAGCCCAGCAATTTTTACAAAAGACTAAGGCTATTCAATTGAGAAATATTGGCTTTTCAATAAGTGCTATTGGAACGATTAGACATGTTTTGTTAAAAATTGAAACTCTACCTAAACCTCACACTTTAAACAAAAACTAACTCAAAATGCATTATCTAGATGTTAAATGAAAAACTATAAAAGTTTTAAAAGAAAACATGGAGTCAAGTCTTCATGACCTAGAGTTAGGCAAAAAGGTCTTAAACATGACACCAAAAGAATGACTCATAAAAGAAAAAAAGATAAATTAAACTTCCTCGAAACGAAAAACGTTTGCTTTGAGAAAGAATAAAAAGTCAAGCTACAAACTGGAAACATTTTTGCCAATCATATATCTAATAATGGTCTTACACACGGCCGGGCGCGGTGGCTCACGCCTGTAATCCCAGCACTTTGGGAGGCCGAGGCGGGTGGATCATGAGGTCAAGAGATGGACACCATCCTGGCTAACACAGTGAAACCCCGTCTCTACTAAAAATACAAAAAAATTAGCCGGGCGTGGTGGTGGGCGCCTGTAGTCCCAGCTACTCGGGAGGGTGAGGCAGGAGAATGGCGTGAACCCGGGAGGCAGAGCTTGCAGTGAGCCGAGATCGCCCCACTGCACTCCAGCCTGGGCTACAGAGCGAGACTCCGTCTCAAAAAAAAAAAAAAAAAAAAAAAGTCTTACGCGCAAATTACATGAAGAGCTCTCAAAACTCCAATATGATAAAATAACAACACAATATTTTAATTGCCAAAAGATAACGATACATACTTCACCCAAAGCAGACATGTGGATGGCCAGTAAGCACATGGAAAATTGTTCTACATCTTTAGCAATAGTGAAATGCAAATTAAATGCATACATTTGAGAGAGAATAAAATTCAAACAAATTTTTAAGTTAAAAACAGCATTACAAAATGATAGCAATAATGAACAACTTTGACTCTTATACATTATTAGTGGGAATGTAAAATGGTACAGCAGATGTGGAACATGATTGGGTAATTACTCATAAACATACACTTACTGTATGACTCAGAAATGCCACACCTGAGAGAAATAAAAACATATGTTCACACAAAATCCTACACATCAATTTTTATATAAGCTGCATTCATATTTGCCAAAATGTGGAAACAATGCAAATGTCCTTCCACAGTGATGGATAATCTGTGTTGCATCCATACAATGGATTACTATTGAATAATAAGAAGGAATGAACTGCTGATATACACAACAACCTGGATAAACCTCAAATATAATGTGCTAAGTGAAAGACACCAGTCTCAGCAAGTTACATTCTCTATTCTCCCATTTATATGACTTTGTCCAAAAAGCGAAACTATAGTGATGGAGAACAGATGAGTGGTTGTCAAGGTTATGTGTGAAGGGAAAGGAGTTTTTCATTTTGAGGAAGTCTAATTTATCTTTTTTTCTTTTATAAATGAATAGCACGTGAAATTTTTTTGCAGAGGGCGATGAAACAGTTCCACATTCTCCTTGTGGTTGTGGTTACACAAATCTGTACATGTGTTAAAGCCTAAAACTGTACATACAGCAAAAGGGAAAAAAAGAGTTTTATCATTTGACAATTTAAAAAAATAAAATAAGAAAATGAGAAAACTGTAGTTAACAATATTAACATCAGAAATTCTTGCTTTCATAAGAAGGAAAGTTACTTTGAATAAACAGGGACATTACATAATGATAAAAGATTCAATTCACCAAGAATATAGCAATACCAAAGGTGTGAACCTAAAAGCAGAGCCTCCAGATAAATGAAACAAAAACTGATAGGACTAAAATGATAGCCAAATCTACAATTATATTTGGGGATTTTTATACTCATCAGTGAGTAAATAATAAAGTAAACAGAACATTTCTGAGTACGAAAGAACTGTAATGACACTATTAACAAACTTAATCTAATTTGCACATGCAAACCACCACACACAACATGGAAATATAAATTACACTCAAGCACACATGGAATATTCACCAAGAGGAGCCATAAAACACCTCTTAAAAATTTAAAAGAATTGAAATCATGCAAAGTATGTATTATATTTTGAATGTGTCCCCCAAAAGCATTTGTTGGAAACTTAATCCCCAATGTAAAAATGTTGGGATATGGGACCTAATGAGAGTGTTTAGGTCATGAGGTCTCCACTCTCATGAATGGATTAATGCAGATTATGAAAGACCTTGAGGCTGTGAGTTTAATCCCTTGTTCTCCCTCACCCTTTCTTTTCGTCCTTCTGCCACGGGATGACACAATAGGAAGGCCTTCACCAGATGGTGGACTCCTCAATCTTGGACTTTCCAGCCTCCAGAACTGTGATCCAATAATTTCTGTTCATTATAAAGTACCCAGTCTGTGGTACTCTGTTATAGTAGCACAAAAGAGGCTAGGACAGTATGCTCTTTAATTACAATGAAATAACACTGAAGAATATAACAAAAGAAATATCTGTAAAGTCCTCAAATATTTGCAAATTATATAACACATTTTTATAACCCATGTTTCAGAAGAAACAATTCAGGGAAATTAGAAAATATTTTCAATTAAGTTAAAATTGCAACATGAGAATTTGTGAGATTCAGCCAAACTCATGCTTAAAGGGAACTTTATATCATTACATGTTCATATTAGAGAGAAAGAAAGAGATCTAAGCAATAATCTAAGCTTTCTCCCTTAAGAAACTATATAAAGAAAAGTAAAACAAATCTAAGGCAAGGAGAGAGATGGGGATAATATAGATAAGAGCAGATACTAATAAAATTAAAATTGGAAAAACAATGACTAATATCAATGTAACCAAATTCTGACTCTTTGAAAAGACCAGAGAAGCTGAAATACCCAGTGTCAGAATGATAAATATTTGAAACAGGATTGTTGAGAAGCCATGGCTAAAGAGTACAGCTAAAAGCCTAGGAAACTCTACATATAGAGTGAGGGATATATGATACAAGAGTTTTAAGAAAGGGCAAAAATGACCTTAAAATTAACAAATCTCTTATGATCTAGTAGTAATGTTTAATTGTTTAAAAGTGTGGAGTAGCCCACAAATCATTTAAATATACAGCAAAAGCATATAAAGAAAACAAGGTGAGAACACGGAAAAATAAGAAAGCATTTTTATATTGTAAGGGGAAAAATACTGCCTGAATATAAAATGGTGTTAGCAAGAAAATGTATTAGCAAAGATACTAGTGTTTACTCATTTCATTTTTTTTGAGAACGTGAACTCATATTTTAAAAGAAGAAAAAATAAAAATACTATGAGATTATTCCATTGCAAAGCAATAAATTATGTGCATATATTTTATATCTGAAAATCTATAGACATACATTTGGATCAAAATAATTTGGTAAAATTCAGAGATTTATGAGTTTTAGGAAAAAAGCTATGGAACAAAAAGTAAAGGAAGTACTCACAGGAAGAAAAAGGGTGTGTATTCCTTCTACAAGGGAAAAAAAGAAACAAACAATATGGCGCTGAGAAAATTCTGAGGCCCCAACACAATACAGAATCATATCAGTGTGAGAGACCGCTAATGGCTTGGTTAGGACAGTGTGGGCATGAAAACATTAAAATGGAGAAACTGTGATTACAGAAAATAAATATGTGGGATGAGCACATAACACTTCCAGTACAGAAGAAATATTAATAAAATCATAAATTACAGTTATTTTTACATGGTATTGACTTTGTGAAAGACAATCATGTATTAACTGAAGAAGCCGTGATGTGTAATCACCTGTGGAGAAAATTGTTGATCATTATTCTGAAAATCTTGCATCATTCTTATTAAAATAAAGAAATGTTGCATCATTCTTATCAAAATAAAGAAATGTTTAAAGAAAAGTGCATTTTCAGACATTGCTTGGAATTAGTGACAATAATGACTGAAGCACTTTTTAAAAAACATAATTTGTTTATTGTGAGCTTAGAGAAGAGACATGAATAACATTCATAATAATGAATATAACCATAATAATTCCTTCTGCCAAGACTGCCTATACACAGTCCTTTATATAAATACTGGATTCAAACATGCCATGTAGAATATGATTTAAATATAAATATAATTTTCCTTTAAAATATAAGTTAACTTTTCTAGAGGGAGGACTTTAAAAACAAGGTAGTTTCTTACCTCTTTAGCATTGTATTTGAAAGTGTGAAAGAAACTGGGTGACAACATATAGCCTACTAATTTTATTTCAAATTATTTGTTTCTTTCTGGTTACAAAGATGGTAAGCATATCAGAGGCTGAATAAAAGAATCAAGCAAGAGGTTAATCAATATTGGAAACAAGCCAACTAAAGAATATATGTTTATTTTTGGTAGTCTAAATCATCTTTTAAAATATTTATAATATTTTATAATTATCAAGGTAATTCATGTGTTTCAGATGTGTTGGAAAATATTGAAGGCATAAATAAGAAAATAAATAAATCAATTACATTTCCCCTAGCAAGAAAAGAACATTGTTGCTATTTTGCTGTATATTCTCCCAGTTCCACGTAAGTCTATAAGAACACATATGGGTGTCCCATAGTCTTCCAATCCTGCTTTGTAATTTAAGTAAGTTTGAAATATTGGCATCTCTGTCATGCAAAGATAGGTTTTAAATTTGGAGCACAGAGCTTCTGCTTCTGGCCAAGATTAAGTAATAAGGACCAAAATTATACATATGCTTACAACAACTAGAACCCAGACAAAATATATGAAACAACACTTTTCAATTTATTGGACATAGGCAACAAAGGTTAGTTATTTCTGATAGATGAAAAACAAAAAAGGAAAGTCCTGCAATTGTACCCAGCGTATTGCCTGAAGACAGATTGCAAATGGCAGTGCACAAAGCAGGAGCCTGATTGTATCCTTCAGCTGAGGATCTGGAGCAGGCAGTCCAGAAAGGCCAAAGTGGCTGGAGGTTTCAGTGCAAAATACTGGAAAAGAGAAAGGTACACAGGGAGATCTCCTGAACTCACAGAAAGCTTGACATAATTCCCATTCCCAACAGGTAAAGTACAGTATCTCACAATTGACAGGGCATTGGTTAGAGCACTCAGAATGGTTTTGTCTTAGTAATGAAGAAATACCGACCATAGACAAAACACTGCTCTGATCTCACATAACAAATTAAAGCATGGCCCAATAGAATCATACTATTTCCAAGAAACTTAACTATGGCCCAGAAAAAATCTCAAGAATATTTATTTATAGACACACAAAAATACCCAGCACACATCAAGGTAAATTTCACAATGTCTAGCATCCAATCAAAATTGCCAGGCATTCAAAAAGAAGGATAGTAGGATGAATGATATCAAGAAAAATCAATTGATAATACTAACATACAAATGAGACAGATGACATAGTAGATAAGGATAATAAAAACACTTATTAAAACTGAATTATATATGTTCAAGAAATTAGAGGAAAAATTAAGCAGGTAAAATAGAGACATAGACAATATTTTAAAAACTAAATCATCTTTGACATATGAACACTATAATGTCTGAGTTGAAAAAATATAACAGTGTGGATTAATAGGGGTCAAGTCATAAAAGAAGAAAAGATTAGTGAACTTGAAGATACAGTGATAGAAACTCTCCAGAATAGAAACAGAAAGAAAAAACACAGGAAATAATGAGTAGACCATCAGTGAGCTATGAGGCAACTTCAAATGGCCTAATATGGATGCATTGGGAGACCTCCCAAAGGAGAGGAAATATGGAGGATAAAAATCATTTGAAGAAATAATGAAAATTATCCAAATTTGATGAAAACCATAAATCTACAGAGGCAAGAAAATAAAAGAATCCCAAGAACAGGAAATATGAAGAAAACTGTACAGCACCTCATAATAAAATTGCTTAAAACCAGTGATAAAGGGAAAATCTTAAAAGTAGAAAGAGGCAAAAAAGGTATTTTACCTACATATGGATGAAGATAAAGACAACAGCATATTTCTTGTCAAAAACAATGAAAGCCAGAGAAAAGCAGAACAATATCCTTAAAGCACTGAAAGAAAAATAGTGAACCTAAAATCCACAATGTCTGACATTCACTGGCATCCCAGGGAAAATACGTTTCAAATCAAAGATGAAATAAAGTATTTTTCAGAATCAATCACCAACAGAAATGCAGTACAGGAAATGTTAAAGAAAGTCCTCCAGGTAGGCAGAAAATGATACCAATAGAAATCTGGACTAACACAAAGGAATGAAGAGCATCAAGATTTGCAACTTTATGGATAAATATAATTTCTCTATTATGTAAATGTCTTTAAAATGACTGTTTAAAGCAAAAAACGTACTGTATTGTGAAGTATATAACACATGTAGGAATAAAATGTGTCTCAACAATAGATGAAAAGCTAAGAAGGGAGAAATGGAAGTAAATTGTTGGTTTTCATGTGTTTGACTATTCTGAGTTCCAGTGGTCAGCTTGCTTCCTTTTTGTACCCAAGGCCCTAGCACAGTAGCCAGGTGGGCCTATATATGTCAGGCGTTTAAATACCACTCATCATTTAAAGTGTGAACACAGTGTCACTGGAGGGAATCTGTGAACTCCACACCCAAATTACTCTTCTCTGTTAAATAAGGAACTCATAGGAATCCCTTCATCTTGTGTTCTTGAAGGGAATTAAGCTATACATCTTTAATAGACTTTAGTTGAGATTAGGCAATCTGAATATCAGTAAAGATGATTATGTGCTGTGTTGGGGGAGCAGAGGCAACATACATAAGTAAAACGTACCAAGCTCTTTGCTCTTGTTTAGGACGGTTGAACGTGATCTGAGAATACTTTCAAAAGAAAGTAAAAATGCCCGGCTGGGTGCGGTGGCTCACGCCTCTAATCCCAGCACTTTGGGAGGCCGAGGCAGGCGGATCACGAGGTCAGGAGATGGAGACCATCCTGGCTAACATGGTGAAACCCTGTCTCTACTAAAAATACAAAAAAAACCAAACAAAATTAGCTAGGCGTGGTGGTGGGCGCCTGTAGTCCCAGCTACTCAGGAGGCTGAGGCAGGAGAATGGCGTGAACCTGGGAGGCAGAGCTTGCAGTGAGCAAAGGGGAATGGTGAGTTGGAGGGAGGGGAGTGAGTCCCATGCTGACAATAAAAAATACATGAGTGAGCAGGAGGACAGTGTGTATCTATGTGGGTTTAGGTCAGGGGATGGGGTGGGGGGACACAATGAGGAGCCTGGGAAACCAGAAATGGAATTGTAGCATATACAGAGAATGGAGAGTTTGGGAGGTCACAAGTTTTTGGCAGTGCCTGGCAACAAAGTTGAGATTCTGTGTGGCAGACAGAATGGCATCCACACAGATAGATGCCTGTGTGAGGGCATGAGAAAGTCCGTGTCTGGGAAGGGCCTTTTGCACAGAACTGCTCCAGTAGTGCTCAGGGGTGTCAGGGCCCAATGCTCTGAGGGAAAAAAAGGTGCTGGGTAGACAGGACTATGGGATGAGTCCTCGCTTCATCCACACTGCTCTGTCTTCCTCATGTTCATGGACTGGAGTTCTGTGGAAGGCTTCTGTTGGAGTAAGAGTTTCCACATCTAAAATTTTGACAACCACTTTCCACCAACTAGATACAAAATACATCATGAAGTACTGACCCCCAGGTACTTCGACTCCAGATTGCTTCTTGCCCCTTGTTCTGTTTGTCATGATAATCTTTATTTAGTTATGGTAGAGCTGCCAGCTGCCAAAAACAGCACACTCTTATAGGAGATAAGTGTCTGGGTATTAGTAGTTATACACTTAATCTTGGACAACAGATGCCAAGAGCACTAAAAGTAACATAATATAGCATATATGACATTGAAAATGGATGATATATAAATCTGGCCAGGCACAGTGGCTCATGCCTATAATCCAGGCATTTTGGGAGGCTAAGGTGGGCAGATCACCTGAGGTTGGGAGTTTGAAACCAGCCTGGAGAACATGGCAAAACCCTGTCTCCACCAAAAATACAAAAATTTGCTGGGCATGGTGGCACATGCCTGTAATCCCAGCTACTCAGGAGGCTGAGGCATGAGAATCTCTTGAACCCGGGAGGAGGAGGTTGCAGAGGGCTGAGATCGTGCCATTGAGTCTGGACAAGAGAAACTGTGTCTCAAAAAAAAGGATGATATATAAATCTATATACAACATGAGACAGCTGAAACATATATACAACTATATATTGACACAAATGCATATGCACATATACCCATATGCCCATATACCCGTATGGGCATATACACATAAGTAGTTGCATATACACATATGCAACTATATATATTCACACAAATGCATATACACATATGTATTTTTATACAAATATACATGTTTATATACAAATATACATGTTTATATATATACAAATATACATGTTTATATACATGTTTACACATGTATATAACAAATATACATATATGTATATGTATATATGTTTATATATGCATATATAACAAATATACATGTTTATATGTGTATATGCAAATATATACATATATTTGTACATATACACACGTGTATACATGAAGATATACATATATCTTTGTATATATGTATATATACACAAATATGTATATACACAAATGTATACACACATATATAGGAAACATTCCCTATTTGGATTTCTGGAAGTGTTCTCTCTCCCTTTCAAGCCTCCTGTACGCTTCCTTCCTTTATTAAACTTTGTGTAACTTTGGTTACCAAATAAATGTGTTTGCAAGAAATGGAATGGCGTCATGTAGCATGTAAGCCAGTATCTACACAATAATCACTTGATTTTACTTAAGCCTATAGCCTCAAATTACTTCTCGTGATGCAGCCAACCTAATATCCAGTCTTGGCCCCAACCAGATAGACAGACCCCTTTCTCTACTGCCTACTTGATAGCACCACCTGGACAGGCTACAGTACCTCCCTGACTACATAGTGCACACGGACCTCATCTCCACACTCTTCCCCACCAAAACAACACCAACTCTTCCTCCTGCACCTTACTCTCAACTAAAGGAATAGCATCACCTAGGCACAACCTCAGAAGTCAGATCAATAGCAATTCTCTCCATCAGTTCACAGTCCCTCACTTCCTAAAACGCTCACATGTCTTTCCACCTCACCATCTTCTCCACACCCCTCACAGAATGAATTAAGGGGCTTGCCACTTTCTTTTGTATTGTTGACTTGGTGTGTCCTCAGCATGTGTTCAATAAATGTTTGCTGGATGAACAAATGAATGAATGAATGAAATTACCAGGCAAGGCATCAATGAAATCACTGATTTAAATTTCAGAGCCTGACCCCACCTAGGCCTCCTGCCTCCATGAGGAAACATACACTTCCCTCACCTATGATTGCTTGAGTTCAAAATTTCCATGGAAACTACCACTGAGAGGGTCACTGTGGATGCCTCCTTCCCAGGCCCAAACACCATCATGGAGATGAGGATGCTCCCAACAGGATGGTGCATGATGCTTCATGCATTGGACCCTGTACATCCCTGTCAGTTTAACAAGGGATTGTGCCATCTCTACTGAGTTTCCATCCAACCTGCCCATGTCCACACCTTGGGCCAGCCCTCTACCCTAGACAGTGTCTGGAGGCAAAATAGGCAAGCGGTCACAGCTTCAGGACACCTGCCCCTTGTGGTCCAAGAGCTCAGAAGACACAGGAAGCCATCTGAGACATGTTCACCACCTGGATCGCTTTCACTGCACTTCCCCACACAGTGCTTCATGTGCAGAGTCTGAGCAGACTAGTCCCGCGGCACTCTTCCTCCGACTTTCCCTCCATGCAGCCACACTGCCACCTTCAACTGCATTCCTGGCCCATCTTGGCTTTCGGTCATCAGTCACCAACCCATTCACATAGCCCAGCTTTGGTGAAGGGTCCCCAGGGGATAAAACACCAGCCCCCAGCAGGCATGAAGACAGCTCCCAGCCCTGGAATGCTGCAGACTTTGCACAGGACCACTGGAATCGTCAAGAGAGGCAGCTTGCCCAGAAAGATGCAGGAAGCCAGCCATATGCTTCCTGACAGAGGGAAGGAAATTCTGAGGGAGGGTGTGGTGTCCTGCACGCGGCTGATGCATTCAGCCAAAAGGCCTGCACATTCAGATCACAGGGCCCAGTCCAATTGGTGATGATGGTGCCCGATTTCCCAAATCTAATCCTGTTGGTTGTCCTGTTCTCCCTCTTCCCTTCCCACTTTTCTTCCTCAGGTTCCTGACCCCACTGGGCTGAACTCTGGATTCAGAGCACTGAGTACCAGCCTGCCTGGGGCTCTGTGGACTTGGTTTCACATGTGGTCTCTCTCATACACCCTGGCAATTGCTCTCCCCTGGATCCTCCCAATGACCCTCATGGGCTGAGGGTGTCCTCCCTGCTCCACTTCCCTGGCTCCTGTTAAGTCTGACCAAAATCCTTCTCAAAGCAAAGTAGAAATGTCCTGTCCACATTTCAGAATTTTAAATAATCTGTGATTTTTATTAGAATGTGAATTGGTACAGCATTTTTTGTAATGAAATTAAAAAATATTTATAAAATGTTAAACTATTTACAACCTTTTCATTTTAACCCAATGTCCATGTTAATACATTTCTTATAAGAAAACATTCATGTTTGCTCAATAATTCATATTCAAAGATATTGATTTTATTCGGTTTATCATACACCAAATGGTAAATAATGTGTTTACTAGGAAGAAAGAGTTTAATTAATTATGGTGCATGCGTACTTCAGAATTATAGAAAGTGGTATCAAAAGAGAGATAGATGTATATATGTGCTGTTGTGGAAAGATCCCATATCCATTTTATGAAGGGACAAACACTAGTGGCAGATCAATATGTACATCATTATTGTCTTATATTAAATAAAAATAATATATTGTTAAAGTTTATGTGTCAGTGAAGAGCCTAGGGTCAGCTTTAAAATAATACACACCAGATGGTTAATTGTGGGACCTCTGAGGAGGGGGCTAAACCGTGGAAGAGCTTTGCAAACTTTAAAATTGTAAATTATCTACATTTCTATAATTTTTGCAATAAGAATATACAAACTATTACTTTTTAAATAAAAAATATTTACATCTAACAGCAGAAATAGCAGCTGTGTCAGTTAAAGTAACTGCTAGCTGATGCAACAGACAAACCCTGACATTTCAATGGCTTGACACAACAGAAGTTTATTTTATGCACACCTAAGTTCTGATGTGGCTTGGCAGAGGTTCTCCACTCCCACGTGACCTGGGGATCCATATTACTTCCACCTTGTGATTCCATCATCTCAAGCTGAAGCTGCCATGTTTGCCATTGAAAGGAGGGAGAAAGAATGGAAATGGCACATTGGCTCTCACATGCCGGGATGTGACAGACAACGCTTCTGCTCATGTTTCAGTGGTGAGGAGTCGTCACACTACTCTTCCTAACTGCAGGTGAACTGTGCTGTTCCTTTGTCAAGGAAAGAGAGGAAGACAAGGTGTGGGTGAGTACTGTAGTCTCCCCCATAAACTGTTACAAAGTGCTTAATAAAAGGCAACTATTCATATTATAATTCGGTGTTACACGATCCAGCTCATTTCTAGGAGGAGTTTCTGAGAAGGTCAAATTTGCCTTGAAGTTCTCCAGATTGTTCAAGTGCCTAATATGTGACTGATACTTTCAAATGTAGGATCACAACTGTCCAGAATCTTGAAAGTCTCAGCAGGAAGGCCTCCCTTTGCAATGCCCTTTATTTTTTTTAACTTTTATTTTAGGTTTGGGGGTACATGTGAAGGTCTGTCACATACATAAATAAGAGTCACAGGAGTTTGTTGTATATATTATTTCATCATCCAGGTATTAAGCCCAGTACCCAATAGATATCTTTTCTGATCCTCTCCCTCCTGCCACCCTCCCTACCTCAAGTAGACTTCAGTGTCTGTTATTTCCTTATTTGTGTTCATAAGTTCTTCTCATTTAGCTCCAAGTACACCGAAAATATTTTCTTCCATTTGATTCCTGGTTAAAATCTTAACCTGTGAGTCTCTGCTACCCTCCACATGCCTGAACACCTGTCGGGTGCCTCTAGGCACACTGAAAGCCAGTATTTTTCCATGGGGCAGTTAAGCATCCAAGAGGCAGTAGAAGGCTGCTTAATTATTCCTTTTTCATCGGAGCTGACATGTATTCCAAGGAATCATTTTTCACCTCCTGGGAGACTATAGGCATTTAGGAATTCAGCCTCAGTATGTAGATGTTTGTTCCACTAGGATTTTCAAAGTTTTTCCCCACCTAATACTCATGAGGGAGGCTTTGGTTTTAAAGCATTCATCTGTGTATGTGTTCAGAGCTGGATTCCAAATAAAACACCCGGTTAAAGTCTAATTTCAAGTATCAAGGTGGTTCCAAACCCCTATTAACTTCGGGGTGACATGCCAAAAACTGATGGATAATATGGCAAATCAGACTCTACTCAACCCATTCGGAAAACACTTGGAGACTGTGTTGAAGATAACCAGAGTGGTACCCAGTTGTCTAAAAGCCACTGTCCCTATGTGAATTTTATATCAAAAAGTTTGCTTATTATCACACGGCTTCCTGGGTGAGAGATGGGACAGCCAGAAGACTTCTACTGTCCCAGAATGCTCCCTGTCAAGAGGTGAGCAGGTGATTTTGGGCTGTTCTGTGGGGACCAGTGACAAGGTGGTCAGCAGGGAAGGTTCCAGAGTCAGACAGGACCATATGGAAGTGACCAGAGGAAATGCGCTGTAGTTCCAGAAAGTGCTGAGACCGGACAGAAATGCCCACACCTGGGGAGACTCAGCTGTCAAGGAACCCAGCGCAAACCAGCCCCGAATGGTGTTTGATTCTCATTGCCACCTTCTCCAAGCCTGCTTTTAGTAATGTTGGCCTCAAGGTCCTTCTTTTTGTCACCTGAGAGACATGGTGCAGTGCTGAGAAGAGAAATAAAGTACCAGTCGGGAGGTCAACCTCAGGCTGGGGGGAATGGGAACAGCATGGGCTCTAAAGGAATTCAGAGCAGGAGTCTGATTCCAGCCCTGTTCCTTACTAGACACATGATCCTGGGGATACCCCGGAAATACTCTGTTATTATGTCCAAGTTCACAAGCCCTGTGAGCCTTGAATTCTTCATCTGTAAGCAGATTTGATAAGCCCTGTCTAGTAGGACTGTTGGAGTGTGTGCAATGTACGTGAAGCACCTGGCTCAGGGAATGGAATTAAATTGGAAGTTTAAGGAAAGGCAGATGGCTGTTACTTCTAGTATTATTTGACCCCAGACCCTAGCATTCTGGGATTTTGTTGCTGTTGTTGATCAGAGAATATACAGCTCAATAGGGCATGGAATAATTAGCCAAAAAAGGAAGTTTCGTCCATAAAATTCAGTAAGAATTACCACTTAGAGAATGTGCCTCAAAATTTGAGTGTGTGGGAGTTTTCCCCAGCCAGATGCAGCTCAAAGCTCCTAGAATTTGAGTCAAAGACCAACTCCTTCCCTCGCTCCCAGCTGCTTTTCCATCCATACCACTATTTTCATTTTGTTACCACCCAAAATCTAGCCCCTGCTTACAATTGGTCAAATTGCACTTGAGATAACCTAATTAGAATGCCTTTTTAATAGTCAGTTCTGGTTCTCCCAGCCAGGTAGAAAAGCACCTGGCCAGTGGCTTCTGGGTCTCCCTTTTGGGGGAGACATACACTTATCTCACAGGAAACCCTTGCAAATAACGGGTGTCCATCACCTAGCTCATGCACTGTGTTCAACAACACTGGGACAAAAGCGCAAGACACCTTCCATTCCTGCCCCAGGTAGAGGCTCCTCTCTGTTCATCCATTGTCACAAAGGAACCGCTCAGAGCACTTTTCCAATCTGGGCTTTTCCCTCTCCCTCTGAGAATCTGGCCCTGGACCCACCAAGCTTCATTAGAATCAGATCCCTCAGAAGAAAATGGAGTTTCCCAAAGCCCAAAAGGCCCCACACAGGGAATTTACACCCGACCACTCTCACCTGGAGCCCCATACCCACACTCGTTACTTTTCCCCTACATCTTAGAGGACATCTTGTCACCTTAATTATATGACCGCGCTCCTAGACTCTTAATACCCTATCGGTAGGTGTGTGTCTGGCTTACCCTAGTATCTCCACTACTAATCCTGGGCCTTCCACAGAGCAGATGCTCAGTGCATAGAGAAGAAATGAGCCAGTTAACAGAAAGAATTATTTATTCAGATTTAATTTCTCTTACATTCACGAAGCCAAGGAAATCCAGGTATGCATATATATTTTTTAAATTTTACAGAATAGACTGAGGCATAAGGCGGGAATTAAGTATCTTTTAATTTATCTCACCTATTTCACGGTGAATTCACACTTCTAAATACTTACTCCACTGCTGTTATTATGTCCCAAATTCACAAAATAGAACGGATTTCCCAATCTGAATAAAAAACAAGACTCTTACTCCTAAACTATATTAACAGCAATATACGTTAACTACGATTCATAAACTTGGATGCTGAAGTTAATTCAACCATCCATTAAAAGGAACATTTCAACAATTGTAAAAGGAAACAGAGATAAATCTCCAAGTCATCCAACAAAATAGAAACCCACTACTAAGAACACTGACTATTTTCTTCAAACAGAGTGAAGAATGGGCCTCATGTTACACGAGGCAAGGGAAGCTGCTGCACAGGGCTGTTAGATGCACTGGCCCAGCCCTGCCCCTTCCCCACAGCCCTGGCTGCAACTCATGCTCAGACTCCCTCTTCCTCCTCTAACAAAGCTGCTTCACGCAGGGATGGGTAGGCAATGCGAACTCTTGCATTGACCCTGACCACATGCTCCAGGACTTTCACATAGCTGGTTTCAGCCAGAGCCCTTGGACCCCACAGGAACTCATAGCGCGCAGGATTACTGCCGGGTACCTGCCGGTACTCCAGGTAGTTTTCCTGCACCCAATCTTGGGTGAGCAGTTTCCTGGGCTCCCCATAGACAGTGTGCTCCCTCCCATCATACACCCCCATCACACCCAGCTCCTCCCAGATTTCCTCCTCAGAGGCGCTGTCGCCCTCCATTGCAATTGTGCCCAGGACGATTATCAGAAGGCCTGTCTTGGGAAAGATCTGATTATTACCCAGCAGGCCATCATAGGAAAGGCCCAGGCAGGTGACAAGGGTGTAGGTGTTGCTGGCGGGGTCCACTTCCTTCACGTCAATGCCAAAGATCATCTTCAGGGACTCGGAGGCTTTGCCGAAGATCACAGGAAAGCAGCGCTTGTAATTTTTGATGACTCTCTCCAGCATTTCTGCCTTTGTGACCAGCTCCTTGGCTCGATACTTGCGGAGCAGAAAATGAGCCAACTCATCCACCTTGTTACTGAGTGCTTCTCGGAACAAGGACTCTGCGTCAGGCGAGGTGCTTGGCCCCTCCTCTTCTTGGCTGCTGGAACCCTCATTGGGTTGCCTCCAGCAAGTGAAGCTGATGGTAGTGGGTAAGGCAGAGGCTCCCTGAGGACTCTGGGGAGGACCTGCTGACTCAGCAGCAGGCACTTCCTCCAGGGTGCCAGGGACCAGAGGAGAGGAGGAGGAGACAGCAGCCTCCTGCTCCTCAGTAGTAGGAGCCTGTGCACCCACCAGGCCCAGGGCCTCTTCTTGGGCCTCAACGCCTTCCTCAGGCTTGCAGTGCTGACTCTTCTGCTCAGAAGACATGATGACTCTGGTCAGGGCAGCAGGCAAGAGTGCAGGCAAAAGCTGGGCAATGGGGACCCACAGGCCTACGGAGAGAGGGAGCATGTGAGAGACCTCAGCTGAGAACCAAATCTTAGAGGCTCTAACAAAGGCTTACTTACAGATCTTCTCCTTGGTGCTCCTCTGTGGCCTCCAGGGAATCCTGTCCTCCGGTTGGCCTGTCTGCTCAGAACCTGAAGGAGGAAGTGAGAGAGCACCTCAGGGTATAGCCGGCCAGCAGAGGTCGATTCTGCAGGATTGATGGTAGGGAGGTGAGGCCAGACTCTTTGGAGTCCTATGTGTCTTGTGGCAGGTGGGGCCCTTGGTGTGCATTCAGGGCAAACATTCACTGCTGGCACAGCCTGTGCATCCTCTGCTCTGTAACCTGAGGACACTGTCTCAGACCAAGGCCTCACTGCCTTGTTCCTGGAGCTCCTAGGAGAGGAATCCATGGGCCCTTAGGGTGCAGACTGTAAGCACAGCCCCGGTCCCTCAGTGCCATCAAGAGGGTAGGCTGGACTCTGTGAGGTCCCCACTCTCATGGAGTGGATGATCCCCACTGTGTTCACTCAGGGCCCTCACATTTCTCCAGGCAGGGCCTGGATCCCACTCTTTTGCTGGCCTGAGAAACTCAGATCAAGAGCTCACATGCCTGAGAGGGAACAGGACCTAAGAAACCCCACATCTGGCCACCTGTGCCTAGGTCTTCCGAAGAACGACAGCAAAAGATGTCGAAATTCATTGGAACCCATGTGTCCTGGATGCGGAGCCTGCTTGGTCCTCACCTCAACTCCTGGCAGAGCCTGGGACCCTCCCTCTACTGACCTGGGTGCAGCCCCCTCAGACCAAGGCCTCCCACTCCGTGACACCAGTGATCCCAGGATAAGAGAGGGACCTCAGCAGAAAGCCAAGCCCATGCTCTCTGGGGTGACAACAGGAGCAGGGCTGATTTCTGTGGGGTCATCATCTGCGTTCTGGCCCTGTGGTACCCTCAATCCTCCCTCACATTCCTCACCAGGACTCTTGGCAGATCCTGGGACCACTGTGTCTGTAGACCAGATGGGGGTCCCTGTGGTGACCTGAGTCACCCTCTGAGAACAAGGTCCTCACCTCACTGAGATCTGGAATCAGAAATGAGAAGGAGCCACATCCTGTCACCCCTGTGTGGGGTGCCCAGGGCTGACCCCTTTGGTTCTGGGGTGAGGGTTCTGATGGCCTCCTGTGGGGTACTCATGTTTGCTCCTGACAGGGCCTGCCCTTCCTCAACCCCCAACCCCCTGAGATGAGCAAACATTGCCCCTTTACTCCAAAACCTCATCTCCCTGAAGGTTCCCCAACTTCCTGCCTGTGGAACAAGTGAAATTGGCACATAGGGCCATCCCTCCTCTGGTCCCCCCTGAGCTAAGAACAGGGGACAGCCAGACTCTGTGGGGTCCCGTCTTTCTGAGCCACAGGTATCCCCATTCCTCGTGAAGTGTGGCACACCTTGGGTCCTGTAGATCCTGGGACTCCTCCCTCTGCGGACCTGAAGTACCACCCCTCAGACCATAGCCCTCTCCTCTCTGTGACCTCGAAGATGCAGGAAGTATGAGCTACAGGTGGCTACCTTGCCCAGGACCTCCCAGGGCCCAGGTCTCCACTGATCTGGAATGCAAGGCCCCCTGAATCCTCCCTCGTCTTCCTTTCCTTGATCCTGGAAGGGCTTGGAACCCACCCCTCTGCTGACCTGAGTTGCCATCCCTTGGATTCCTGAGGCTAAAAGAGGAGGCACCTCATTCTCAGACGGGGTGGGGTGGGCTCCCTGCCTTGGGGTGCTGGGTCTCCTGAGGCCTTCCTCATCTCCCAGGAGGGCCAGGGTCCTCCCTCTGCTACCCTGAGGCTCTGCTCATGATACCAAACCCTCTCCCTCCTTCAGCCCTCGATGTGGATGTCAAGATCCGAGTGCCTGACCATTCCCAGGTCTTCCCGGGGTTGACTGCAGGGGAAAAAATGGATTCTGCAAAACGGAGTTGGGGATGGGGCTGGGCATGTTGGAATGCGGATGGGGTGGGGGTGTAGCGCCCTCAGTTCCCTCTCAAGGTCCTGACCCCGATGCCAGGCAGAGCCTGGGCCCTGCCTTGGGCACACCAAGCTCTTGACTCTAGAGTCCCCTGTAGCTTTAGTGGCAGTGGGAGCTGGGATGGCCTAGCCTGAGAAGTCTTCCCCCGGGTGGTCCAGGACTGGCAGCAGGAGCTGCGCTGGATTATTTGGGTTCCTCTATCTTGGGTGGGGGCCTCCTCAGTCCTTCCTCAGAGTCTCACCTTGCCTCGCCACAGAGCTTGGGCCCGCTCCCCTCAGCCGATCTCAACTGGCCCCTCAGGACTATGCCCTTGATTCTCTGACCCCCAAAAAACATCCCAGCACCAAGCCTGGGGTTTCCCTGGATTGATAGCAGAAGGGGAACTGGATTCTGCCTGGTGAGGGTGGAGGGCAAGGAATGGGAAATGGAGCAGCGAAATGGCAGCGGATTTGTGGGAGTGGGGGTTAGACTAGGATCTTGGGGGACCTCAGTTCCCTCTCAGGTTTCTGACTTTGATTCCTGGCAGGGCCTGGGCCATGCCCTCTCCTAACCAGCCCTTCCCTGATCACACCAACCTCTGACTCCAGAGTCCCCTGTGGCTTAAACAAACGCGTTGCGAAGGGGGCGGAGGTGGGGAGCAGCCCAGTCTGAGAAGTCAGCCTCCGCGGGGTAGTCCAGGGCTGGGACCCTCTATCAGGGATAGGGGTTTCCTGAATCCTCCCTCAGAGTCTCACTTTGCCTCTTCACAAAGCCTGGGCCACCTTCCCTCTGCCGATCTCAAGCCACCCTTCAGACCCAGAAACTCACTTCTCTCTAACCCTCAATTCACAAGTCAGTGGCATCACATCCGGCCACCCAGGGCTTGCCTGGATTGAAAGCAGGGGTGGAACCGGATGCTGCGCTGATGGGGATGAAGGTAGGGGTGGGGGAGGGGGGTATGAGGCTGGTTGGGGGGTTGGGGAGGATAGGGGCACAGGTGGGGAATGGGGGTACAGATGGGGTAGGGAGTGCAGATGGGAAAGGGGTAGGGGATAGGAATGGGGGTGGGGGACACTCAGCCCTCTCCTAGGGTCCTGACGTTGATGCCTGGCAGAGCCTACCCCCACCAGTCCTGCACTGATCACACCAAGCTCTGACTCCATAGTCCCCTGCGGCTTCAGCGGCAGTGGGGTGGTGGGCGTCCCAGACTCAGAAGTCCGCCCACGGGTGGCCCAGGACTGGAAGCAGGAGGGGTGCCGGATTATTTGGGGTCGTCTATCTGGGGTGGAGAGGGCCTCCCGACTTCTCCCTCAGCTTCTCACTATGCCACCTCACAGAGCCTGGACCGGCTTCCCTCTGCCAATCCCAAGCTGCCTGTCAGACTGAGAAGCTAGCGTCTCTCTAACCCCCAATGCACAAGTCACTGGCATCACATCCAGGAACCTGGAGCTTCCCTGGGTTGAAAGCAGAAACGGAATGCGATTCAACCTGGATGGGGATAGTGGTGTTGGGGTGGGGGATGAGGACATAAGGGTAGTGGGGGTTTGGGGAGGATAGGGGTGCTGGTGGGGGATAGGGTGTAGATGGGGTTGGGAGTGTGGATGGGAATGGGAAGGGGGATGGGAATGGGGGTGGGGGACCCTCGGCCCTCTCTTACAGTCCTGAGGTTGATGCCTGGCAGAGCCTGCCCTCACCAGTCTTGCACTGATCACCCCAAGCTCTGACTGCAGAGTCCCGTGCGACTTCAGAGGCAGTGGGGTGGTGGGCGCCCCAGACTCAGAAGTCCCCCCACGAGTGGCCCAGGGCTGGGAGCATGAGTGGTTCGGGATTATTTGGGATTGTCTATCTGCGGTGGGGGCCTCCTGAGTCCTCCCTCAGCGTCTCACCTTGACTCCTCACAGGGCCTGGCCCGCTTCCCTCCACCAGTCCCAAGCTGCTGGTCAGACAGAGCAGCTCGCTTTTCTCTAACCCCCAATGCGCAAGTCAGTGGCATCACATTCCGGCACCTGCGGCTTTCTTGGGTTGAAAGCGGAAGCAGAACCCGATTCAGCGTGGATGGGGGTGGGAGGAGTGAGGTCGGTGGAGGGGGCGCGTTTTGGGGGTGGGTTGAAAGCGGAAGCAGAACCTGATTCAGTGTGGATGGGGGTGGGAGAGGTGAGGTTGGTGGAGGGGCCCGGGTTTTGGGGTGGGAGATGGTGGTGTGAGAGAGGTGCGGGGTTGAGGAGGATAGGAGCCTGGTGGGGGATGGGGGCGCGGATGGGTTTGGGAGTGCAAATAGTAATGGGAAAGGGGAGGGGGTGGGGGATGGGAATGGGGGTGGGGTACGCTTAGCCCTCTCTTAGGGTCCTGAGGTTGATGCCTCGTAGAGCCTGCCCTCACTAGTCTTACACTAACCACCCCAAGCTCGGACTCCAGAGTCCCATGTGACTTCAGACGCAGTGGGGTGGAGGGCGCCCCAGACTCAGAAGTCAGCCCACGGGTGGCCCACGGCTGGTAGCAGGAGTGGTGCGGGATTATTTGGGGTCGTCTATCTGGGGTGGGGGCCTCCTGAGTCCTCCCTCAGCGTCTCACCTTGACTCCTCACAGGGCCTGGCCCGCTTCCCTCCACCAATCCCAAGCGGCTGGTCACAGAGCAGCTCGCTTCTCTCTAACCCCGAATGCGCAAGTCAGTGGCATCACATCCGGGCCCCTGGGGCTTTCTTGGGTTGAAAGAGAAACCAGAAATCAGATTCAGCGTGGATGGGGGTGGGAAGGGTGAGGTCGGTGGAGGGGGCGGGTTTTTGGGGGTGGGTTGAAAGCGGAAGCGGAACGTGATTCAGTGTGGATGGGGGTGGGAGGGGTGAGGTTGGTACAAGGGCCCGGGTTGTTGGGGTGGGAGATGGCGGTATGAGAGAGGTGGGGGGTTGAAGAGGAGAGGAGTGCTGGTGGGGGATGGGGCGTGGATGGTTTGGGAGTGCAAATGGTAATGGGAAAGGGGACGTGGTGGGGGATGGGAATAGGGGTGGGGTACGCTTAGCCCTCTCTTAGGGTCCTGAGATTGATGCCCGGCAGAGCCTGGCCTCACTAGTCTTACACTAAACACCCCAAGCTCTGACTCCAGAGTCCCATGCGACTTCAGAGGCAGTGGGGTGGTGGGCGCCCCAAGCTCAGAAGTCCGCCCACAGGTGGCCCACGGCAGGTAGGAGTGGTGCGGGATTATTTGGGGTCGTCTATCTGGGGTGGTGGCCTCCTGAGTCCTCCTCAGCGTCTCACCTTGACTCCTCACAGGGCCTGGCCTGCTTCCTTCCACCAATCCCAAGCTGCTGGTCAGACAGCAGCTCGCTTCTCTCTAACCCCCAATGCGCAAGTCAGTGGCATCACATCCGGGCCCCTGAGGCTTTCTTGGGTTGAAAGCGGAAGCGGAAACACGATTCAGCGTGGATGGGGGTGGGGGGGAGGTCGGTGGAGGGGGCGGGTTTTTGGGAGTGGGTTGAAAGCGGAAGCGGAACCCGATTCAGCGTGGATGGGGGTGGGAGGGGTGAGGTTGGTGGAGGGGCCCCGGTTTTTGGGGTGGCAGATGGCGGTATGACAGAGGTGGGGGGTCGAGGAGGAGTGCTGGTGGGGGATGGGGGCGGGGATGGGTTTAGGAGTGCAAATGGTAATGGGAAAGGGGACGTGGTGGGGGATGGGAATAGGGGTGGGGTACGCTTAGCCCTCTCTTAGGGTCCTGAGATTGATGCCCGGCAGAGCCTGGCCTCACTAGTCTTACACTAAACACCCCAAGCTCTGACTCCAGAGTCCCCTGCGACTTCAGAGGCAGTGGGGTGGTGGGCGCCCCAAGCTCAGAAGTCCGCCCACAGGTGGCCCACGGCTGGTAGGAGTGGTGCGGGATTATTTGGGGTCTTCTATCTGGGGTGGTGGCCTCCTGAGTCCTCCTCAGCGTCTCACCTTGACTCCTCACAGGGCCTGGCCTGCTTCCTTCCACCAATCCCAAGCTGCTGGTCAGACAGCAGCTCGCTTCTCTCTAACCCCCAATGCGCAAGTCAGTGGCATCACATCCGGGCCCCTGAGGCTTTCTTGGGTTGAAAGCGGAAGCGGAAACACGATTCAGCGTGGATGGGGGTGGGGGGGAGGTCGGTGGAGGGGGCGGGTTTTTGGGAGTGGGTTGAAAGCGGAAGCGGAACCCGATTCAGCGTGGATGGGGGTGGGAGGGGTGAGGTTGGTGGAGGGGCCCCGGTTTTTGGGGTGGCAGATGGCGGTATGACAGAGGTGGGGGGTCGAGGAGGAGTGCTGGTGGGGGATGGGGGCGCGGATGGGTTTAGGAGTGCAAATGGTAATGGGAAAGGGGACGTGATGGGGGATGGGAATAGGGGTGGGGTACGCTTAGCCCTCTCTTACGGTCCTGAGATTGATGCCTGGCAGAGCCTGGCCTCACTAGTCTTACACTAAACACCCTAAGCTCTGACTCCAGAGTCCTCTGCGACTTCAGAGGCAGTGGGGTGGTGGGCGCCCCAGACTCAGAAGTCCGCCCACAGGTGGCCCACGGCTGGTAGCAGGAGTGGTGCGGGATTATTTGGGGTCGTCTATCTGGGGTGGGGGCCTCCTGAGTCCTCCCTCAGCATCTCACCTTGACTCCTCACAGGGCCTGGCCCGCTTCCCTCCGCCAATCCCAAGCGGCTGGTCAGAGCAGCTCGCTTCTCTCTAACCCCCAATGCGCAAGTCAGTGGCATCACATCCGGGCACCTGGGACTTTCTTGGGTTGAAAGCGGAAGCGGAAACCCGATTCAGCGTGGAAGGGGGTGGGAGGGGTGAGGTCGGTGGAGGGGGCGGGTTTTTGGGGGTGGGTTGAAAGCGGAAGCGCAACCCAATTCAGCATCCATGGGGGTGGGAGGGGTGAGGTTGGTGGAGGGGCCCCAGTTTTTGGGGTGGGAGATGGCGGTGTGAGAGAGGTGCGGGGTTGAGGATAGGAGTGCTGGTGGGGGATAGGGGCGCGGATGGGTTTGGGAGTGCAAATAGTAATGGGAAAGGGGAGGCGGTGGGGGATAGAAATAGGGGTGGGGTACGCTTGGCCCTCTCTTAGGGTCCTGAGGTTGATGCCTCGTAGAGCCTGCCCTCACTAGTCTTACACTAACCACCCCAAGCTCGGACTCCAGAGTCCCATGCGACTTCAGACGCAGTGGGGTGGAGGGCGCCCCAGACTCAGAAGTCCGCCCACGGGTGGCCCACGGCTGGTAGCAGGAGTGGTGCGGGATTATTTGGGGTCGTCTATCTGGGGTGGGGGCCTCCTGAGTCCTCCCTCAGCGTCTCACCTTGACTCCTCACAGGGCCTGGCCCGCTTCCCTCCGCCAATCCCAAGCTGCTGGTCAGACAGAGCAGCTCGCTTCTCTCTAACCCCCAATGCGCAAGTCAGTGGCATCACATCCGGGCCCCTGGGGCTTTCTTGGGTTGAAAGAGGAAGCGGAAATCAGATTCAGCGTGGATGGGGGTGGGAGGGGTGAGGTCGATGGAGGGGGCGGGTTTTTGGGGGTGGGTTGAAAGCGGAAGCGGAACGTGATTCAGTGTGGATGGGGGTGGGAGGGGTGAGGTTGGTACAAGGGCCCGGGTTGTTGGGGTGGGAGATGGCGATATGAGAGAGGTGGGGGGTTGAAGAGGAGAGGAGTGCTGGTGGGGGATGGGGCGTGGATGGTTTGGGAGTGCAAATGGTAATGGGAAAGGGGACGTGGTGGGGGATGGGAATAGGGGTGGGGTACGCTTAGCCCTCTCTTAGGGTCCTGAGATTGATGCCCGGCAGAGCCTGGCCTCACTAGTCTTACACTAAACACCCCAAGCTCTGACTCCAGAGTCCCCTGCGACTTCAGAGGCAGTGGGGTGGTGGGCGCCCCAAGCTCAGAAGTCCGCCCACAGGTGGCCCACGGCAGGTAGGAGTGGTGCAGGATTATTTGGGGTCGTCTATCTGGGGTGGTGGCCTCCTGAGTCCTCCTCAGCGTCTCACCTTGACTCCTCACAGGGCCTGGCCTGCTTCCTTCCACCAATCCCAAGCTGCTGGTCAGACAGCAGCTCGCTTCTCTCTAACCCCCAATGCGCAAGTCAGTGGCATCACATCCGGGCCCCTGAGGCTTTCTTGGGTTGAAAGCGGAAGCGGAAACACGATTCAGCGTGGATGGGGGTGGGGGGGAGGTCGGTGGAGGGGGCGGGTTTTTGGGAGTGGGTTGAAAGCGGAAGCGGAACCCGATTCAGCGTGGATGGGGGTGGGAGGGGTGAGGTTGGTGGAGGGGCCCCGGTTTTTGGGGTGGCAGATGGCGGTATGACAGAGGTGGGGGGTCGAGGAGGAGTGCTGGTGGGGGATGGGGGCGCGGATGGGTTTAGGAGTGCAAATGGTAATGGGAAAGGGGACGTGATGGGGGATGGGAATAGGGGTGGGGTACGCTTAGCCCTCTCTTACGGTCCTGAGATTGATGCCTGGCAGAGCCTGGCCTCACTAGTCTTACACTAAACACCCTAAGCTCTGACTCCAGAGTCCTCTGCGACTTCAGAGGCAGTGGGGTGGTGGGCGCCCCAGACTCAGAAGTCCGCCCACAGGTGGCCCACGGCTGGTAGCAGGAGTGGTGCGGGATTATTTGGGGTCGTCTATCTGGGGTGGGGGCCTCCTGAGTCCTCCCTCAGCATCTCACCTTGACTCCTCACAGGGCCTGGCCCGCTTCCCTCCGCCAATCCCAAGCGGCTGGTCAGAGCAGCTCGCTTCTCTCTAACCCCCAATGCGCAAGTCAGTGGCATCACATCCGGGCACCTGGGACTTTCTTGGGTTGAAAGCGGAAGCGGAAACCCGATTCAGCGTGGAAGGGGGTGGGAGGGGTGAGGTCGGTGGAGGGGGCGGGTTTTTGGGGGTGGGTTGAAAGCGGAAGCGCAACCCAATTCAGCATCCATGGGGGTGGGAGGGGTGAGGTTGGTGGAGGGGCCCCAGTTTTTGGGGTGGGAGATGGCGGTGTGAGAGAGGTGCGGGGTTGAGGATAGGAGTGCTGGTGGGGGATAGGGGCGCGGATGGGTTTGGGAGTGCAAATAGTAATGGGAAAGGGGAGGCGGTGGGGGATAGAAATAGGGGTGGGGTACGCTTGGCCCTCTCTTAGGGTCCTGAGGTTGATGCCTCGTAGAGCCTGCCCTCACTAGTCTTACACTAACCACCCCAAGCTCGGACTCCAGAGTCCCATGCGACTTCAGACGCAGTGGGGTGGAGGGCGCCCCAGACTCAGAAGTCCGCCCACGGGTGGCCCACGGCTGGTAGCAGGAGTGGTGCGGGATTATTTGGGGTCGTCTATCTGGGGTGGGGGCCTCCTGAGTCCTCCCTCAGCGTCTCACCTTGACTCCTCACAGGGCCTGGCCCGCTTCCCTCCGCCAATCCCAAGCTGCTGGTCAGACAGAGCAGCTCGCTTCTCTCTAACCCCCAATGCGCAAGTCAGTGGCATCACATCCGGGCCCCTGGGGCTTTCTTGGGTTGAAAGAGGAAGCGGAAATCAGATTCAGCGTGGATGGGGGTGGGAGGGGTGAGGTCGATGGAGGGGGCGGGTTTTTGGGGGTGGGTTGAAAGCGGAAGCGGAACGTGATTCAGTGTGGATGGGGGTGGGAGGGGTGAGGTTGGTAGAAGGGCCCGGGTTGTTGGGGTGGGAGATGGCGGTATGAGAGAGGTGGGGGGTTGAAGAGGAGAGGAGTGCTGGTGGGGGATGGGGGCGTGGATGGTTTGGGAGTGCAAATGGTAATCGGAAAGGGGACGTGGTGGGGGATGGGAATAGGGGTGGGGTACGCTTAGCCCTCTCTTAGGGTGCTGAGGTCCATGCCTGGCAGAGCCTGCCCTCACTAGTCTTACACTAATCAACCCAAGCTCTGACTCCAGAGTCCCCTGCAACTTCAGAGGCAGTGGGGTGGTGGGCGCCCCAGACTCAGAAGTCCGCCCACGGGTGGCCCACGGCTGGTAGCAGGAGTGGTGCGGGATTATTTGGGGTCATCTATCTGGGGTGGGGGCCTCCTGAGTCCTCCCTCAGCGTCTCACCTTGACTCCTCACAGGGCCTGGCCCGCTTCCCTCCGCCAATCCCAAGCTGCTGGTCAGACAGAGCAGCTCGCTTCTCTCTAACCCCCAATGCGCAAGTCAGTGGCATCACATCCGGGCCCCTGGGGCTTTCTTGGGTTGAAAGAGGGAGCGCAACCCGATTCAGCGTGGATGGGGGTGGGAGGGGTGAGGTCGGTGGAGGGGGCGGGTTTTTGGGGGTGGGAGATGGCGGTATGAAGGTGGTGGGGTGTTTGGGAGGATGGGGAGCTGGTGGAGGATGGGAGTGTAGATGGGTTTGTGAGTGCGAATGGGAATGGGAAGGGGTTAGGGGATGGGAATGGGGTTGCGGGATGGGAATAGCGGTGTGGTACGCTCAGCTGGCTTTTAGGGTCCTGAGGTTGATGCCTGGCAGAGCCTGCCCCCACCAGTCTTGCACTGATCACCCCAAGCTCTGACTTCAGAATCCCCTGAGGCTTAAGTGGCAGTGGGGTGGTGGCCCCCCCACCACAGACTGAGAAGTCTCCAGGAGTGGCCCAGGGCTGGCAGCAGGGGTGGTGTTGGATTTTTTGTGGTCGTCTATGTGGGGTGGGGGTCCTCCTGAGTCCTCCCTCAGCATCTCACCTTGTCTCCTTATAGAGCCTGGGCGGGCTTCCCTCCGCCAGTCTCAAGCTGCGAGTCAGACGCAGAAGCTCGCTTGTCTCTAACCCCCAGTGCGCAAGTCAGTGGCATCACATCCGGGCAGCTGGGGCTTTCCTTGGTTGAAAGCGGGGGCGGAACCGGGGATCCTGCCTGGATGGGGGTATGGGTGTTGGGGGGTGGGGGTGCAGGTGTGGGGTGGGGGATGAGGGTGCGGGGGTTGAATTGGGGATGGGGGTATGAGGGTGGCACGGGGTTGGGGAGGATGGGGTGCTGGTAGGGGATGAGGGTGTGGATTGGGTTAGGAGTGTGGAAGGGAATGGGAATGGGGTGGGGGATAGGAATGGGGGTGGGGAACCCTCAGCTCTCTCTTAGGGTCCTGACTTTGACGCCTGGCACAGCCTGCCCCCACCTTGCCTCCTCACAGAGCCTGCGCCTGCTTCCCTCCGTGGATCTCGAGTTGCTGGTCAGACCAATGCGCAAGTCAGGGATGTCACATCCGGGCCACCTGGGTTGACAGCAGGGGTGGAACCGGATTCGGCCAGGGTGGGAGTTGGGGTGGGGGAGGAGGCGAGAGGTCCTGGGGTTAGGGGTTGAGGTAGGCGTGCCCCTCAGTCCTTTGATTCCTGGCATAGCCTGGACCCCTGTTCTCTGCGGATGGTGTCTGCTCCCCTCAGACCAAGGTTCTGACTCCTAGTCCCCTGAGGTCACAGTGGGGGGAGAGGTGTCCTTGGGCGACAAAGCCGCTGGGGTCTTCCAGGGCTGACAGGAGGGACTAAGCTGGATTCTGTGGCCCCTCTTTGAGCGGGGGTTTACCCTCAGTCTTCACTCAGGAGGGTCCTCTTCCTGGGTCCTGGCTCTTTGTTGAAGTGATGGGTTGGAGATGCTCTTTTTCTCTCACCTCTGAGCATTTGCCCAGCTGTACCCCTTGCAGAAAATGGCTGCGGGTACCAGGCGAGGTGTTCCCTGGGTGGCTGCAGCACCCGTTATTGTAGTGACCTCTGTGAGAAGATGCACGCCTTCCCACGGGGGCTCCTCCCCAGCCAGAGCTGGACTTTGGAAACCTTTTTTCCTCAAAGAAATATATTTTACATATCTTCCAAGGATATATATAGGTAGCAACATATATATTTATTTCTATGAAAGAATACCTACCCTTAGTTTGCATGATTCACTCTGATACCCTATTCAACTTCTATTCCATTGTTTATGTTCTGTTAAAATAATTCTTTTCGAGACCAGCCTGGCCAACAGGGTGAAACACTGTCTTCACTAAATATAGAAAAAAAATTAAAAAATTAGCTGGGCGTGGTGGTGGGCGCCTATAATCCCAGCTACTTGGGAGGCTGAGGCAGGAGAATCGCTTGAACCTGGTAGGCGGAGGTTGCAGTGAGCCAAGATCGAGTCATTGCACTCCAGCCCGGGCGACAGTCTCAATAATAATAATAATAATAATATTAATAATAATAATAATAATAATGCTAATCCTCATCCACTAAGTTGGTTTCAGGTTGTAATTAGCAGATCTCCGGAACCATACTGCCTTAACCAACCCAATTTTCCTGCTGTCCTGCTATTACCCTAGGGTTACTGGAATCGTGTTTTGAGGTGCTGCCTCAGATTGTGCAGTGCAGTGAGGTGGAGATTTTAAAATGTTCATCCTATTCATTCTGTCATCTGACGTCTAGGCAGGCTATAGACTTCAACATCCCTGCAGCCAACCCCCCTCCAACTGACACCGCCCCAAACATAAGTACCAGTTCAACACAGTCCTCAGTCTCACCCAGGACTTTCTGTGTTTTGTTGCTTAGATTTTATTGCTTATATTGTTGTTTTTTCTTTCTTTCTTTTTCTCTTCTATAATTTTCCAGAGTTGATTTGGGAACCAGAGAACAGCAGCCTAAGTGTGACTGTAATTTTTGGCAGCTACAGGTAAGACACTAAATTGTAAATCATTTAAGCAGAATTGACATTTTTACAATGTTCTGCTCCTGATCAATGAATAGGTTATGCTCCTTTACTTATTTCAAACTCCTTTTACCTGAATCTGTCAGTATACTTTGATAGTTTCCTCTAGAAAGACCTTACACATTTTTCTTAGGCTTCTTTTTTGGTAATTCTTGGATTTTGTTGCTATTGCAAATGGCATATTTTCTATTAATTGTTCTAATTAATGGAAATTAATTAACTCTAATAGTTATTGCTATTGTGTGGCAGAGAATTTGATTTTGCTATAGTAATCTGTTGTACACCTCATTCTGAAAACCCATTGACTTGAATATTCCACATGCCTTTTTCTTTGAATTTTCAAGAATGATAAGGGTATTATCACTAAACATTATGTATTTTTCCTATATTCATGCCCCTTATTTATTATGATACTTATAGCTCTGACTTTGTGTCTCAATGATGATTTAAAACGTAGAGATAATAGCCTACATCTACTTCGTGTTCCTGCCTTTAATGATAATTCTTTGAACTTCTTAAATTTGTTTGCTGTTGATTTTAGGAAATGTATGTTCTCTTTCAATATAGGTTAACTAAATATTTTTACCATGAACTCATATTGAATTTCTTCCAAAAGCTTTTCCTGTACCCATTGATGTGATAAATTTTTTCTCCTCTATTTTGTGTGTAAAAAATTACAATGAAACTTTTTTTTCTAATGTTAAATCATATTTTCTTTCCTTGGGTAGAGCTTGTTTGTTCATTTAATATTCTACTAATTTACATAAGATATTTGCTGCTATGTAAGAGAGCTTGTTTATGTGTTTTTTCCATCGGGAGTGGGGGGTGGTCCTCATCTGATTTTTGAATCCAGAAGGGTTAATCTGGGAGAATGAATTGAAGAATTGTCTATATTTTGCGTGCTTTGAAGAGTTGAGATAAGATGATGGTTAGTTTTCCTTGATCATTTGGTGGAATCAGCCTCCGAAACCGACTAACCTGGGACGTTTGAGGATGGCTTGAGCTTTGAATATTGTATAGTTTCAGTTTGTGTCGTTTAATTGAAGTTTTCTTTTTGGATCAATTTGGTCATTTGTTTATTTTATTTCTACAAAATAGTTGGATCATTTAGGATTTCATTTTTAATGGCATGATATTTATGACAAAAAACGTTTTTTTATCAGGGAAGCCTCACACATATAGAATAATAGAGAGACTAACATAATGAACCCAGCATACCTGACGCTCAGCATCAACAACCTTAAATACACGGCAAATCTGGTTCCAGTTAGACACTCACCTACCTGCATCTCAGCTGCTGGAATAATGTGGATCAAATCAAAGACAGCATACCATTTCATCTCTAAATAATTCAATATTCATTTTTAAAAGACAAGGACATTGTACCCAGCTGTACCCCTCGCAGAGAATGGCTGCAGGTACCAGGCGAGGTGTTCCCTGGGTGGCTGCAGCACCCGTGATTGTAGTCACCTCTGGGTCACAATCACTACAAATAAAAACCCAATACAATTCTCATTTCTAAAAAATAAATAAATGATTATGAAATGTTCAACTGTTTTATGCACTTATCTAGAAGACTTATACTTTATAAAAATTTGTTTATTTGGATGAGTACCCAAAAATAGTATTACATAGTGATTTTTTGTAATTAAATCTTCTCTCACCTGTAGGTCCCCTCCACATGATCTGTTTTCTTGCCATCGCTTCGTTGTTGGAAAGAAACATATCTTATGTTCTTTCCAGTTTTCCATAGTCTGGATTTGCAACACTGTAATGTCCTTTATCATATTCTCTAGCCCTTAATTTCTAGGGCTGCAAAATGGCCCAGGCTCGTCAGGTTTATGCCCTGCCCCAGTCATAAATAAGCCATTTCTCCAAATATCTGGTTCCTTTTAATGGGAAATGGTTCTAGAAATCTACTTCTGGGTGCTAGGTGTGCTCATTGCTACTTTTGCTTTTGGTGTTTAATTTAAAAGCTCTTTAACAAACAAAGTTATGTAAATTTTCTCATGTTTTCTTATAGAAGTTGTATAGTTTTTGCATTTTGCATTAGGTCTATGATGTATTTTGAGTTAATTTCGTGAAATACCTAAGGATTTGTCTAGGTTATTATTATTATTTTTGTTTAGATACCCAGTTGTTCATGTACCAATTGTTGGAACAACTATACTTTCACCTTTATTGCTTTTGTTATAAATCACTTGATTGTATGTGTGCAGGTCTATGTTGGGGCTCTATTCTGTTTTTTTAATCTACGTGTTTTTTAATCCATTCACCAAATGAAATACATCTTGGATGCCTCTGTTTTTGGTGATTATGAAATAAGCTATTGTATACATTAATATACAATTTCTTATGTAGATGTAAGTTTCCAAATTAGTTGGATCAATACCTAGGAGTAGGATTGCTGAATCTTATCGTAAGACTATGTTCAGTTTTTTAAGAAAATGCCAAACTGTCTTCCAAAGTGCCTGTACCATTTTGCATTTTCACCATCAATGAATGAGAGTTTCTGTTGCTCCATATCTTCATGGACTTTTTTTATTATTATTGTAGACATTCTAATTAGGTGTACAGTGGTACCTCATTTTAGTACACACTTCTCTAATGACAAAGGACGTTCAGCACTTTTATTATGCTTATTTGCCATCTGTATATCTTCTTTGGTGTAGTGTCTGTCCAGATCTTTGACTATTTTCATTTATTTCTATCATCGAGTTTTAAGAATTTGTGTATATTGTAGAGACAAGTTGTTTATCACTTATGTATACTACAGATGTTTTCTCCTAGTCTGTAGCTTCTGTTTTTATTCTATTCACACTGTCTTTTGAAGAGCATACTATTTTTATTTTAATAAAGTCCAACTTGGCAAATTTTTCTTTCATTGATGATGCTTTTGGTGTTGAATTTAAAAACTCACCACCAAACTGAAAATTATGTAGATTTACTCTTATGTTTTCGTATAGAAGTTGTATGGATTTTGCATTTTGCATTAGGTCTATGATGTGTTTTGAGTTAATTTTTTTTGAAATATGTAAGGATATGTCTAGGTTATTATTATGTGTGTATAGATGTCCAATGTTCAGGCAGCATTTGTTGGAAAAACTATACTTTTACCATTATTGCCTTTGTTGTAAATCACCTGACTTTATGTGTGCAGGTCTATTTCTGAGCCCTATCCTGTTTTATTAATCTATGTGTCTATTCTTTGCTAATGCTTATGTCCTCTGCCAAATTCATATTTTGAAGCTTTCGGCCCCAGTATTTCTGTATTTGGAGGTGGGGCCTTTAAGGAAGTAATGAATGTTAAAAGAGGTCATAAGGGTGGGGCCTTGATCCCATAGGATTAGTGTGCTTATGAGAAGGGACACAAGAAAGCACTCTTGTGCTTAAATGAGAACTCTCTCTCTCTCTCACCCTTCCTCCCTTCCTTCTCTCCATGCACATACACAGAAGAAATGCCAAGAATGGACATAATGAGAAAGGGCCATCTACAAGCCAGGAATAAGAAATTACAGCCTCCAGTCCTTTATCTGTGACTTTCAGTCTCCAAAACTCTGAAAAAAAATAAATTTCTGTTGTTTCAGCTACACAATCCATGGCATTTTGTTATGGAAGTCAAAGCTAACTAAGACATAACCCCAGGTAACAAGTTTTTCTTCTGTTTTCTTCTAGAAAAAAAAGTATTTTTGACATTTAGGGCTATGATTCATTTTGAGTTACACTTTTATATGGGGCAAGGCATGTGCAATGGTTAGTTTTATGGGTCAACTTGTCTAGACTATAGTACTCAGTTGTGCGGTCAAACACTAGTCTAGATGTTTCTGTGAAGGTATTTTGTAGATGTGATCAGCATTTAAAATCAGTTGATTTTAAATAAAGCAGTTTACCTCCATAATGTGGGTGTGCCTCATACAATCAGTTGAAGGTCTTAAAAGACCAAGGTTTTCTGGAGAAGGAATTCTACCACAAGATTGGAACATAAAAACGCTGTGTCAGTTTCTAGCCTGCTGGCCTGTCCTATAGATTTTGGATGTATCAGACCTCATAATCACCTGAGACAATTCCTTAAAATACCTTTATTTTTCTCTCTCCCTTTTTAGATAGATAGATAGATAGATAGATAGATAGATAAAGTATGGATTGAAATTTAGTTTTGCATATGGATATCCAATTGTTCCAGACCCAATTGTTGAATACACTATCATTTCTCCCCTCTAATCTTCATTTGCATCTTTATCAATAAATAGTTATCTATAGATGCATATACATGTTGATTCATTCCTGGAGTTTATTCTCTTCTGTTGATATATTGCTGTAATTATGACAGTCCCACACTATACTGATCATTGTTAGTTTATAAGCCTTGAAATGAAGTAAGGTAACGCCTCCAACTTTGTTCTATTTTTTAAAGTTTTCTTTGGCTATTCTAAGGCCCTTGCACTTCTATATGAATGTTAGAGTCAGCCTCCCAATTTCTATTTAAACATTTCTGGAATTTGATTTGGATTGCACTGAATCTTCCAAAAACCTTGAGGGAAAATGACATCTTAATATTCAGTCTTTTGACTAATGAATAAAGTTTATATCTCTATTTACTTAGTTTCTCATTAAATTTATCTCTGTAATGTTTTATAGTTTTCAGTGGACAGATCTTATACATCTTCTGTCATATTTATCCATTTAATGTTTATTTTAAATTGCATTGTTTTGTCTCAATTGCCAATTGCTCATTGCTAGTATAAAAATACAGGTATAATGATCTATATCCAGTGCCATTGCTAAACTCTTATTAGTTCTAGAAGCATTTTTAAGATTGATAGAATTATCTGCATATGCTCTTATTTTCTGTAAATAAAGACAGTTCTACTTGTCTTTTTCCAATCTGAAGGCCTTTTTTGAAAAAAAAAAAAAAAAACTTATTACACTGGACAGAACCACAGGCACAGTGTTGATCTATTCTACTCAACACCACCCTGTTCCATGAACTCATCAGTCTTAGGTTGTATTTTTCTACAATGCAAACATCCTGCATGATTTCTGACATGTGAAAATCTGCCTCATTCACCCTACACTGTTAAAATCCAAACATGGGTACTGCACCTGCTGAGATGAGCATGACCCCACAGTTGAAACAAGATTCATAAGATATCCAGTGGAGGAAGTGTATTCACTGAAGTTTGACAGCCTGAAAGCAGTGATTTCAGACTGGGGAAAACTGAAACCCCAGGAGACTTCTGTGGACACTGGGAAAAGGAAGTAAGATTGAAAAGTTCCCTGGTAGCAGCCAAGTGAGTGGTCTTCAAGATGTATAAGAGAAATTTTTAGGAGGGAAGTAGGGTGATTCACATTTACACATAGACTTAAATACAGCCAGATTATCTTGGAGAGATTTCTGGTAAAATACAATAATAATAATAATTTTTAAAAAACTAGATAATGGTGAATGGCAGGAGAAAACAGAAAGAAGCATTGAAATGGAGTGACCTGGGGGAAAAGCTTGGAGGAAATACTCTCTCCCTGCCATGTGACCCACCCCAGTTGAACATGGGAGGAAAGGAGCAGCACTATCTGTTTGGGAAAGCTCTTTAGCAGTTCTAAAGAAATGCCCCTCTTTTCTTCAACCAGACCACTCTGGCTTCCTCCTCATCCTCCCGTCCCCTCCTCGTCTTTCCTCCTCTCCTCCTCTCTCTCCTCGCCCCTCCCTCTCATGACAATGTCCTGAGGGCGGTTTGTGACATCTAAGACCTTCTCCACGACAGGGCAACCATTGGCTAGGTAGTAGCTTGCTGACCAATCAAAGCTCAGGGGTCTCGTTCGTCATTGTCCTGGGAGGGGTATGTATAGGGAGACCAGGCAGCCTGGAATAGACAATTGAGAGACGCTGGCGAAGATGACCAGGAAACGACGAGCCTCCAGCCCACTTTTGGAACAATCACCAGCCATCACCAAAATGGCGAGGAAGATGAAAGCCCCCTCTCAACCTAGATCCAGAAGCCCTATCAAGATAAATGAACCACCTAGCCTCCTCCCTTTCTTGACCCTGACTCTTCCCTCCCAAGACTCCTACCCTGTCCTCACCTAGCACAACCCTCACCTCAGCCCATGCCTTTCTCATGAAGCCCCTGTTCCCGCCCCTTCTCCATCCTCTTTCCCCAAACCAATGCCCTTCTGAGATCTCCCTGTTGTCATTCCAGATTCCCAAGACAACTAGGAAGGGAAAAGGAACCCTTCAAGGAAGTTCCAGGAAAAACGTCTCTCCCAAAAAGACCACCGCTTCAGGAAAACCTGAGGAAGGGAGTGGGCCAACAGTATCCTGCCACTGTGACCAGCTGAACGAGGAACTCCATCAAAATGAGCCACAGCTGGACCAAAACAGTGAGGAGACCTCCACCTTCTTCAGTGTCTCCCTGAGCAGTCAGTAATTTCAGGGCAAGCTGAGAGGTCTCCAGAGGTCTAACCCCAGATAAATAGCCAACAGGGTCTAGAGTACATTTTATACCCAACAGGGTATACCCCATGGTGATCAAAATAAAATAAACCTGTTGTAAAATGATGTGTGGGTCTGTGTGCTCTCTGATGGTGGGGAGGGAGGAAGGAGGGAAGAGGTGGGAGTTTGGGAAGGGATGGGGGTGGGGTCCTTCTTTAAATTCAACTCGTTCTTCTTTCTTTGGTTTCCTAGTGTGGATGTTTTGGTTATTGATTTTAGATACTATTTTCTAATATAAACATTTAAAATATGCTATAAATTTCCCTCAAGGAAATACTTTAGCTGAATCCCACAAATTTCTGTACATATAATTTTATTTTCATTCGACTTGATGTATTTTTAAAATTCTCCTAAGACTCCCTCTTTGGTTCATAGGGCATTTAGGAGCATATTTTAAAATTTCCAATATTTGGGCATTTTTCAGACATCATGGTGTTTGATTTTGAGCTTAATTACATTATGGTCTAAGAAGATGCTTTATATTACTTCTATTCTTTTCAATTTGTAGGGTTTGTTTGATGGCCTAGAATACCATATACCTTGGTAAATACTTCATGCACACTGAAGAGGAATGCTTATTCTGCTATTGTTGGATGCGTTTTTTTTTTTTATTTTAATTAGGTCAGAGTAGTTAATGGTGCTGTTCAGGTCATGTATTTCCTCCCTGATATAAGTTTTCTGCTTACTTTTTCTCTAAAATACTGAGAAACAATGCAGAGTTTTGAAAAATATATAGTCCCAAGAAACCACAACCACAGTGAAGGTGCAAAATATATTCATCATCCCCAAAAGTTTATTCCTATTATTTTGCTGTCAAACCATCCCTTCAGTAAAAGTGACCCGCATTGAGCTGAAGTGAGCATCTGCCAACCATGAACACTTTCCCTTACAACAGAGGCAGGTAGGCACAGAGAGGGGCAGTTATTCTCACACACAGGCAGTATCCAGGAAGAAAACCAGATCGGTAGTGTCATAGAAGGCCAGCTTGCTGGCCTGGTCACAGGACGTCCCTCCCTTTCTTGTGCACTGCCTGCCTCCAAGTCTGGCTCTGCCTTCCTGGCCTCCCTGGCTCAGATGAGTGACTCATCCCTCTGCAGTTATGATCCAGGAATTTCAACCTTGTCCAACTCCCAGCTGCTTCCTTAGCATGACCCAAGTACTGCTTCCTGACTAAGGCAGAATATCTAGTCTGCTTTATACACCAGACATGTGGACTTTGGTCCTAAAGGTTTCCTGAGGAAGGCACATCAAGCGCAAAGGCAGTAACCTTTTATTTCCTCACCCAAGTGCCACATGGGAACCACAAGTGACAGGCTGTTTGACATCTTGTAGTCACACTCTGAGCACTGGGGTGTTGCAGACAAAAGTCTTGGTAAGCCTGGTGAGGAAGATATTTTTCCACTAGTTTCTCTGGCACTCTCTTTTCCAGCAGCCCCTAAGCCCACTGCCAAATGCAAGAGTCTCATGCTCTGCCACATTGCAGCTCAGCCACAGTGATCCTCTCGGCACCATGGGGATTAGGAACACAATGTGGTGAGGCACTTATAGATGACAGTCTAACAGCTTGCTCTATTCCCATATTTCTGCTAAAAACTGAGTCCCCAAGGGGGGACTAAGACATTGAAGCTAACACGTTACGGTTTCCCAAGCTCTTTAATATATAGTATTGGAAGAAAGGCAAAAGGAGGCTCCTATTTCCATTCTTGGAAGTCAGAATCCTGGAGTTCTACTTGGTAAAGTGTCTTGCCCAGGGTAAGGGGCTTTTGATGTTTCCACTGCCCTGTGAAACCTTTTCCACAACTGGCATAGGGGCTCAGTTGGGCCAGCCAGAGCTCTGCTCCTGAGCAGCTGTGAGTATCCCGTGTTCTTTACAAAGAACACTGTACAGAGCAAGGAATATCTGTTACTGCCAAGTAGAATAGCTGGCAGAACCAGCAAGAACCTTAGAGGTCCTCATTCTATGGAGGAAACTGAAGACCAGAGACAACAGGATCTTGTCGAAGATCACAAGCAAATTCATCAATGGCAGAGCTGAGCTGCTATTGCCTGGCAGGCTTGGGATCATCCAGGGAAAATGTGGCTGTTCCCTGTGGTTTCACCTGCCTATGTGTGCCTCTAAGAGTGTGCCACTATTCTTTCATTGCCCCTCCCTCTGTCTGCATAGGCTATGTGGATTGTCCTGCCAGCCTCTCTCCACCCCTGCAGGGTCAGTGCCACTGGTTACTACAGTTCAGTGGCCAGGCAGAGGACCTTGTGGTCTCATAGACCCCCAGATGACTGGAGGGGGAATACCCTGAGAAGTCCCAGGATCAGCCTTTGTCTTCCTGATGGAGAGCCCCACTCATCACTTCTCCTGCCTCTGGCCTCTCACTGACTTGGCTTGAATCCGTCACTCCTGCTCCAGCCCAGGCCATGTTTTCCCTGCCTTCTATGCCTCTGGGGATTTATTCATAGCACTTCCATCCTCCTCTCTCAGACTCATCTTTCCTTACCACCAAAAGCCACAAGGTGGGAGGCTGGGCCCTCTTCTCAGTGTTTCTGTGGACTTCATGAGTCTTCCCAAAAGTTTTGAGAGGTCCAGGTTACCATGCTCAGGAATAGAGGCTAGAAAAGTGAAGTAACTTGCTGCAAGTCACACAGACACTAAGGAGTAAAGCCAGGATTGGAACCATAACTTGGATTTCAAAGCCTGGGCTCCTGCCACTGCACATGAGCCTCCCTCTCTAGGTGGCCTGGAGTCTCCTGCTAGGAGTGAAGAAGCAATTGTGGCATCATGGTGATGGGGCAAAATGAGAATCAGAATACCTCGATCGATTCCAGTTCCAGCTTGGCCCCTTGCTGCCTATGCAGCCTTGCCATAGCCACCTCATCTTTCTGGGCCTTGGTTTCCCAGCTATATAGTGTGGACTACCCTGCAAATCCTTTCTAAACTTCGGTCAGTCAACATATGTTTAGCGCACACCGATTTTGTGCTAGATTGTTCCAGGCACTAGGGGACAGTTACATAAAGTCTCAAGGAGCTCATAGTCTATTGAGGGCGGAGGGTTAGAATACATAAATAAATGACCAAAGTAGATTATTCGTTGTTTGCTGAGTGCTACAAAGGAGATTCACTAGGAAAAGCGGTGGGAAGTGCTGGGGGTGGGGGGCTGCTTTAGCGAGGATGCTAGGAGCTTAGGGTTCGCATGTGGCTCTAGCAGAAAAGCACATGTGGAAATGCTCAGCACACCAGGCCATAATGCAAGAAGGGCAGGCCAGTTGGCCTCTTACCTTCAGATCCTCATATCCCATTCTCAGTCCTAGCCATCTGCTCCTACTTCCTGGTCTTCAACTTGCCCTGGCTTGAATCCCTTGCTCCAGCTCCAACTCGGGCCCTATTTCTCCGTCATCCATGCCTCCGGGGCTTTCTTTGTAACACTTCCATCCTCCTCTCTCAGACTCATCTTTCTTTAGCATTGTCTGAGGTGCACCTACTGGGAGAAACCTGCCCCTCTCCAGCTCCTTCTGAGGCCTCACATATATGTCTTCTTATGCTCTGGCCTACAGGATGTGATTCTGTGTAAGAATAGCTCTTAGCATGCGGATACTTCACTTAGCCCACCAGACAGGATCTCAGAAGGCTATGACTGCTTCAGAACCATTTTGGTGGCTCCTAACGTTACCCAGCATGCTGCTTGGCACAGAGGAGGAGTGGTGCTCAGTTTTTGTTGTTTGACACTGTCCATAGTGGCAGCAAGGCTTACAAGCTCTTAAACTGAAGGCTTTGTAAAGCCTGGCACTGCCAGGGTAGAGACAAGCAGAGGCTGGTGGTAGGGAGAAAGGGAATATAGGAGAAGAGAGCACTGGGTTTGTCCAAAATCACTGAGATAGAAGACCTAGAACCTTCCTTCATGAAATACTCTTTTCTCTATGTTCTCACAGATCACTTTCTTCTGACTCTCTTCTCATTACCGGCTGATCCCCCTCAGTTTTCTCTGTCCAACCATTAAGTGTGGGTGCTCCTCAGGACTGTGCCCCAAACCCTCCCAGCTTCTCCTCTCTGTCATCATACACTCCCTGGCTAATATTATTCATTCTCTCTCTCCAGCCTCGTCTCTCTCCTGAGCTTCTGAGCTAAGTATATGGTTGTTTCCCAGGTCCCTCTACCTGGAGGCCTAACAGGCATCTCAGCCTCAATAAGACCCAAACCAGCCTCATCTCCTACACTCCCACACAAGAGTACCATGATTAATCCAGCAGTCATCAGAATTGGAAATAAGTGCTCACCACGCCACCTATTTCACTTCTAAATAACTTCTAACTCCATCTTCTCATCTCCATCTCCACTGCCACCATCTTGATATAGGCCCTTATGCTGGTCCATTTGCCCTCAGAGCTATTCATCACCCTTCCTCTGCTCAACTCTGTTTTTCAGGCTGCATTTTCTAATCTCTTGTGCCTCTTGGAGGGAGATTGGAGGGTGAGAGGAAGGGGGAAACCAGGAGGGTATATATTTTGTTCCTCTCTCTGCCTTAAACTGCATCCGTCTCCCCTGTGATTCCATTTCCCACCAACAGACACTCCATGATTCCAGTTTCCACCAGGTGACCCTGTCCCAGGATTCTGGAAACCCTGGTTCCATTCTTTGTCTCTCCAGCCAAGGGCTGGTAGTGATTTCCTGCTGTTACTTATCTCTGGGTTGACTCATCGTATGCAATTTGGCTCATCAGTAATTCCATCTCCTATGTAACTAGTTCCCTGCATTACATTTATCCTCTAAAAAAAAATTGGAATGGCTTCTCTTTCCCTGGTTGAACCCTGACTGATATAGCCCTTATTACTTCTAGCCTAGCTTATTGTAACAGCTTTTTAGTAAATCATCCTGATTCTAGTCCTATTTCTCTCTAATGTTCTCTTAACCCTGCAGACGGAGAAATATGCCTTACGATAACTTTTCATAAAACTTTTCAAGAGCTCCCCATTGCCTAGAAGATGTAGTCCTTACCTTGGCTTGCAGTCTAATGGTGGGATGGATGGGAGAGGAGACCGTTGCCAGTGTTTGGTTACCAGATAGGGGCCAGGGCAGCAAGTGAGGGATTTCCCTTAGCTACAGACTCAGTTTCAGATTCCGTCCTCACAGAAGGGAAGGTGAGCTCCCAAAAATAGCCTTGGTGAGTAATAAAGATTTCAAGACCCCCTGACTGATCCAGACCAACCAATTGGAAGCTCCTGCTTCATCCACTTGCTACATTTACAGGACATTCCTGTCACAACAGAGGACCAAAGTATACCTGGCAAATAAGCTCAGGAGAGTATTTTCTTTACATAGTTCTCCTGGCTTAAAAATTGAATTTGTAAAAATTTTTAAAGAACTTTGATACAATTGGATTTTTTAAAGATCAGGGTGTCAGGGCTCAAGGAAAATAAAAATTAGAAGAAAAAAGATGGAGCCAGGGATAAGTTTGTGCAAACCACGCATGCTGTGGGATTCTGTACTTTTGGCTTAGCCTGGAATTTTTTAGCAGCCGGTTCTAGGAGAAAAACTCTCCTTTACATGATCCTCAGGGTTCGAAAGACAAAAACCAACCGCTGGCTCATAGAAGCAAAACTATTTCACGTAATACATGAGAAAGAAATTGCTTCTAGGGATCTTCATAAAGAGGACAAGATGGACTTAGTGAACAACATCCTCAACAACATTTTCGAAGTTCTAAGGGAGGCTTCTGTCAGAATTAGAGAACATTTCCCTGGGTTCATGGTTTAAGTGTATATGCTGTTGGGGAGAAGAGGATCTGGAGTTACATTTTATCTGCTTTGTATTATTTTTGCCATTGTTTCCTCAGACTCCTGTACTGTAATACTTACTGAACTTGTGATGACCTAGAATTCTTCTACCTTTGCCTCTCCCTTGATTAATATACCAGGTCTATGTCATGTGGACATTTACTAATCCATCCAGCAACCACTTATGGATAACCTACTGAACTTCCAGTACTACAGTGGTGAAGAGGATTGATACAGCTTCTGCCACTAGGAAATTGAAAATGTAGTGTGGGGAGACAGATGATAAATAAGCCAACAGATAAATAAAGTAAACAAAAATATTGATAATGATGATGGCTTGCAGGAAATAAAACACAGTAATGGGATAATGTTTGGGGTAGGGGGATGCTAATTTGTATAAGATGGTTAGGAAAGGACTTTCTCCAGGGTTAAAAGTTGAGCTCATACTTGAATAATGTGAAGGAAGAAACCATACAAAGTTCTTGGATGAAAGTAATTCAAGAAAATGAGACAATCAGTGTAAAGGCCTTGAGGTTGAAAGCAGCTTATTCAAAGAACAGGAAATAGATCAGTATAACTGGAAGGAGTAAAGCAAGGAAAATGGTAAGAGATGCAAACAGGGAGGTAGTCAGGGGCCAGATTATGCAGGACCTTTGTAAGTCAATCAATTAATAACTTGGAATGAATTAGTAGTGAGGCCAGAGATGAAAGGGTGACCTAGAGACACTGTATGTGCAAAGGTATACAGTAAAGTTTTGTACCTTCAGTGCTTTTCTAAAAAACGTCAGAAAATGTTGAGAATTCACAAGAAGATAGAGGGGACACCCCAGGAATCACATATGCAATGTAAAGGTAAAGTTCACTCTGGCAGCAGTTGATTTTTCTCTTCTCTCCTAGAAATGTAATGCGAGTTATTACAGTGTTGGCATGAGGTTAAACCTGGAAAGGGCTATAAAATGTTATGACAGGGAAAGGAAGTTTTCTCTTTCTTATATGGGTTATTTACAGAATTTCTCTTTTGGAGATAGATTGGAGACATTGCCCAAGCTCCCATGACATTCATCCAGAGAAAGCGAAATCAATAACATGGCCAACAAATCTGTGAGTCAGAGTTGCATTTTCTACTTTTAAGTTACCTACAGACTCCAAAGTGCCACTGATACTAAAATGAGTATGTTACAATCAATAACCCATACCTTGGTAGGCCACTTCTTGTGGTGTAGTTGCAATAGTTAAGAGAAAAAATAATGAGAACCTAGACTAATATAATGGCAATGGGGATGAAAAGCTAGGGATCGACTTGAGAAATGTAAATCAAACAAAAATCAGCAGGATATGGAGATTAGTTGGATAACTCCCAAAGTCACTACATCGGTGACTGTGAGGATGATGCAATCATTCACTGAAATAGGAAACACAGGGAAGCAGTTAAGTTGCATGGGGTAGGGTAAGGATGAGGTGGTGAGTTCAGTTTGGCTCTGCTGCCTTTGAAATGCCTGTGGGATGTGCAGTTAGAGATGTTGTGTGGATAGTTTGTTATATGCATTACGAAGTCAGGAGAGCTATGAGCTCCAAGTAAAAGTTTTTGTGGGGAGAAGTGTCTTGAGCTTAGAGGTGGTGGTTGGAACCTTGATAGTGGAGAAGACTGTCCAGGGAAAAAGTTATAGCCTTAAGAAAGGAACCCTGGGTTGTGTAATATTTGACAGATAGTTAAAGAAGTGGCAACCCCAAAGAGAATGAGGAGAGAAATCGTAAGTCAAAGAAGTAGAGTGTTTCCAGAAAGGCATGGCCAACAGTCTTCAGTGTTACTAAGGGGTCAAGTAAAAACAGGACTGAGACTTAATGATGGATTTAGCAATCTGGATGTCATTGCTGACCTTGACGTGAGTGGTTTTCTGTGGAGTAGTGAGTAGAGGCCAGAGCAGTAGAGTAGATTAATAAGCAAGTGGGAGGTTGGTAAGGGGTGGAAACAATAAGCATACATGTCTCTTTCCAAGAGTTTGACAGTGGTGGAGGGAGTGGGGGAAAGATATGGTGGTTGGAAGATAACATGATTGTATATGCATATCCAAACTCACCAAATTGTATGCATTAATTACGTGCCGTAGTGCAGTTTTTCTGTACACTAATTATACATCAATAAAGCTGGATTTAAAAAGAAAAACTATAGGCCATAGGTTTATGAGTTTTAAAAAATAATTATGAGAATCTTTTTTTCTTTTATACTGCAGCAATTTGAATGTGTTTTCAAGTTTGGAGAAGACCTTAGAGAAAAGGAGCATGAAGGAGCAGGAGAGAAAAGGAAAAAGCGATGAGGAGACAGAAGGGGACATATTAAGGACTTAGGGGTATGAGTGTGGGAGAAATGCTTACCTTTAACAGAAGGAGAGACCCCTCTGAGCCTGGAGGTGAAGTGGTCAGAGAAGACTCATACATCGATAGCAGGGCAGAGTCAGGGAGTTAAGAGATTTAATTTCTGATGGCCTCCATGTTTTCAAGGAAGTAAGAGCAAAGTTGTTTTCTATAGGCAAGAAACATGACAATATTTAGGAGGCTTGAGGAAAGCAGAAAGTGTTTATTTTAGTGACTGGTGAATGTAAACATTCGAGAAGTCTTGCTGGCCAGTTTCTTTGCAGTCGTACAAGACTTTTTGAGCTTGCCACTCATTTACAACTTAACTGTCCAGCCTTATCTGCTGGATGAAAACTGGAGGAGAAGGTCACTATGGCCATGGAAAAATATTCCCTTGCAGCAGTGATTGCTCAGTTGAGGACAAACCCTGATTTATAATGAGGCTAATCATGGTTGTGTGATTTGCCCCCGCTAGCCTCAGAGCTGGGTCTAAAAGAAAAGAAATAGGATTATGGATTATTAGTTCATCCAGGGATATGATTTTGTTGAGTGGATGCAGGAGAAAGAGATAAATGCACAAGGATCAAGAGTTCTGGGGACAAAGTTGTTCCACTGATCCATCATGTATTGGGGGACTGGCTTGGGATGAAAGGAACAGAGGCTTGAAGGAACCTGCTGCACTGGGATTAAAGGGATGCACCCCGTGGCCGAAGAACTGTCTGAGGTCAAAGAGAAGTGACTTCAGTGGGATTGAGTTCAAAGGATAGGGGCACATGATCAGGGGATGTGATCTGAGGTCTGGTGGGGGTAACTTAGCTGGGGTTTCAGCATCTGAGCTTTTGGATAATTCTCCGCATCTGTCTGCTCATTGACATTGGCTGACAGCTTCCTGGAGGCCTGCCTCAGGAAAAGTTGGCAGCAGAGAGTGGATGAGTGAACTTGGAAAATTCCAATTCTTTTTGAGATGGAGAAGGGGTGCTAATACTTTGGACCCAGGAGAACTAAATGGAAATAATATTTTCAAATGGAAAAGGCACCACAAATGACTAATTAGAAAGAAGACTTTTTTGTCTCCTGGACCAACTGAGAAATGCATGTGATTTGGAGCATAGTGACTTTTTCAATCTCTTGGAAATGGCTGTGGCTTTTCCTATGTATAATGGCATTAATTAAGCTAAAATTGCTTCCATTCTCTAAAAATATATGAATACAATAAGAAAAGACATTGGCCAAATTAACAGAAACCTGAGGATTTAGTGGAAATGATTTGTGTTCTTTATGAACTTGGATCAGAGTTGGATTAAACAAGTCAGATGCAAAGTTCTAGGACAGACTGGCTTGATGATGTAACAAGCTGGCTTTGGTCACTGGCTGGCCGACTTCAGCCAAGGAGCCAGCTCTGAGGGCACTTGGCTTTATATTGGCTGTGAAACCCCACAGCCATGGCACCCGCTGCTTGGTCCTGATGGGACAGACATGATCGGGAGACCAGGCGGAATCTGTCAGCCAGCTGCTCTCCTAGGCTGCTCTGAACAGTCTGAGTATCCCATTCTTCGTGAGCATTTGAACCTGTTCTGACCTTTAGGCTCGTTCCTGTAATAGACAGAAGATCATGAACGCTCTGTTTTCTTTTAGTTATTACTCTCCTTCTATCAAATCTCACAGTGCTTCTCACATTTTAATCATCATAAGAAACACCTGGGGATCTTATTCAATGCAGATTTTGACTCAGTAGGTCTGGGTTGGGATCTGAGATGTTGCAAAGTATCCTGATGCTGATGGTCTGGGGGCTACACTTTGAGAAGCAAGGCTCTCAACCAGGACTTTCCCCAAGAGAGCATTCCCTACTCACCTTGTTAGTGGGCATTTACTGAAAATCCCCCATGCACCAATCACTGTGCAAAGCACTGGGGTCTGGGGTCGGGGGGATAAGAAGAAGATAAAGAGAATACATAAGGAACAAGACACAGTTCCTGCCCAAAACAGAATAGGTGATGATACTGTACTCATGCCTGTAATCCCAGCACTTTGGGAAGCCGAGGCAGGTGGATCACCTGAGGTCAGGAGTTCGAGACCAGCCGGGCCAACGTGGTGAAACCTCGTCTCTACTAAAAATACAAAAATTAGCCGGGCATGGTGGTGCATGCCTGTAATTCCAGCTACTCAGGAGGCTGAGGCAGGAAAATAGCTTGAACCCTGGAAGCGGAGGTTGTGGTGAGCTGGTATCACGCCACTGCACTGCAGCCTGGGTGACAGAGTGAGACTCCACCTCAAAAAGAAAAAGAGAAAAAGAAAGATAGACAGGGGATTGGGGGAACACAGAGAAGAAAATAATCTGCTAAGATTTTTCAGAAGAATTCACAGAGGAAGTGACATTGAGATGGGTCTTGAAACCTGAGTTGGAGGGCACCAGGCAAAGAGATGCAGAGACTTTTCCAGCAAAGGGAGAAGCTTGTAGAAAGGCCTAGAAATGTGCAGCATGTTTGAGCAATGGCAATAAGTCCAATGTCACCAGAGTCCCAGGTGGCCGGTGGTGAAGAGTGGCAGTAGATGAGGCTCACCAGCTAAGTTTTAAGTGAGAGAAAAGGTCACAGAGGCCTTGGTTACCCTGCTAAGAAGTTGCTCAGCAAACTTATTTGCCTGTTTACACTTATCAGCTAAACAAAAGGTCAGGCAGGTAGACTGGGCAGGCAGATATCTCAGAATAACAGTAACTTCCTATGGAACATCCACAAATGCTCCTGCCTCCTAGACTGGGCTAGGCCTCCCCTGGGAGGAAAGCGTTGGCAGAGCCTGCAAAGGGGCAAAGCCTTTTGATAGCCATCATTGGAACCAAATTAATGTGCTAATTGCTAACAGGACGTATTTGTGCATCAGAGTCAGCATCAAGGCTCTAGGCTACTACTTTGTGTCTGATTTGCTGTGAGAATCCATGTGCTTTATGTAATGAAAATAATTGTCTACTTTTCTTTAAAGACTGTATATAATTGGGCCTTTAACAAATTTATACAGGCTCTGTTTCCCACTGACTGCCATCACAGCACAGCCAAGTTCCATCGGTACAATGAGGGGACTGAAACCTGTTAGCCTTCTCTAGTTTAGCAGGGTAAGGACAGCAAGGGGAAAGATAAAGAGAGAGAGACAGAGACAGATACATAGAGACAGAGATAGGGAGGCACAGATATAGAGGGAGAAATGGAGGAAAGAAGGAAGGGAAGGAAGAAGAAAGGGAATAAAAAGAAAAATGACATTTAAAAATTAAATTTAGAAAAAGACATTTAAAAGACAAAGCACATAGGTAGCTATCACCATGGGCAAAACCAGAACTGTGTCGAACATTATTACGCTCAATTTATGGTTTACACAGTAGCAAAACCATTAATTTTAATTGCATATGAGAGAGTGGCATAACCTTTTTCTAGTTTAGGCCCTTTTAAGCTTATAATCAGGCCCTGTTCTGGGGAATTTAACCATCTGGAGCATGAGTATATGAGGTATGGGTGTGAGGCTGAGCTGGCCTGAATGGTCCAGCCATCAGCACTGAATATTTGGTCACTCCCATTCAGTTTCACCCCAACAATAAAATTACCCACCAGGATGAAAGTTTCCATCCTTACTTACAAACTAACTTTATTGGATTTAGTTGCGTTTGGTCATATACCCTTTTTTCCACTAGCTGCATGAGGCTAAATAACTTACTTGATTAAGTTCTCCATGATTATCCAATTTCTCTGGGCATAATGCAGCCATCTTACATGACCAGAAGTGAGCAGGCAAGTGATGAGCTGCTTATTCTAACTTCTCATTCTAAATGACTGTGAGGATGCTGGCTAACACCCTCTGGATTCATTACTGGGTCTGGGTAATTTGTCCATAGTGTCCTGTGGAATTTGGCTACTAACCTCTGTGCCTCATGAGGAATGGCAGAGCTGGCCGGAGAAAGGGAAAAGAAGGGAGCTTGGTGGAGCCTGACTGAAAACCTTTCTGTCAGACATGAAGGACTGGGGAAGCAGACCTTCTGCCTGCCATTAGCTTTACACCTAGGTTCCAATTATGGGCAAGTTGTTTCACTTCTTTAGGCTTTACATCAGTGAAGTGGAGGTGTAGTACTAACAACTACCTCTTAGATGGAACTATGAATGGGTGGGGATGGGGGGCATCCATTCATTCACGTCTTCATTCATTTAACAAATATGTATTGAGTACCTACTCTGGGTCAGGTCCTGTGGAGGAATGTGGACTACAGTAGTGAAAAGAATAGATATCATGCTGGACTTTCTGTTAGAGGAGACAATGAACAAATATATAATGTCATCACAGAAGGTCTCCCTAGGGAGGTGGCATCTCAATTGAAACCTAAGTGATGAGAAAGAGCCAGGCCTGCAAAAATCAGGAGGAACAGATTTGAAGCAGAAAAAAAAAACCAGCATGATCAATCACTAGGGAAAATCTTGGCTTCTTAGAGCAGAAAAAAGGCCTGAAGCCTTCAGCAGAGTGACCTAGGAGAATTTTGGTGATAGGAGAAACCATAGAGGTAATAAGGGCCTGGCAAGACCATGAAAAGGTATGTGGATTTTATTTGTGGTGTGGTGGGAAATCACTGGAAGCTTTTAAGCATGAGAGAAAGATAAGTGGGTTTAGCTATTTAAAAGATCCCTCTGGCTGCTGTGGCGATAGTGGATTGGAAGGGCTGAGAGTACACATGGGGTGACTGTCACAATGCTCTAAACACAAGATGTTATTAGTTCACTGGAGTTGAATGAACCCCTTAGGTTATGGCTTTTTACTAAGCAATTAATTTTGTTTTGATAATCTTCCATTCTCCTGCCTCATTCTCCAATTTTCCCTCACCGCATTCATTAACCACTTCTGCCTGTGAGCCACAGCTTCTCTGCCTTGGTGGGTCTGGGCAATAAAACATGATAGAATGGAGGAGTAAGAGTGACTGAAGGAAGAAATGGATGGACTGATGGATAGCTAGGTGGATGGTTAGGATGGCCCATATCATCTTTATATATCCCTAATGCCCAGGAGATATCCTGACACAAAGCAGGTTTTCAAACATTGACTGAATGGATGAAGGATTGTGCTGAGAAGTCAAAGTCAGTTTATCTCCAGAATGAGAAATATTGGGTCCTGTTGTTTTAGTGGTGAAAGAGTTATAAACTTTAGGTTAGAGAAAATTGCAGAACAAGGACTTGGGAAGAATATGTAGGCAAGGTGGGCCTCACTTGAAGAAAATAGGTTTGCTTTTTTTTTTTTTTTTTTTTTTTAAATGGAGTCTTGCTCTGTCGCCCAGGCTGGAGTGCAGTGGTGCCATCTCTGTTCACTGCAAGCTCCACCTCCTGGATTCACACCATTCTCCTGCCTCAGCCTTCCAAGTAGCTGGGACTACAGGCGCCTGCCACCACGCCTGGCTAATTTTTTGTATTTTTTAGTAGAGACAGGGTTTCACCGTGTTTGCCAGGATGGTCTCGATCTCCTGACCTCATGATCCACCCGCCTCGGCCTCCCAAAGTGCTGGGATTATAGGTGTGAGCCACCATGCCTGGCTGGTTTGCTGTTTTTAGTAATAATTGACTCAGAAGAAATGTTTCAAAGTGATTTTAGAAAGTCATTTTGCATGGACATTGACCACATGTTTCTTGTTGATGATAATACAAACATGAAAGACTTGGGTTAGTTGTAAGTTCATTCCCGATATAACAAACAACCCTTCAAACCCCTTACCAAGTTTTGGCCATCTCAGTAAGCTGCATTACCTTCCACCCAGTTCCTTAGGCCAGAAAGATAGCAGTTATTCTAGACTTTCCACCCTCTTTTGCTTACTACGTCTAATATATCACCAAGTCCTATCAATTGTACCCCTTAAACATCTCTCTGATCCACCCACTTCTTACCATGCCAACTGACACCATCCCTTTCCAGGCCACTGTTAATTGCTGCCTAGACTTCTGCAAATGACTTCTAATTGGTCTCCCAGCTTCCACTCTTCTACCTAATGCAATCCATTCTCCATCTAGCAAAGACATCTTTTTAAAGAACAAATTAGATCATTTCCTTCCCATACATAAAGCCCTCCAATGGCTAGCTCCAATGCCTACCTTTCCAGCTTCATTTCACACCTGTCTCTTTGCTTCTACTGTATTCTCCTGCCACACTATTCTTTTAGAATATTTTTCTGAAATCTGTGTCTTCACATACTTGGTTCACTCTGTCTAATGTCCTTCTGTGTCTCCCTACTTCCTCTACTGCTCAGGAAGGGACACTAGTTTTGGAAGAGACAGGTCCAAAGCATGAGATAGGCAGAATTTCTCAATCTCTACCCCCACTGCAGTCAGTCAAGCATCCAACAGCAGAAATTCTTGACCTGAAGCTGGGTGAGGAGAGAAGGGGAAGAAAAAGATGGTCTGACAATGAATGATGACGTCCTGGTCCATCTGGGAGCGTCTGATCTCTTCTCATCTGGTCTTACATTTATTTATCCAGTGCCAGTGCTGGAGATTAGCCTGAGCCAAAATAGTAACTTCTTGTGCCAATGCAAGTTGTAGCTCTAAGTAAGGGGACAACATTATCCAGGCTGATTTATTTCTGACCAACCATTTGAGTCAGAGCACTGGAGAATGTAGACCTTGGTTGAAGGCCTTCAGGAAAATACAAACCTATTCCATATTCTTTATGGTTTCAAAGTCCATGCAAGGGCCGGAGCCACTCCTGATAACACAGTTTCTGAGCAATACACACTCCCCAGGTCTCCCTGGTAATCCAGTTGCCTTGGAAACACAATGATGCGAGAATGATACCTACAGTGAATGGTTGCTGCTTATCTCTATTAAATGAAAATCTTCACTCATCAGAGTTTTGAAAATTCAGACAGGTTCCTTTTTATCTTGATCCCACTGCCTGGCACATTCTATTTTATGCCAAAAGCCAGCAGCAGCCCTTCACTTCTCCCTAACTGATGTAGACACTTTTTCTGGTTTTGGATTTTGCTACTGTCGAATTAGCTATTACCCTTTGACCCCAGGACAAAAAAATTACAGGTAGAGAGTGCATGAACTTTTCCTTGTTGATCCCATCTGAAAGTAGACTGAGTTGAGAGTCTGAGGTATCTACAGAAATCTCTGCCCATCTCACAAATCTTGCTCACAGATTATATTAGCCTGTTCTCATGCTGCTAATAAAGACAAACTGAAGACTGGGTAATTTATAAAGGAAATAGGTTTAATGGACTCACAGTTCCATGTGGCTGGGGAGGCCTCACAATCATGGTGAAAGGCAAATGAGGAACAAAGTCACATCTTAAATGGTGGCAGGTAAGAGAGAGCTTGTTTAGAGGAACTCCTGTTTATAAAACCATCAGATTTCATGGGACTTACTTATTCACTATCACGAGAAAAGCATGGGAAGGACCAATCCCTCATTATTCAATTACTTCCCACCAGGTCCCTCCCATGACACATGGTAATTATGGGAGCTACAATTCAAGATGAGATTTCAGTGGGGACACAGCCAAACCATACCATTCCACTCACAGCCCCTCCCAAATCTCATATTCTTACATTTCAAAATCAATTATGCCTTTGCAACAGTCCTCCAAAGTCTTAACTCATTTCAGCATTAACTCAAAAGTCCACAGTCCGAAGTCTCATCTGAGATAAGGCAAGTCCCTTCCACCTATAAGCCTATAAAATCAAAAGCAACTTAGTTACTTCCTAAGCACAATGGAGGTACAGTCATTGGGTAAATATACCTGTTCCAAATGGGAGAAATTGGTGAAAACAATGGGGCTACAGGACCCACACAAGTCCAAAATCCAATGGGGCAGTCAAATCTTAAAGCTCCAAAATGATCTTTGACTCCATGTCTCACATCTAGGTCATGCTGATGCAAAAGGTGGGCTCCCATGGAATCCAGCAGCTCTGTCCCTGTGGCTTTGCAAGGTGCAACCTCCCTCCTGGCTGCTTTCATGGGCTGGTGTTGAGTGGCTGCAGCTTTTCCAGGTACACAGTGCAAGCTGTCTGTAGATCTACCATTCTAGGGTCTGGAGGACGGTGGCCCTCTTCTCACAGCTCCACTAGGCAGTGCTCCAGTGGGGACTCTTTTTGGGGGATCCAACCCCACATTTTCCTTCTGCAGTGCCCTAGCAGAGGTTCTCCATGTGGGCTCCATTCCTGTAGGAAACTTCTGCCTGGACACCGAGGTGTTTCCATACATCCTCTGAAATCTAGGCAGAGTTTCCCAAACCTCAATTCTTGACTTCTGTGCACCCACAGGCTCAACACCACATGGAAGCTGCCAAGGCTTGGAGCTTCTTGTACCCTCCAAAGCCACGGCCCAAGCTGTACCTTGGCCTCTTTTAGCTACCGCTGGAGTGGCTGGGATGCAGAGCACCAGGTCCCTAGGCCACATACAGGAGGGGGCTCCCAGGCCTGGCCCAGGAAACCATTTTTTCCTCCTAGGCCTATAGTCCTCTGATGAGAGCAGCTGCAGGAAAGGTCTCTGACATGCCCTGGAGACATTTTCTTTATTGTCTTGGCAATTAACATTTGGCTCCTTGTTATTTATGGAAATTTCTGCAAAAAGTTTTGTATTTCTCCCCAGAAAATGGATTTTTCTTTTCTATTGATTGCCAGGTTGTGAATTTTCCAAAGTTCTATGCTCTGCTTCCTCTTGAATGCTTTACTGCTTAGAAATTTATTTTACCAGATACCCTAAATCATCTCTCTCAAGTTCAAAGTTCCACAAATCTCTAGGGCAGGGGCAAAATGTCACCAGTTTCTTTGCTAAAACATAGCAAGAGTCACATTTGCTCCAGTTCCCAACAAGTACCTCATCTCCATGTGAGACCACCTCAACTGAGACTTTATTGTCCATATCACTATCAGCATTTTGGTCAAAGCCACTCAACAAATCTCTAGGAAGTTCCAAACTTCTCCACATCTTCCTGTTATTGATTGGTGGGATTGTAAGCAAATTAAAAAGTTCCACTTTTTGGTCACCTGATATACCTATTCTACACTTGGCTTGCACATTCATGCTGTTTATTCTAACAATTTTTCATCATAGTCCTAACCTCAAGTGTCTGGTTAAGATGAATGTTTTCTGGAGCTAGATCTCCAGGAGTCCTTACTGTCTCTTAGTAGGGTGACTTGAACTAACCTTTCTGAGCCTCAGTTTTTGTTCATCTCTAAAATGGGAATCATAGTAGCACCCTTCCTCATGGGTTTGTAAGGATCAAATCAGATAATATCTGTAAAGAACTTAGAATACAGCCTGACTCTTAATGTACAATAAATGTCACCTACTGCTGTTGTTTTCATTATTAAAACAGATGTTGAAAAGGAAACTAACCTGATCTGCAGCTACACCTGCCCTAGCATGTTTGAGTATTATGCCTCTGAGCTCTCTGTTTCTCTTCTTGGCTGTCTGTTCTTTGCTTGCCTTGAACCTTGCCAGATGTTACTGCTTTGACTTGGGCAAGAATTCTTAAACCACGGATGGTAAAAGCTGAGGAGGCTTCTCAGTGCATAACAGGGAAAAGGGTTGGCCTGAGCTCAATCACACAGCAAGTTGGTGGCAGAACAGGGCCTAGACTAATGCTTTTTGGGCCAAATTGCAGTAATTTGTTCACTCTATAAACTTCTTCTCTGTACCCTACCTCCTGCAGGTACCCTTCCACCCTTCCCCTTGGGTCTCCTCTCCACCCAAAACAGGTAGGTCCTGAGTTATTAGTAACACTCATTTTTAGAAGGTTGTGAAGTCTCATGTCCTATGAAGAGAAAATAGGGGGAAGAAGTGAGAAAAACAACAGCAAAAAAAGAACAATCCTGGAAAATCAATATAGGCCACATTCTTCTGAGGTCCATACATCAGTAGGCCAGTATGAAAGTGGCTTGTCTATGTAAATGGGTTGCTGTTATTTTCTACTAAAGTTTAAGTTGTCTGGCTTCAGTTCACAGGGCTTTAAGAATGCCCAGCTTAGTTTCCAGTTACTCCAAATTAGGAAAAATGGGGAAAAAAGAAAGAAAAAATTGAAAACATTATTTTGAAGACTCATAGCCAAGAAAAATTAGAGTTTGATCCAAACTGTAGGAAATAATAAAAATCAAAAAACATCAGACAAGACTAGAATCTAACAACAGGTGTACTATAGTTTTTGAAACATAATTTTTCTTTCTCCAGTTTCCCGTTTTTACTAAAGACAAATCATGGTAGGACTGGTTTGCTTTATTATACTTGGCCTAATTATTTGTACACAGTGCAGCAGGAATAGTTATTTTTTACATAGGCTTTTAAATTGGCTTTGATTGAACTTTGTTCCACAGAAGGAATCTCAGATAAGACCTTTTTAAATCCATACCCAGCCATGAATTTATACCATGAAATACCCATGAGTTTAATGAATTCCTCTCCTCTTGAGGTTCCAAGATAAACTTGGGGCTTCTGGGCCTGTCAGAAAGTGATCTTCTTTACTTACCATACGTCAGAAAACCTGTACAAGGACTGTGTAGACAAAGGTATGAGGCCAGTTTTTCCAAGGGGATTTTATTGGCTCCATAAATCAAGTTAGATTTCTTAAAGGAAAGCACCCCATTTCAGTCAAAGCATTGGTAAAATAACCAGTTTCTCCAATTGTGCCCTGTTACAAATGAAAACAGATTCTTATTGCACTTTTGCAAATAACTATATTGTCATAAGTTATAAATCCTCACAAATAGTTTCCAAATTCTGTAGAAATCAGGCAGACAGAAACAAATATGTTCCAAATTTTGTTCATAGGAGTATACTTTACTCAACTGTTAAAAGCTGTAAGTAGCTTAAAAGGAAAGTTTCTTGACTCTGAAAAACAAAACAAAGGATCAGCAACGTTTTAAGCAAAAAGATAAAACACAGTTCTATTAGTTCAGTACATGCAGTTAATTCCTATTCTGCTTGATATTCATAAACTTTTCCACTCTCCATCAGTCCTGAAAGTTTTTCCTCTAGTTTGACGTCACAATCTCCAAAGTTAACAGAAGCGTGCATTCAAGAACACCTGTTAGAATTTTATAGCTGATTATAAAACCACCTTCTAAAGAGGACTGAAACAAGACAACAATTGTCCTTGGATGACAAAAAGTTTTAGGGAAGCCATAGTCAAAGACACAATTAACAAGGAAATTTGTTATCTCTGTGGCACACAATAATTTAACATAACAATTATAATTATTACTGATAATGTACAGTAAGTCATATCAGAATTATAGGAGTTTCCCATAATTTTGGAACACATACCAATAACACATTTATACAAATACAGCCCAAAGAAAACCAAACACCATATTATATTTGACAATGCTTCCTGTATAATTTCTATACCAAATAAGCCAATATGTTATTATTTGGACTTTAGGGAACCTATTAATAATATCTTAAAGGATTAATTAGGTCAGAAAAAGATATAATTTATAATTTCATTTTGGAAAGTTTGTCAAATATCAAGGGTTTAAAGCACTTGATATTACTTGATGTTACAAAATAGAATTACAGGTCATTGTAAAATAAGTCATTCATTTAATCAAAGTTATAACTCAATGATTTTTTTTAAAAAGGTAAAAACCTTCATTTTTTGGGAGAGGAGACTTAATTTTACAAACAGTAAGCCCTGATAAAAACAGCATAAAGCCAATTAAATTTGTTTTCCAAAATTTTATAAACAATGTATAAAGTTTTAATCTTAATCATAAGATATAAGCCTTTATAACCTTCTTTTTTGTTTGTTTGTTTGTTTTTTTTTTTTTAGATGGAGTCTCACTCTGTCACCCAGCCTGGAGTGCAGTGGTGTGATCTCAGCTTGCTGCAACCTCTGCCTCCTGGGTTCACACCATTCTCCTGCCTCAGCCTCCCGAGTAGCTGGGATTACAGGCGCCCACCACCACGCCTGGCTAATTTTTTATATTTTTAGTAGAGATGGGGTTTCACTGTGTTAGCCAGGATGGTCTCAATCTCCTGACCTTGTGATCCGCCCACCACCACGCCTGGCTAATTTTTTATACTTTTAGTAGAGATGGGGTTTCACTGTGTTAGCCAGGATGGTCTCAATCTCCTGACCTTGTGATCTGCCCACCTCAGCCTCCCAAAGTGCTGGGATTACAGGCATGAGCCACCGTGCCCAGCCAGACTTTATAACCTTTATAACTTTCATTAAGGAGTCAGTTAAAGCTTCAAGAAAACCTTGTCAATCGGACACAGGGCCCATATGCTGGTCTTGCATCTGTGTGCCTTTGACATTAATGTTTAATTTATAGAGAAACTGAACTTTTTATCTCCCAAAATCAGCCCTTACCATCTCACACACCCACCTCTTCTGTGATAGTCCCTGGGCCTTGAAGGGTAAGATAGCTTTAATTTGTTGCCCTGTGTTTCATGAAGGCAGCTTATTTTGCTTCTACCAGGCTTAAAGATGAGGATTCAATTGCTGTCAGTGTTTAAAGTTTAGCAGGTCTTGGTGTACTTTTTATACCCAGGAGTCCAAGCCCTGTAACTCAATGTCACAAGCACTTTAAAAGCACATACAGGAAGATACAAGGATGTAATAACCTCAATTAAAATTTTTTTAAATATTAGTTCTTCCTAAGCAAACCAAACTTAATAATGATGTCATAGGAATTGTTTTAATAAAATGTAAAATCTGTTAGGCCAGTTACCAAAAGGCAAAAGAAAATACATTCTGCAGTGCACAGAATATAATGTTGGAAGAAAATATTTCCCGTAGACCTTTAAGAAAACATTGGTAGCATCAGGCCACACACACACACACACACACACACACACACAAAAACAGAACCTGAGGAGGAAGAAAAAATAAAAAACTTATATGAGCTGAAGATGAGTTGATGGGGAGTGTTAGTGTTTTGCAACTTTAAAAGGGGAGAGAAAACCAAAACTAGTGAGATGCAATAAAATTTAAACTTGAGGTTAAAATAAAAAAAACTTGATATCTCTTATAATTTATTGAGAATAAAATCAACCCCTTAAAAATTTCATTACTCTGACCAATTCTTTAGTGCATAAGTGCTTTTTTTTTTAACATCAAACCCAATCTCTAGAAAGGCTATCCTAATTTCCATTTACTTGGTCATGTACAAGTTGTTTTTTTGTTTGTTTCTTTAATAAATCATCCTATTGTGGCTTATGCAGACCGTTCATGATATCCTTGGACTTTCTGGTTGGTCCTGAGCATCCATCTTTCTTAAAGAACCATTCATTTCACTCTAGGACTAAATTTACCATGCAAGATTCCTTCTCATATGAAATTATTTCTATTTAAGCTTTCTTACCAAATTAAACCTCTTTATTTATTTTTTAAATTATACTTTAAGTTCTAGGGTACATGTGCACAACGTGCAGGTTTGTTACATAGGTATACATGTGCCATGTTTGTTTGCTGCACCCATCAACCCGTCATTTACATTAGGTATTTCTCCTAATGCTATCCCTCCCATAGCTCCCCATTCCCTGAAAAGCCCCAGTGTGATGTTACCCACCTTATGTCCAAGTGTTCTCATTGTTCAATTCCCACCTGTGAGTGGGAACATGTGATGTTTGGTTTTCTGTCCTTGTGATAGTTTGCTGAGAATGATGGTTTCCAGCTTCATCCATGTCCCTGCAAAGGACATGAACTCATCCTGTTTTATGGCTGCATAGTATTCCATGGTGTATATGTGCCACATTTTCTTAATCCAGTCTATCATTGATGGACATTTGGGTTGGTTCCAAGTCTTTGCTATTGTGAATAGTGCCACAATAAACATACCTGTGCATGTGCCTTTATACTAGCATGATTTATAATCCTTTGGGTATATACCCAGTAATGGGGTCTCTGGGTCAAATGGTATTTCTAGTTCTAGATCCTTGAGGAATTGCCACACTGCCTTCCACAATGGTTGAAGTAATTTACCCTCCCACCAACAATGTAAAAGTGTTCCTATTTCTCCACATCCTCTCCAGCATCTGTTGTTTCCTGACTTTTTAATGATTGCCATTCTAACTGGCGTGAGATGGTGCCTCATTGTGGTTTTAATTTGCATTTCTCTGATGACCAGTGATGATGAGCATTTTTTCACGTGTCTTTTGGCTGCATAAATGTCTTCTTTTGAGAAGTGTCTGTTCATATCCTTTGCCCACTTTTTGATGGTGTTGTTTTTTTCTTGTAAATTTATTTAAGTTCTTTGTAGATTCTGGATATTAGCCCTTTGTCAGATGGGTAGATTGCAAAGATTTTCTCCCATTCTGTAGGTTGCCTGTTCACTCTGATGGTAGTTTCTTTTGCCATGCAGAAGCTCTTTAGTTTAATTAGATCCCATTTGTCTATTTTGGCTTTTGTTACCATTACTTTTGGTGTTTTAGTCATGAAGTCCTTGCCCATGCCTATGCCCTGAATGGTATTGCCTAGGTTTTCTTCTAAAGTTTTTATGGTTTTGGGTCTAACATTTAAGTCTTTAATCCATCTTGAATTAATTTTTGTATAAGATATAACTTTGTTTGCATCTCTTTTATTTCCTGATTCCTGTTACCTTGTTTTATACGTGACCTTTAAATAAGCTTTGATTTAGACAAAACTTGTTCATCTTTTTTAAAAGGAAAAACATTTTTTTGGGAAGAATTTTTTCCTACAAATATATTTTTATTGGAAAATGCCCAAATAATGAAATATATTATTTAATTTAATATTATCTTAGATTCTAAATTATGACACGTGTGTCTATAATATTTATCCAATGACATTTACTTAATTATTTTATTTTAATCATTCACCTAGCTTATTTATAAAAACTGCAATTGTCATTATTTAAAGTTATGGAAACTCCATTGCAAAATCACAACTGAGACAGTGAAAAAGATTTGATCTAACTGACTCCTTCTTGCTTCTAGCCTCCAAGCTGTCCTTGTTCATTCCTGGGCATAGGTCAACCTAACTTTGGAAGGAACTTAGTTTGTAGTTTAGATTTGAGACAAAGACAATAACAGTTCTTTCCCCAAAAAACCTTACTCCCTGTGGACTAGACTGCCTAAAACCACAAGATTAGAAATTATGGTAATCTTACTAAATTTAAGATGTAGCTATTTTTATTGAACCAATATCGATGTCTTATTTATTAAAGATTACACAAGCAAAGATCATTCCATCTTGGGCTGGGTTTATAGTTTCGTAACCCCTGTGTCAAATTTTGTCACCTTATAGTATTTGGCAGTGATAAGTATGAAATTGCTTGATAAATAAATGCAAACAAAAATATATGCTGACAAGACATTTCTGATACTACATTGCCAATAATTTTAAAGCTAGCTTATTTACTAAAGATTTTAGTTAAGTTACTTAAACTTGAAAAAGCATTTGACCAGTCTTTTCTTTTTTTTCCTGATAAAGTATTTGATTCAAGCACTTTTATTTTCCTAAGCCCATTAATTAGAACTCTTGTATGTATTTTCAGTAGTGAAACTTAGCATACACAGCACATAAATACGTAGAGATATTAGGCATGTCATTAGAAGTACTACTTACAGATTTATAAAAATCTTTTTTTTTCCTATCTTAGACTTTCAGATTCTGGATAACCTACTTCAGAACCCTAGGCAGTTGTGAGCTAAATAGTCTTAAATTTGCATATTAGGCCGGGGGTGGTGGCTCACACCTGTAATCCCAGTACTTTGGGAGGCTGAGGTGGGTGGATCACGAGGTCAGGAGTTTGAGACCAGCCTGGCCAAGATGGTGAAACCCTGTCTCTACTGAAAATGCAAAAATTAGCTGGGTGTGGTGGTGGGTGCCTGTAATCCCAGCTACTCAGGAGTTTGAGGCAGGAGAATTGCTTTAACTGGGAGGCGGAGGTTGCAGTGAGCCAAGATTGTGCCACCGCACTCTAGCTTGGGCGACAGAGCAAGACTGTGTCTCAAAAAACAAAACCGAAAAATGCATATTAAAGCAAACAACTCAGGTGAAAATCAAATAGCAAAATTTATACCATAAGGCACAGAGTTAAAAATGTCTAGTAGTGACAGAGGGAGATTAAAGATGGATACCAAATCAAACATAAAATTATGGAAATCTATCATAGGATTTAATAAGGAGACCAATTTTATTTAGATAGGGAATACCTATATTTTAACTGGATCTCTGGGCTTTGGCCAGATCCCACACTGAATCCTGGGTCTCCAAAAAGGGAGAATTACTAAGTTAGACCATGTGATGCTTTTACAGTGCACTTAATTTTTTTTAAACAAAGACGAACTTGTCTGTTTACATTCTTGGGGTTCCATAAGGCAAAACTGGTTTCTCCCCCAAAGGGGGTGTGGTATCTTCTCTGTTTTCTTTAAGGAACCCCAGGCTGTTACAAATTATTTTAGGTCCACCGTGCAGCAGAGGGTGCAAGAGAAACGAGAGACAGCGGAAGTAAATGGAGAAAACATAATTCAGTCAACTGAGAAGAAAAAAAACTTATGCTCAAAAAAATGACAAGGTCCTAGGATTAAAAACAAAAACAAAAACAAAAACATGAAGGTCTTTTAAATACAAACACACACATATGCACACATACACACACACACACACATCTTGGATGTTAGCTTTTAATTAAGCTGACTTTTAACCATTGAGCTCTTAAAAAAATCCTTTTAAATCTCATTACCATATTTCAGCTAGGACAAATTGCTGCAATTTCAGAAGTACAGCTATTGCTCTTTCAGTTTGGCCTGGTTAGCAAAAAGGTGGCCTTGTTATGTAAACAAAGCCTTTTAGTAGAAAAAAAAAAAAAAACTTTCTTCTTTTTTTTGTCCTTTTTCTGGCCGTTTTTCTCCCCCCCACCACACCAACTTTTTTTGTGTGTGGGAATTTAGCCGTTTCAGAGGCCTTGTTCCCCATAATTTGGAACTTCCTTTGGATTTGGTCAAGCCGGATAGAGTTGATGAAACCCAGTGGGAGAAAGACTGAAACAACGACAAAAACAGAAACCAACAACAACAACAACAACAACAAAAAAGTTAAGCAAAACAAACAATTGCACAACTTTTATGATTATTGAGCACTCTAATGGTAAGGAGAAACTAAGACCAGCTGGGTTGTTAATCTTAACTTTAGCCAAGACAAACTCAAATTCTGTTACTTACCTAGGGACGGGTCTCAGGCTGAAGACTGCTCTCTACCATCCTAGAAGCAGGAATAAAAAAACCAACGAACAAACACAAACCTCATCTTCCCTGTTGGAAGTGAGCTCAAACTCCATTAAGGAGTTTCCTGCCTTCCATCATCATGATAGCAGGAAAAGCTTGCATTCCTTATGTTGGAAGCAAGAACAACTCCAAAGAAAAGGGGTTGTACAGCAAAATAAACTTTAGATCTCTATCAAATTTTAGGAGATCAGAGTCTCTGGGGGGGCGTGATATTGTTTGGCTGTGACCCCACCCAAATGTCAACTTGAATTGTATCTCCCAGAATTCCCCCGTGGTGTGGGAGGGACCGGGGGAGGTAATTGAATCATGGGGGCCGGTCTTTCACATGCTATTCTCATAATAGTGAGTAAGTCTCATGCGCTATGACGGGTTTATCAGAGGTTTCTGCTGTTGCTCCTTCCTCATTTTCTATTGCTGCCTCCATGTAATAAGTGCCTTTCAACTCTTGCCATTATTCTGAGGCCTCTCCAGCCATGTGGAACTGTAAGTCCAATTAAACCTCTTTTTCTTCCCAGTCTTGGGTATGTCCGTATCGGCAGTGTGAAAACAGACTACCATTGTAAATTGGTACTAGTGGAGTGGGGTGCTGCTGAAAAGAGTCCTGAAAATGTGGAAGTGACTTTGGAACTGGGTAACGGGCAGAGGTTGGAACAGTTTGGAGGGCTCAGAAGAAGACAGGAAAATGTGGGAAAGTTTGGAACTTCCTAGGGACTTATTGAATGGCTTTACACAAAATGCTGATAGCACTATGGACAATAAAATCCAGGCTGAAGTGGTCTGTGATGGAGATGAGGAACTTGTTGGGAACCGGAGCAAAGACGACTCTTGTTATGTTTTAGCAAAGAGACTGGTGGCCTTTTGCCCCTGCCCTAGAGATTTGTGGAACTTTGAACTTGAGAGAGATGTTCTAGTGTATCTGGAGGAAGAAATTTCTAAGCAGCAAAGCATTGAAGATGTGACTTGGGTGCTGTTAAAGGCATTCAGTTTTATAAGGGAAGCAGAGCATAACAAATTTGGAAATTTTGCAGCCTGACAATGTGATAGAAAAGAAAATCCCATTTTCTGAGGAGAAATTCAACCTGGTTGCAGAAATTTGCATACATAATGAGGAGCTGAATGTTAATCCACAAGACAATGGGGAAAATGTCTCTACAGCATGTCAGAGGTCTTCACGGCAGCCCCTTTCATCACAGGTTTGGAGGCCTAGAAGGAAAAAGTGGTTTCATGGGCCAGGTCCACTGTCCCTGTGCTGTGTGCATCCTAGGGACTTGGTTCCCTGTGTCCCAGCTGTTCCAGCTGTGCCTGAAAGGAGCCATTGTAAAGCTCGGGCCATGGCTTTAGAGGGTGCAAGCCCCAAGTCTTGGCAGCTTCCATGTGGTGTTGAGCTTGCAGTGCACAGAAGTCAAGAATTAGGGTATGGGAACCTCCACCTAGATGTCAGAAGATGTATGGAAACGCCTGGATGCCCAGGTAGAAGTTTGCTTCAGGGGCAGGGCCCTCATGGAGAACCTCTGCTAAGGCAGTGCAGAAGGGAAATGTGGGGTTGGATTCCCCACTCAGAGTACCTACTGGAGTACCACCTAGTGGAGCTGTGAGAAGAGGGCCATTGTCCCAGACCCCAGAATGGTAGATCCTCCAACAGCCTGCAGCATGAGACTGGAAAAGCTGCAGACACTCAACACCAGTTTGTGAAGGCAGCCGCAAGGGAGGCTGTACCCTGAAAAGCCACAAGGTGGGAGTCGCCCAAGATCATGGGAACCCACTTCTTCCATCAGCGTGAGCTGGATGTGAGACATGGAGTCAAAGAAGATTGTTTTGGAGTTTTAAGGTTTGACTGCCCTGCTGGATTTCAGACTTGCATTGGGGCCTGTAGCCCCTTTATGTTGGCCAATTTCTCCCACTTGGAATGGCTGTATTTACCTAATGCCTGTACCCCCATTGTATCTAGGAAGTAACTAACTTGCTTTTGATTTTACCAGCTCGTAGGTGGAAGGGACTTGCCTTGTCTCAGAAGAGACTTTGGACTGTGAACTTCTGAGTTAATGCTGAAATGAGTTGAGACTTTGGGGGACTGTGAGAAGGCATGACTGGTTTTGAAATGTGAACATATGATATTTGGGAGGGGCCAGGGATGGAACGATATGGCTTGGTTCTGTGTCCCCACCGAAATCTCATCTCGTAGCTCCCATAATTCCCACGTGTTGTGGGAGGGACCCAGTGGGAGATGATTGAATCATGGGGGTGGGTCTTTCCAGTGCTGTCCTCCTGATAGTGAATGGGTCTGATGAGATCTGATGGTTTTAAAAATGGAAACTTCTCTGCACAAGCTTTCTTTTTTTCCTGCCGCCATCCATCCACATAAGATGTGATTTGCTCCTCCTTGTCTTCTGCCATGATTGTGAGGCCTCCCCAGCCATGTGGAACTGTAAGTCCATTATAAACCTCTTTTGTAAATTGCCCAGTCTCAGGTTTGTCTTTATCAGCAGCACGAAAACAGACGAATACAGGTAGAAAAGAAACAAATGGTTGCATTATTTTGAGTTTCTGATTAACCTCTCCAAATGAGACAATCAGATATGCATTTATCTCAGTGAGCAGAGGGGTAACTTTGAACAGGATGGGAGGCAGGTTTGCCTTACACAGTTCCCAGCTTGACTTTCCCCTTTAGCTTACTGATTTTGGGGGCCCAAGATATTTTCCTTTCACAGGTATATATCCAGCAGTCGATTGCTTGATCATATGGCAGTTCTATTTTAAGTTTTTTGGGCAATCTCCATACTGTTTTCCTTAATGGTTGTAGTAATTTACACTTCCACCAACAGTGTATAAGGATTTCCTTTTCACTGCATCCCAAGGAAGTTACTTTCAATTTGGCATTCGAGAAAGGTCTCGTTAAGAAGGTGTCACTTGAACAGAACTCAAGGAAAGTGAGGGAGTGTGCTCTGCTGACGTCTGCAGGGAGAATGTCTCAGGTGGAGTGAACTGCAAGTGTGAGGTCCTTGTTCTTCCTGAGATTGAGGGACAGCAAGGAGGCTGGGGTTGTGGGAAAGGAGTGTCCAGGAGGGACAGTGACAGGAGAGGGGAGGCCAGCAAGACAGTGAGGTCCATAGCATGGAGGGTCTTTGGGGCCACGATAAAAGTTTGGGTATCTGCTCTGGATGAGATGGGGGTCACTGAGGACTGTAAGCACAGAAGTAACATGATCTGACTTGTGTTTTTTAAAAAATCACTTTAGCAGCTGTGTGGAGATTAGATTGTAGAGGGCAGAAGCGGAGGCAGGCAGCTGAGGTGAAAAGCCCTCTCTCTGCTCTGTGCTTCTCAGTGAGAGGTGAATAGGACATGCTCAAACCTGAGCCCTGCTAAGTCACGTGAATGGCTGAGCAGGCTGGGAGAGATGCTATCAGTAGAAAGAGACACTTTTATGCTTTTTTTCTGATGATCTTCGCTTTTGCAAGTTCTTTTATTTGCCTAGGAGTGAGAGAGGATGGGGAAAAGATTATCATCCTTTCCCAGAAAAGTCTTAAATATGACTCCCAAGAATGTGAAGCTAGGAAGCAGAGGTCACCAGACATGGTCAAGGCTGCAGCCTTGGCTTTTACTTCTGCTCTGCCATCTCTTGCTGTGGCACCCTGGACAAGTTACTGCCCCTCTGAAGACATGATTTCTCGTCCTTGCCCAGGTTGTGGGCTGAGTGCCAGAGAGTGCCTGCAGCCAGGATGAGTTTTGCACTTGGCAGGGCAGTGCGCTTGTGCTATGTCCCTGCTGCCACTGAGTACTGAGCTCCCTGTTTCTTCTCCTCCAACCTCTGTAGGCCTACTAAGGATTGGGCTGCTGTTCTTGGGCAAGCAAGGTGCTGCTAGGATCTGGGTACTGATAGGACTGAGGCCACCCCAGAGGCTTAGCAGCCTGGAGCACCAGGTCTTCATTTAACTCCTCCTTCCACAAAGAAGACCTATTTGGAGACTGAAGACACCTGCAGGGTATTAACAAGACTTGAAATGCTGATTAATAATAATATCAGCTGATAATTTGATGCTTATTATGCCCTGGACATTGTTAAATGCTCATAAACCGGGATTCCATAAAAAAATTAATACAGAAAATGAAATGCAGTAGAAATACCTGGAAAAGCAAATTAGAGAAAATTAAATGAAAATGATCATCCATACTCCATGTCCTATCCATCTGGAATCATTAATTCTCCTATCATTTCCACAGAGCCTACTCTGGGCCAGCCATCTTAGATGCCATCTCTGTGGTCCCATCTTCACTGGAAAATTTTAGAAGTGCAGACCAGGCACATTGGAAGTAAGTTATTTGGGTTGTTCCTTTGACTGTGCTTGCTGCCGGTCACTGACCATCTGAGCCAGTGCCCTGGCGTTGAACCAGCCTTAGTCTCTCCCAAAGGTTTCTATCCACTGGCCACCTCCCCACATTTCTCTGCTCCCCTAAAATGAATGAGAAGGACTTACTAAAGGTACTCAGCAAGGCCTTGCCAAAGTTACAGGTGTCCCCTTCCTTTTCTCACTAATGCTACCCTAGCTCTCCAGCTTCCCTTTTGGGCATGTATGGAGGGTTCATGTTTCAGTTTCTTCTGAGCATTTAGCTCTGTGCTAGTGCTTGTGGGAGGATTCCTGAAAAGTAACACAAATCCTGAGGTCTGGATTAACTAGAGGGGACCAAAAGGAAGGGGGAGAACAGCATCCATCTGTCTGCAAATGGGAGACAGAGGTGCCTATGGCACTGCTCCTCTCACTGTAATTACACCCTGCAGACTGAAAGAAGCCTTCCTGCCAGGCTCCCCACTTTGGGGAAAGAGCACCTTACAGTGAAAGTTTCTGTGACAAAAAGAACTAGAGCAAAGAAAAAAAGTGTAGATGATGATTTCAGAGGCTGGAAAGCATAGAGAAAACTGGTTTAAAATAGGTTTTCTGTTGAGTGTCACTGGTGGTTAATAAAGTAGAACACTGGACTGCATGCAAACCTCTGTGCTGGTAATGTCTCACCCATGGGGAAGAGGTGGCTCTGAGCAGTCTCTTGGGGAAAAAAAAGTCCCATCTGCTGAGGCCCAGCAGCCCGAATTCCTTGTAGAATCGTTCTCAACAAAATACTACATAGGCTTCTTCCCCTGTCTCCACTCTCTATAGGCCCAGGGCCAGTGATGTGAAAGCCTGACATCTTGAAATTAAGCTTGTGGGCCCATGGCTGTTAGTTCTGAACCAGTCCCAACAGATTGGGTATAGTGGAAGATTCAACCCAGATGCATGCACACGCACACACACACACACACGCACACACACATATATATGGAGAGAGAGAGAGAAAGAGAAGAGAGGAGACAGAGAAAGAGGAGAGATAGAAGAGAGGAATGAGAGAGAGAGAGATTTATCATGAAGTATTGGCTTACACCATTATAGAAGCTGAGAAGTCCCACGATCTGTCTGCAAGCTATAGACTCAGGAACGCTGGTGGTTTGGCTCAAAAGCCTGATATCTGGAAAGCCGATGGTGTGAATTCCAGCCTGGATCTGAAGACCTGAGAATCAGGAGCACTGAGGGCAGGAGAAATGAATATCCCCACTCAAGCAGTCAGGCAGAGAGCAAATTAAACCTTCCTCTGCCTTTTGGCTCTATTTGGACCATAAATAGATTAGATCATGCCGACCCTCATTGGGGATGGCCATCTGCTTTACTTAATGCACTACTTTAAATGTTAATCTCTTTCAGAAACACCCTCACACACACGCCCAGAAAAAAAAAAGTTTAACCCAATATTTGGGCATTTTGTGGCCCAGTCAAGTTGACACACAAAACTAACCATCACAAACATCAAGCCAGGAATCTAAACTGGAGCCCAACCTGATTTCATCCCTGACTGGATGTTTGGCTTCTGACCAATCTTTGCTCCATATCCAAGCCTTAGCGTCATTACTAGAACAATGGGGAGGCAGATGAGGTGGAATCTGAGGGCCTTCCCATTCTGCATATAGGATGCTGGGATGCCAGGAGTTAGGGACTTCCTTATCTTTTTTGCCACACCTGCCACCCTGCATTCCTACTTCAAGAAGGCTCAGATGTGCTGGCCTCCAGCTCTTCTACAGAAAGCTTCCCCTTGTTGGGTCCCCATCAACCCATCAACAGCTCTACACAGGGCTAAGGGAAAGCATTTAATCCCAGCAACAGGTGTTTGATCTTTCCATTATGTGTCCTAGTAATTGCCCCCAAAGGCCTCTCAAAGCTGCTAAAATCATGCTATTAGTTTGGGGTGTTTTGCCAATAAGAATACAGACAGAATTGTTGCTCTTTTGCTCTTCAGGCTGTTTAACTGAAGTTACACCCTAGCAGAACCAGAATCAAGACTAAGTTCAGGCTGAGAGTCTCATGAGGTTTGACATCTGACAAGTCTTTTGGAACTAGGTGTAGCTGTATCTGCGGTAATGCACTAATTCTGCCCACTGGGTAAAAAGCAACCATATCCCCATCTGGGCTCTGCACTGGTGGTGCAATACAGCTGGTCAGATTCTAAAGAATCTCAAGATTTCACATGGGCCCCTTTTCGAGTGGAAAGGCCCACATTATCAATTGCCTGCAATGCACCTGGCTGCTCAACATACATGTTGCACTTCACTGTGGCCAAACCTGACCAAATCAGCCCTCCTTACTCTACTGCTCCTCCAGAATTCCCCATTTTAAGGGTGGTGCTCTCATCTTCCTGGAAGATTCCTGAAGGCATCCTGGGAACTGCCTTTATCCTTCCTCTCCCTCTTTGTAGTTTGAGGACAAATTCTATCCATTCTGTCTCTTCTCCAACCCCAGTTCCAGTGCTTTAGCCTCCCTCAACTCTCACTGAAATCATGCTATCATCTTCAAATGGAACTCTCTATTTTACCTCCACACATTCTGTTCTCTAGACTGACTTCCAAAACACAGATATTTGTGACTATCCTGTCCCTACCCACCTCCATGCAACTCAGACACCTTCCTTTGCTCTGGGGCACATACTAAATAACAGTTGATTGTGTGGCTGCACGGTCCTTGGTATGTTGTCCTTAGCTGTTGCATCTCCTCCCTTCCTACCTCTTCACCCTCAAACACCTTAGAGTTCTTCCCGTGCCCTGAGCAGATTTTGTACTGTATCACTTCTTTCTCTTGCTTACACAGTTCTCTCAAAGTGGAATGCCTTGCATCTAATCTCTACATGTCTGAAGAATTGCATCTTAAAAGACTCAGCTCAAATGCTGCTTCCTCCAGGATACTTTGTTGGGTTGCAATCCTGTTGGTTATTTGGCTGCTGTAGTAATTTGTAGCTCAGAAAACTTATTACTAATTTCCTTATAGAATTATTAACTGGCCACAGATCTACTTGCACCTCCAAACTGTGAGCATCAATAGGGCAAAGATCAAGTGTGACCTATGGCAGTGTGCCCATGCCTAGGAGAACAATGAATACAGACTGCAGATATCTCGGACATTGAAGATCACCAAAATTCTCCAGACAAGAACCACGACCCAGCCTGGAGTAATATCCTTTTATGCTAGGTTAATTCAATTTAGGACCAGCTCGTGGGATATTAGACTAACAAGTATGCAGGTGGAGGCCTGGGGGCCACATAAATATGCAGGATGGCTTGCCAAATCTCTGCCCCATCAGGCTATTTACACAGGTAGTTGGACCCTGCCTACAGATGAAGCACAGTGTGGGCAGAGAATTACTCACTTGTTCAGGACATAGATAAGATCCTTCCAGACCAGAGAGCTGTGCTTGGCAGGGGTACAAATAGCTTCAATTTCAAAATCTTTAATGACTCAACCAGAGTAATAACTTAGACCTGCATCATAGCTGCCTGCTGTGAGGGCCCCAAAGCCCCAAGCTTTATGTCTGCAATGAGACTTGTCCTCAGCATTGAACCTAAATCCTCGAAACACCCGACAGAGGCCTGATGAATAGTTCTAGCTATTTGCCCTAAATGATGAATAGTTTTAGCTATTTACCCTCCCCATCAGGAGAGGGAGAACATTGCTAAGCAGAAGACCCAACTAAATGAGGTAGAGAAGCCCTGGGTGGGCTTCTGGGCAGTTCATTGCCTCTCAGAGACCCTGTGGTGGGAGCAAAAAGGTGGCACAGCTGAGATCACTTCATTAAGGGGGACCACAGCAACCATAGCTAGAACTCAACTTCCTGCTGTAAGTTCAGATATCCCTTGTTCTCTGAAGAACTGCTGTATCTTTCATTGTCTATGGGCATCTAGGTGAATTCAAGAACAGAAAGCAAAGTGAAACATAAAACAACACATTTTCCCTACCAGAGACCTGACCTCTCCTTTGTTACTGAGATAAAACAAAATACCAAAAGACTTGCGTCCCTTCCCCAACAACAGCAGAGAGATTGCCAATGGGTGAGTCACAGAGAGGGCAATGAGGTCATGGAATGCATGCTCATTCCCATGAAAGCAGAATTAAATCCATCCTATTGGATGGCCCATAGTATCTTTAAATTCAACATATTCAAATTCAAATTCATCTTCCAAATCTTATGCTCCACAATTTCCCTGGTATCTGAAAATGACAACATTTACCCAATTATTAAAGCCAGTAACTTAAGATTCCTTTATGACTCCTCAATCATCATTCTACCTCTCACCTATTCCATCATGAGTTACTTTTTAGCCTACCTTCTAAATCTCTCTACAATATATCTGCTTACTCTACTACTTCACTGTCACTGCCCTAGTCCAAGCCAACATCAACTGTGGCCTAAACTACAGCAATAGCCCCTAATTGGCCTTACTGCCTCTACTCTAATCCCCTCAAACCTATTCTCCATTCAGCAGTCAGTGTGCATTTTCACTCTCCTACCTCATATACTCCAAGGGTTTTCCAAGGTCCTGAAGTCTTAAATTTGGACCATGACCTACAAAACAGTCGTACTCAGAGTTGCTTAAAAAGCATAGCCAAATATGAAGTTTACATCCTAAGGCTTTATTTAGCGATTCAGTCTTGAGACAGCAAGAGTGATGTGAAAAAGATAAGTCAGGTAAGAAAGGTAGGAAAGCAAATATCAGGTGGCAGACTATGCAGCTGTCCAGAATTTCCAAAGAAACTCAGCCTGTTGCTCAGGGGCATTAGGCATCTGTGGACAGTTGGAATGGAACCACCTTGCTGCAGAATAGTCGATTCTATCTCTTGTTGCTTATTGATGAAAATTCAACTCAGAAGCTACTAACCTACCTGTACATTCAGGTTATGCTATCCACCCTTCAGGTATCCATTATGGAAGTGAGACCCCATGGTGCCTAAGGCACTTCATCTGAGTCTAGAAGTGATAGGAGGGACCAGGGCTTCTATTGGATGCAGTAGGATCAGGCCTGGGTAGCACAACACTTGCAACTTCTACCACGGTAGACTCAGTGGAGGATACAATGGAGCCTAACCCTCACCTTGAAGTAGAAAGTGACTAAAATTACTGACAGTGCTAGGTAATAAGGCAATAGCAGTGGCATATGGGGCTTTTCATTGAGAAAATGACTTTGTGTCTGGAAAGTGGGCAGGGCTGAGCAAAACTGGGGTGGCATATAACTAGAATCCAATACAAACAGAGAGCCTGATTAGACCAGCTTCATCTGACGACATGTTTCTTGCTTTCTACACTTCGGTCTCACTGAACTTCTGAATCCTCTAGAAGTGCACTATGCTATGTGGCTACATAAATGTAGATTGATTAAAATTAAATAACATTGGGACTTCCACTTCTTGCCAAGTTAAAGTAATAAGGATTAGATTTATTCTCCTGCCTGAAAGAACAAAATGTGTGAAACAATACTTTTCAGGACTCTGTGCATCACGTAACAAAGAACAGTGATCCTGGAGAAAAGAGAAACAGTTGGTGAGTACTATGATTTTCCCAGCTTATTGCCTAGAAAATCTTCTAAGATGTGATGCAAGGAGGGAAAACCCAGGCAAAGCCTTACAGTATCCCTGAATTGAAGACTTCCAGCTTGGATTTTGGGAAAACAAAGACAGCCAGAGCTTGTAGTGCAGAATATTGGAGAGTAGAAAGATACACATAGAAATAATTCCAGATGTCTGTGGAGTGCCCCCCTCAAGTATTCAACAGAATACTGATCAGCACATGCATATGAGGAAACTATTGGAGGCTGGGGTAAGAATTATCTAAAAGGATGAGAGTGAAGGACATAGCACTCACACAATCTGGAACAGTACCTGCTGCCACCAGCCAGACTAGACAAATTCGTAATTCACCTGACAATGGATAGAGTACACAGTATTCTTGCTTCAAAAGTGAGGAATTATGAACCCTAGACTGAGCAATGTCCCACTCCCACCTAATAAATCAAAAGGACCAGACTGTTTCTAATTAACTTAACTGCATTCCAGAATGAAGATTGATAATGTTTATAGGAATTCAAAAATATAGCACTTGACAAGGTAAAATCTAGCACCTGACAAGGTAAAATCAAAATGTCTGGCTCCAAACAAATATTGCAGGCATGCAATGAACTAGAAAAATCCAAACAACAGAAAGAAAAATTAATCAGTTGAAACCAACCCAGAAGTGATACAGATATCAGAATTAGCAAACATGGACATTAAAAGAATAATTATAATTGTGTTCCATATGGTAAAAAGTTAAGTAGAAATGTGACAGATATAAAAAGACACAAATCAAACTTCTGCAGATGAAAACTTAAAAAAATGAGATAAAAATGCACTAGATGAGATTAACTAACAAATTAGATATTTCAGAAAAAAAGAAAAGTGAGCTTGAAGATATAGCAAAATAAACTATCCAAGATGGGAAGCTGAGAGAAAAGAGAAGTTAAAAAAAATAGCAGAGCATCACTGAGCTGTAGAAAACTGCAAGTGCTCTAATATACATATAATTAGAGTCTCTGAAAATGAGAGGCAAACAGAAAAATTATGTAACAAAATGATGTCCTTTTTTTCCAAATTTGATGAAAAATATAAACCCACTGTGTTAGCCCATTTTGCATTGCTAAAAGTAATACCCGAGACTGGGTAATTTATAAAGAAAAGAGGATTATTTTGGCTCATGGGTCTGCAGGCTATACAGGAAGCATGGTGGTGCCAGCATGTGCCTCTGGTAAGGCCTCAGGAAGCTTACAATCATGGTGGAAGGCAAACAGGGAGCCAGTGTGTCACATGAAGAGAGAAGGAGCAAGAGAGAGGGAAGAGGGTCCAGGTTCTTTTAAACAACCAGATCTTGCATGAACTCATAAAGTGAGAACTAACTTAATACTGTGAACACAGCATCAAACCATTTGTGAGGGATTGTTCCCCATGACACAAACACCTCCCACTGAGCCCACCTCTAATATTGGAAGTCACATTCCAACATGAGATTTGGAGGGGATAAAACATCCAAACCGTATCACCCACCAATCCAAAAAGCTCAGCAAACAGGGATCACAAGAAACATGAAGAAAATTACACCAAGGCACATCACAAACAAATTATGAAAAACAGAGATAATAAGAAAACCTAGAGGAGACAGAAAAGAAATATGTAGCAGAGGAATAAAGATAAGGGCATAAGATTTTTGTTGGAAATAACGCAAGTGAGAAGATAGTGAAGCAATATTTTTAAAGTATTGAAAACAACATGTCAACCTAATATTCCACACCCAGGAAAAATGTCACTCAAAAAGGAAGTGATATGAAAATCACATGATATGGTATGATATGATATGAAAAATGAAGCTTTTTTCAGACATACAAAAGGTGAAAGACATCAGCACTAACAGATCATCCCTTCTATTCCCAGTTTATTAAGTGTTCTTACCAAGAAAGGGGGCTGAATATTTTCTGCATCTATTGAGATGATCATGTGATTCTAGCAACCAATTAATATTATATATTACATTATTTCCAGATATTAAACCAACCTTGTATTCCTGGGATAAATCCCACATGGTCATGCTTTATAATTCTTTTTAAATGTTGCTGGATTTGGTTTGCTATTATGTTGTTGGAGTTTTTGCATGTCTACATTTATAACTGAAGAGAAAGAAATACTTTCCATCTCAATTTATGAGACCAACATTATCTTAATAATAAAAGCAAATAAAGACATTACAAGAAACGAAAACTAAAGACCAATATCTTCAAGTACATAATTTTAAAAAGAATCTTAAAATATTTTTAGCAAATTAAAAGCCAGCAACATGTAAAAAGGATACTACATCATGTTCAAGTAGATTTATCCCAGGAATGCAAGTTTGTGTTAATGTTTGAAAATTAATCAATGTAGTACATCATATTAACAAATCTAAAAAGACCCATATGATGACCTCAGCAGAAGCATTCGGCAGTATTCAAAATCCATTACTTATGAAACCTCTGCACAAACTAGGAATAGAAGAGAACTTCCACAACCAGATAAAAGTAACTTATAAGAAATCATAATACATTATGATAAAGGAATGAATGACCTTGCTTGAAGATCTGGAACAAGATAAGGAGTTCACTTTCATCACGTCTATTTAACATTGTACTAGAGATTCTAACCACTGCAATAAAGCCAGAAGAAAAATAAGGGAAGAAGAAGGAAGGAAGGAAGGAAGGAAGGAAGGAAGGAAGGAAGGAAGGAAGGAAGGAAGGAAGGAAGGAAGGAAGGAAGGCAGGCAGGCAGGCAGGCAGGCAGGCAGGCAAGCATGTAGATTGAAAAAGAAAAATAAAAACCCTTTATTTGCAGACATTATTATAATCTACATAGAAAATCTGACTGAATCTTGTTTAAAAGTCTGAAACTAGTGTCTTTGATAAGTGCTGTAGTCAGAATAACAGTCTTCTAAAGATGTTCATATTCTAATCTTCAGAGCCTGTGAATATGTTACCTTCCATGGCAAGAGGGGCTTGGCAGGTGTGATTAAGTTAAGGAACTTGAGATAAGAATATTATTCTGGATTATCCTGGTGGGCCTAATGCAATCATAAAAGGAAAGCAAAAGGGGCAGAGTCAGAAAGAGAGAAACATTGGAAGATGTTATTCTGCTGGCTTTAAGATGGAAACTGGAACCATGAGTCAAACAATATGAATAGCCTCTGGAAGCTAGAAAAAAAAGGAGATTCTCCCCCAAAGACTCCAGAAGGAGCACAGTCCTGATGACACCTTGATTTTAGGCCACTGAGACTAATTTTGGAACTCTGACTGCCAGAATTGTAATATAATAAATTTGTATTGTTTTAAGCTACCAAGTTTGTGTTAATTTGTTATAGCAGTCATAAGAATCTAATATAGCAAGTTTGCAGGATATAAGATCAATAAACAATAATCAATTGTAGATGTATATGGTAATGATAAAAAAGAGAAATTAAAATTTAAAAATACTGCATACAATCACTTCGAAAAGTATGGAATACTTAGGGATAAATCTGACAAAGGAATGAGACACTTAGACACTGAAAATTACAGAACATTGCTGAGAAAATGAAATACCAAAATAGATATACTGTGTTCCTGGATCAGAAGACCCAATATCATTAGAATGTTAATTTTCCTAAGCTGTTCTATAGATTCAATGCAATTCCAATCAAAAATCACAAAACACGTATTTTGTAGAAATAGGAAATCTGATGCTAAAATTAATATGGTAATGTATGCACCTAGAATACCCAAAACAACTTTGAAAAAGAGAAGCAGGAAAATACCCATCTAATAGCAGATTAATAACCAGAATATATAAGGAGTTCAAAAAACTCAGTCTAATAATCCAATCAAAAATGGGCAAAATATTTGAATAGACATTTCTCAAAAGAAGACATACAGATGGGAAACAGACATATGAAAAGTTGCTCAACAACATTGATCACCAGAGAAAAACAAACCAAAACTACAATGACACATCATCTCATACCAGTTAAAATGACTTCTATCCAAAAGTCAGGCAATAATAAATGCTGGAGAGGATGTGGAGAAAAGGGAATCTTTGTACACTGTTAGTGGGAATGTAAATTAGTACAAACACTATGGAGAACAGTTTGGAGGTTCCTCAAAAAACTAAAAATTGAGCTACCTTATGATTCAGTAATCTCACTGCTGGGTATATACCCAAAAGAAAGAAAATCAGTATTTCAAAGAGATATCTGCACTCCCATGTTTGTTGTAGCACTATTTACAATAGTTACAATAGTTAACATCTGGTAGCAACTTAAGGGTCCACCAACAGATAAATGGATAAAGAAAATGTGGTATGTATGCACAATGGAGTACTATTCAGCCATAAAGAAGAATGAGATCTTGCCATTTGCAGCAACATGGATGGAACTGGAGATCTTTATGTTAAGTGAAATAAACCAGACACAGAAAGACAAACATTGCATGTTCTCACTTATTTGTGAAATCTAAAAATTAAAACAATTTAACTCATGAGCATAGAGAGTAGAAGGATGGTTACCAGAGGCTGGGAAGGGTAGTAGGGGGCTGGGGAGAAGGTAGGGATGGTTAATGGGTACAAACAAATAGAAAGAATGAATAAGACCTACTATTTGATAGCACAAAAGGGAGGCTATAGTCAATAATAACTTAATTTTACATTTTAAAATAAATAAAAGAGTGTAACTGAGTTGTTTGTAACACAAAGGGTAAATACTTGAGGGGATGGATACCCCATTCTCCATGATGTGATTATTTTGCATTGCATGCCTGGATCAAAACATCTCATTTACCTAAAAATTATACACCTATTACGTACCTCAAAAAATTAAGAATTAAAAAACATTAAAAAGAGAAGCAGGAACTCATATAGTCCTTTGAGAAGAAAGAGTTGTTGGGATCTTCCAAGTGGGACCTTTAGCAGTGGGTGAGCACAGGTTAACAATGCCTCCAACATGGCTTTCTGGGTGGTTGGTAACCCTTCAAGTGGCAATTCAGTTTAAATCAGCACCCACCTGTCCCATTGCAACCCCAGGGTCATGTTTACATTACCTATTGGATGGCCCACGTTAGTCACCCTTTGAAAGATAGCGGGAGAAGAAGACGAGTTTACCAAGGCTGCTGTGATTTGTGCTAGAAGAAGAACAACAAATTGCTCGTCACTAAGGAATATATTATAGACTGATGAATCTGCCATGGATGCATAATTATTGAAAAGCAAAACTCTCCAAGAATCAGCTTTTTACGAAAACAACATATGCCTTACTTCTCCCAGGGAAATGGCAGGAAAGGCCCCTTTGGAAGTGTCCCCCAATTTCCTTGCATACTATCCAAAGGAACAAACAGAGGGAGTGGGATACATGTGTGGGAGGAGACACGTGTTGTCCTACTCCGCCCTTTCAATTAGATGTATTGCCAGTTTAGTTTGTGTCTGTGTAACCATTTCTGTATCACTTGAAAACTGCTGGATGTATTGCCATGCAGTTTAAGGGAAGTTTGGAGAAGTTATAGGCCTTGTACGATGCATAAAGATTGCCTTGGGTGGTGATTAGTACATAGTATCTAGTGATTCTAAGAGGCATTGGGCAGAGAGTGTCCCCAAATATCATTCTCCAATGAAAAGTCCCTAGGGTGGACCCTCCCCATTACAAATGATTTTTCACCCAGTAATGGGTGAATGAGCCTGAGTGACACCAGGATGGCCAAAGGGTCAATACCTAATGACCACCGTACCCCTTGCTGGTTATCTGCTATGTGCCAGCCATGGAGACCCTTCTCTTTACCTCAGTTCTGATAAGACAACATCATTAACTGTGCTTGAAAAATAAGTCCTCTTCAGAAAAGACTCTCAAACCTGGACTAGGCTGAGCCAAAATAGAGAGCAACGTCAAAAGGGCTGGGGTCGAGTTTAGCATGGCATCAAGTCTCATTTGAATCTTTGTGTCTGGGTTGTGTGGCTTAGTACTTGTCCAGGAGCCATCTTTCCCAATGGTCTGCAACCCTCACTGTGGCTGGCAAAAATGTCTGGCTGGTCCACAAGTCTCCCAGAGTCCAGCCTGACATCTGGCACATAGCAGAGGTTCACTGTTTAATGAGTGAACAAGTTGCAGGTTCCTCATCTGTACAATGAAGATAATGATTTCTGAGATGCCTACCTTACCTTACAGTGTTGTTATGTACCGAAGTCAGAGTGATAATGCTACTGAATATAAGGTATCCTCATAATTGTAGTTTTCACACCTACTGTGTCCAATCAATGTCACATACAATGCCTACATCAAGACTGAGCCCAGTGTATAGTCATTTAATAACTTCCAATTACTGTACATCCACTAGAATGGCTACTAAAGACCTATTTAAAAGAGTGATAACAAGTGTTGGCAAGAATGGGGAGAACTGGAACCCTCACGCACTGCTGGTAAAATGATACAAACACTTTGTAAAATAGTTTGATGGTTTCTAATACAGTTAAACATAGAGTTACCATATGACCCAGCAATTCCATTCCTAGATATATATCCAAATGAAACAAAAACGTATGTTTTCACAAAGACTTGTACTCAAGTGTTCATAATAACATTATTCATATAGTCTCCCAACTGGAAAAATATGTTCATCAACAGGTTAATAGATAATAAAGTGTGACATGATGCAATAAAAAAAATGAACCACTGATACATTTTACAACATGGATGGCCTCAAAAATATGCTGTGTGAAAGAAGCCAGACAAAAAATACAAACTGTATGATTCTACCTGTATGAAACTCTAGAAGGGACAAATATAATCTATAGGAACACAAATCAGATTATTAAATACATCTAAGAATGGGGCATTGAATGGGAATGGACATTAGGGAATGAATATTTTCCCTATCTTGAGCTGAGTTATGGTTATACAGGTTTATACCTATATAAGTATTCACTTAATGTTCGTATGCTGTCCTATATGTAAGCTACGCCTCTCAATATTTAAAAAAAAAATAAAAAAGAAAATGTCTGTTCTCAGGCAAATCAGGAAAATATATAGTGCAACAAATACAGTCTTATAGTTTGCTATGAGCGTGGCAGTATTTTAAGTATCTTACATAAATTAATTCAAGTTAATTCTCACAATAAACTTATAAGGAAAGTACTATGGTTATTCCAGTGTTACAAAGTAGAAACTAGATTTGAAGAAGTTAAGCAACATTTCCTGTGTCACAGAGCCAATAACGAGTCTAGTGGAGATTTGAACCTGGGTCTGTGTGGCTCCAAAGCCCTTAACCAAGAAACAAATTTGATTCCCCAACAGCTCTCTCTAGTGAATGGGGATGAGTTAGTTGTGATAGGCTGAGCACTCCAGAGGAAATTGACCAGATGGCTGAGGGCCCCAGAAAGCTTTGGGCAGGTGAGGTGAGGAGATTTGGTGACTGGCTCACAGTCCCCACAGGGCAAGACTGAAGCAGAGGGCAGAGATTTGTTCTGAAGGGCTCTAGTGGGCTGTGCTGAGGCCAGGGAGGCAGACTGCCACTCAACCAAAGCAATAGCACAGGCAGAGTGCCTCCCACTGGAACAGGATGTCCTATGGTGGTGAGCAACCTGTCACGCAGGTCAGCCATTGGATAGAGACTTGGGGAAGTTCCACACACAGTGATTAAGACACAAGGCAGGCTTCAAATCCAGGCTTTGCTCCTTCTAGCTGGGTAATCTTTGGGAAGCTACACAGGTTCACTGGGGCCAGTTTTTTATCTGTAAAGTGGAAATACTGTCAGTGGCTTCCCGCCGTAAGTATTAAAGGAGACAATGCATGCAGAGTGCATGGCTCAGTGCCTGGCACGCTAAATGAAGGTGACCTGCTGCTGTTGTTGTCATCATGTTGTGGACAATATTGGACTAGCATCTAAATAAAAAACTCAGTAACTTAGTAACAAAGCAATGGCTAATCACTTTAAAACAAAACAAAAAAAATCCTGAAAGGCTTTCTGAAATCCAAGCAGCTTTGACTTCGTCTTGAGGGCACTCTTCAGTAGGCCAATGATGTGGTTGTATTTTCATTTTCACATGTTCACCCTGGTTGCCATGTGAAAAGTAGCCTGAAAGGACAAGAGTGGAGGCAGGGAGACTTGTTTGGAGGCTGTTGCAATTGTCCAGGCAAGTGTCAATAGGAATTGGCTTGCTGTGCATGAAGAGAAATGAAGGACAGCCAAAACTGGCTGCATCTAAAAAGGAGGAAGTGTTTCCCCTCTTTGACATGCGCAAAGGCCCAGAACACCCCAATGGGCGCTGAGGAATTAAATCAGGGTTCCAGGCTCTAGCCCTGCATCAGCATGCTAAGGAGTCAGCCACAGATGATGGAGTAGGAACATGATCGGAAGTGACAGGCCTCCGTCTGCAGGGCCCTACACTACCCACTGAGGCTTTAATCATGAACAGTTGATTCTAAATGGCTGCCAAACCGTCTGTTCCATTCAGGGCCACAGCTTCCAATCCAAACCTGAACACTCCACAGAGCTAATCTCTCCAACCTACCCAGCACACTCAGGGGCAAAATGCAGGGGAGAAGGACTGGCCCCAGGCAGAGAAACATTGAACAGAACCCTGAGCCCTTCTGTGGACACAGTGCTTTACAATTTACAAGGCAGGATCACATCTATTATCCTCGGGGTTTGTACAAGCACTTCTCCCACTTCACGTCAGGAGCTTGACTTGGGGGAAAGTTCAGTTTTGTAACATGTGTGATGTTATCTGTGGCTTTTTTTCACAGAATGCTTTATCGGGTAGAGGAAGTTCCTTTCTACTCTTAGTTTGTTCAGTGTTTTTATTATAAAAGGATGTTATACTTTGTCAAATACTTTTTCTGGGCACAAACAAGATCATGTGGGGTTTTTTCCTTTTATTCTATTAATATGGTGTATCATATTGAATATGATACCATTTTTAGATATCAGGCTAGTAAAAGTAAGCAATAGCTTCTTTAATATATATTTAGAAATATGTATTTCAAAACTTAAGAAATAAAAGACAAGTGTATGATAACCAGAAAGTTGGTACCACTGTAACCAGAAGTACCACTGTCTCTGTTATGGGGAGGAAAACCAGAGATGAGCTAGGGAAGGAGCACACGGTTGGTTGCCATGGTGTCAGGCGATGCTCTTGATCTTGGTCTGAGTGGTTGGTTGACGTGTTTTACATTCCCATAAGCAATATACCAGGATTGCAATTTCTCCACATCCTTGACAACACTTTTTTCTTTTTAAAAAAGAAAAAAAAAAAAACACAGCTATCCTGGTAGGTATAAAGTGGCATCTCGTTAAGATTTTGATTTTACATTTTCTTTTTTTAACCTTAAATTCGAGGTACAGTGCAGGTTTGTTACAAAGGTAAACTTATGTCATGGGGGTTTGTTGTACAAATTATTTCCTCACCCAGATATTAAGTCTAGTACCCATTAGTTATTTTTCCTGATCTTCCTCTCCCACCCTCCACCCTCTGAAAGTCCCCAGTGTGTGTTGTTTCCCTCTATGTGTCCATGTGTTCTCATCATTTAGCTCCCATTTATAAGTGAGAACATGTGGCATATAATAATTATACATATTCATGAGGTACATAGTAATGTTTCAAGACATGTAGAGTGATCAGATCAGCATAATTAGCATATACACAATCTCAAACATTTATCATTTCTTTGTGTGTGGAAACATTCAATATCCCTCTCCTAGCTATTTAAGACGATATATTATTGTTAACTATAGTCATCTTACTGTGGTATAGAACACTAGAAATTATTCCTCCTATCCAGCTGTAATTTCGCATCTTTTAACAAACTTCTGCCTACCCCCACCCCTTTCTTTTACCCTTCTCAGCCTCTATTCTACTTTTTACTTTTATAAGATAAACATTTTTAGCTTCCACATATGAGTGAGAACATGCATTGTTTGACTTTCTGCTCCTGGCCTGTTCTCCCTAACATCATGTCCTCTAGTTTCATTCATGTTGTTGCAAATGTCAGGATTTCATTCTTTTTTATGGCTGATTAGTACTCCATCGTTTATGTGTATCACATTTTCTTTACCAACTCATCTGTTGTTGGACACCTAGGTTGATTCCATATCTTGGCTATTGTGAATAGTGCTGCAATAAACATAGGGGTGCAGATGTTTGTTTCATATACTGATTTCATCTCCTTTGGATAAATTCCCAGTAGTGGGATTGCTGGATCATATGGTAGTTCTATTTGTAGTTTTTTGAGCAATCTCCATACTGTTCTACATAGTGGCTATACTAGTTTACATTCCCACCAACAGTGTGTAAGAGTTCCCTTTTCTCTGCATCCTTGCCAGAATTTTTTTTTTGTCTTTTTTATAGTAGCCACTCTAACAGATGTGAATGACATCTCATTGTGGTTTTGATTTGCAGTTCACTTTTGATTAGTAATGTTGAGCATTTTTTAATCTATTTGTTGGCCATTTGTATGTCTTCTTTTGAGAAATTTCTGTTAGATCATTTGCCTATATTTAATTGGATAGTTCGGCTTTTATTATTTTGCTGTTGAATTCCTTATATATTCGGGTTATTAATCCCTTTTCAGATGAATAATTTGCTAATATTTTCTCTCATTGTGTAGGTTGTCTTTTCACTATGTTGATTGTTTCCTTTGCTGTGCAGAAGGCCTTTGGTTTAATTTAATTCTATGTGTTTATTTTTGCTTTTTCTGCCTATGCTTTTGAAGTCCTATTCATAGAATCTTTTCCCAGACAAATGTCCTAAAGAATTTCCCTAATATTTTCCTCTACTAGTTTTGTAGTTTTAGGTATTACATTTGGGTCTTTCATCCATTTTGAGTGATTTTTGTGTAGGATGAGAGGTGTGGGTCTAGTTTCATTCTTGTGTGCATGGGTATCCAATTTTCCCCAGCACTATTTATGGAAGAAACTGGCCTTTCCACAACGAGTGTTCTTGGCACCTGTGTCAAAAATCAATTGGCTGCAAATACATAGATTGATTTCTGGGTTCTCTATTTTGTTACATTGGTCTATGTGTCTGTTTTCATATCAGTACTATGCTCTTTTAGTTACTATAGCTTTGTAGTATATTTTGAAGTCTGGTAGTGTGATGCCTCCAGCTTTGTTCTTTTTGCTTAGGATTACATTGGCTATCTGAGATTTTTTGTGGTTCTATACACATTTAAATATTTTGCCCTGTTTCTGTGAAGACAGTCATTGATATTTTGGTAGGGATTGCCTTGAATCTGTAGATTGCTTTGAGTAGTATGGTCATTTTAACAATGTTAATTATTCCAATCCATAAGCATGGAACAAATGTCTTTCCATTTTTTTGTAACCTCTTCAATTTGTTTCATCAGTTTTTTTTTTTTTTTTGGTAGTTTTCCTTGTAGAGGCCGTTCACCTTTTTGGTTAAATGTATTCTTAGGTATATATTTTTGTACCTATTGTAAATTGGATTGCCTTCTTGTTTTCTTCTTCAGCTAGCTTGTTGTTCATGTATATCAGTTTACTACTGATTTTTCTATGTTGATTTTGTATCCTGCAAATTTACTGAATTCATTTATCAGTTCCAAGAGGTTTTTGGCAGAGTCTTTAGGTTTTTATTAATATATAAGATCGTGTCATCTGCAAACAGGGACAATTTGACTTCCTCCTTTCCAATCTGGATTCCTTTTATTTCTTTCTGTTGCCTACTTGCTCTGGCTACGACTTCCAGTACTATGTTGAGTAACAATGGTGAAAGTGGTCATCCTTTTCCTTTTCCAGTTTTTAATGGAAAAGCTTTCTGTGTTTTCCTGTCCAGTTTGCCTATTTTTAAAGTGGGTTTTTGTCTTTTTGTTGTTGCATTGTAACAGTGTATTATGTTGTATATTCTGGATATCAAACTCTTATCAGATGATATATGACTTGAAAATATTTTTTATCGCTCTGTAGGGTGTCTTTTCACTTTCATAATGGTGTACATGAATGCATAAAGGTTTATTTTAATTTTGTTGAAGTCCAATCTATCTATTTTTTTGTTGCTGTTGCCTGTGCCTTTAGTGTCCTAAGATGCTAATACCAAATCTGATATTATAAAGATTTATTCTTATGTCCTCTTCTAAAAAGTTTAAGATTTATCACTTACATTTAGACCATTGATCAATTTTCATTAAATTTTTATAAGGTGTGAGATAGTGGGTCCACATTTTATTCTTTTGCATGTAGAAATCTAGTTGTTCCTGAATCATTTGTTGAAAAGACTATTGTTTTCTCATTGAATGGCCAAATTTCAATTGGTCATAAATCTATTTCTGGACCTCAGTTCTATTTCATTGGTCTATATGTCTATCCTTATGTCAGCACCACACTATTTTGATTACTGCAGCTTTGTATTAGGTTTTGAAATCAGGAAAGTGTGAGCCCTCTAAATTGTTTTTCTTTTTCAACATTCTTTTGGCTATTTGGGGACCCTTACAATTCCGTGATCAGAAGTGACAGGCTTCCGTCTGCAGGGCCCTGCACTACCCACTGAGGCTTTAATCATAAACAGTTGATTCTAAATGGCTGCCAAACCGTCTGTTCCATTCAGGGCCACAGTTGGGATCAACTTTACTCTTTCTTCAAAAGGTCCTGTTAGAATTTTGATAAAGATTGTGTAGACTCTATAGATTGCTTTGGGTAGTATTGCCATCTTAACGATATTAAGCCTCCTCATTAATTAACACAGGCTGACTTTCTATTTATTTAGGTTTTTAATTTCTTTCAGCAATGTTTTGCAGTTTTCAGTCAGTTCGCAGTTTGCATGCCTTTCATATGCTAAGTTTAATTTATTGCTTTGAACTGGTTATTGCTGGTGTATAGAAACAACTGGTTTCTATGTGTTGATTTTGTTCCCTGAAACTTGGCTGAATTTTTTTATTAGCTCTAGAAGCTTTCTTATGGATTCTTTGGGATTTTATATATATAAGATCATTACATCTGTGAATAGAGATAGTTTTACTTCTTTCTTTACAATTTAGATGTCTTTTTTCTAGCCAAATTTGTCTGACTAGAATTTTACAAAAGCAATGAAGTACGATTTGATAATCAAGTAGAGACGTCAAGTTGGCAATGGGATATGTGAGTGAGGAGTTTAGGGGAGAGGTTCACACTAGAGATATAAACTTGGAAACCATAAGCATATAGATAATATTGAAAGCTATAAAACTGGATAAGATCGCCAAGGGGTACAGCGTAAAGAGAAAGACTAGAAGAGTCCAAGTACCGAGTCCTGGGTCACTCCAAATCTAAGAGTTTTGGAACAGAAGGAGGATCTGGCAATAGAAATTGAGAAGGAGCAGACAGTGAGGTAGGAGGAAAATCAAGAAAGTGAGATATTACAGAATTCAAATGAGGAAACATACCATAACTTGTTAAATCTACCTTATAAATAAATATTGAATCTGTCCTCTTCTGTCAATCTCGGCCCCTACTATCGAAGTCCAAACCAACATCATTACTTGCCTATATTGCCATAATTCACCCTAACTTGTCTTTCTACATTCACCCTTTACTCCCCCCAAGTACATTAATAGCTCTGCATCCAGAGTGATATTTCTAAAATGTGGATTTTTGTCATGACATTTTCTTCTTTTATATTCTCCAATGGCTCCCCATTGATTATTTATTTTGGTTCTTCATTGTATCACTCTATGTCTTAGAACATGTTACTTCCCTCTGCATGGAACACTCTCCCTTGCCTCTCTCCACACTTTTCTCATCTGTCAATTCTTAGATCCTCTAGGTGGGTGTTTCCGGCTCCCTCCCTTCCTGTGTTCCCCATTCTACCAGTTTATCTAGAAGGTAGCACTCATCACACTCTTTTGCCAACGTCTGCTGTCTCTCTCCTTTATAAGATTGTGATCTCTGTGAAAGCAGTGGCTTCTATATATTTTGTTCAACTGCTTTCCTTTAGTGCCTGGCACACAGATTATGTTCTATATATGTTTGTTGGATGAGTGGCTCCGTTCCATGAATGCATGACTGTTTCCCAAGAGCATAAGGTACTGAGTTTTGCATTCTGTGACAATATTCAGTGTGGATACATGTTTTAAACTTGATTTGCCTCAGAGTTATATTCTTCTGACTTCTCATTTATGATCCATCACTGTGTTGCACAATAATAAGTATGCATTAAAACTTTAACTTTTCTGTTGAAATGTACCATTCACAATAGACAAAGATGAGAAAACAACAACAAATAACCATTAACTGATGAATGGGTAAAGAAAATGTTTATCCATTCATGCAATGGAGTATTATTTGGCCATAAAAGGGAATGAAGCTCTGACACATTCTGCAACATGGCTGAATCTTGCAACACATTATGCCCAGTGAAATCAGAAGCCAGACACAAAGACTGCATGTTGTGTGATTCCATTCATATGAAATATCCAGAAGAAGCTAATCCGTAGAGACATATAGCAGATGAGTGGTTATCTAGGGCTGGAGGGCTCAGGGGAAATGGGGAGCGACTCTTTAATAGATACAGTGTTTCCATTTGGGATGATGAAAATGTTCTGAAACTAGATAACATTGATGCTTGCACATTGTGAATGTACTACATGCCTCTGAAATGTAAACTTTAAAATGGTTAAAATGGTGAATTTGAAGTTATGTGCATTTTACCACAACATAAATAAATACATAGGCAGAGAATCACATATAGCAGGTAACCTTTGGTGCCATTTGTCTGATTGCTGCACAAGGTTCTTCAATATTCAGAGCCCATTGGGCCCCTTGATATCACATTTTTTCTCTTCCTTTACTAGCTGTGTGGCCTTATGGGAATTCACTTCATTTCTCTGTCTCTATTAGCACATCTGTAAAATGGGAAGAATAATAGTTGTTCCACCGACCTTCCAAGGGTCCTGTTTATCTTTTGGGCAATAACATAGCTTTTCCAGACCCTTCGGATGGGAAAGAGAATATCAGCCCAAAGAGCTCCTGGTCTTGCTGCAGTCTTGGGTGAGAATGGCTCAGCAAGGCCAGAAATAGAGCAAATGTTTCATAGGGTTCTCATCTGCTGATCTGTCCTTGCAATGCTGTACCACCCTCCTACACACCCAAATACCTGGCATTTAAACCACACAGGGATACATCAGCCCAAACACATAGAGTGGGTACTTAAGCATTACAAAAGGGCAGCATGTTCCAGCCTAAGTAGATCATCTCACAGTCAGCATCCTCAGTGAGCCACCGCTGTGAAGGCAGCGTGAATGCATCAGAGTCGGGCTACTGTGTTGCTCCTTCCCTCACTGAGCCATCAGGAAACAGACCATAAAGACAAAAGTGGCAGGGGGTGGAATGCACACAAGGTTGACCTAAAAGAGGATCAGGTCCAGTGTGAGCCACAGAGATACTGACGGGGTCATTCTGACCATTACAACCTCTGGACACCATCCCTCTTCCAGGAGAAGGCCAGGAGTCTCTTTTTATGTAGGAGTTACTCCAGAACAACTTTTATTTCCCTTAATAAGTTTATACCTAGGCCCTTTCCCAGACTTCTACAACTTCTTGGGTCATCCATATCAAGACAAGTTAATTGAACTACATGCTTCAAATGGAAGCATGCTCATCGTCACCTACTGTAGGTCCCCAAAGGATCAAACTTGTTGATGAAGATACTGTTGGTGATAATGATAAACAACAATACCATTTCTGCCAATAGCTTTCATTTATAGGGGTCTACCTTGTTTCAGGCATCCAGTGGTTTATATCTTAAATTCTCACAATAACCCTATGCCGGAAGTACTATTATTAGCCGCATTTTATAAATGAGGATGATTAGGATTAGGGAAGTGATTTTCCTGGGGTCCACAGTTAGTGGATGGCATAATTGGGCCTTGGACCACCTGAGTCCAAAGTCTAGGGCCCTTCCATTGTACTTCATTGCCTCTTCACCTTCCCCTTTCCCCTATCTGCTGGTTCTTTCAGCTCCCCAGGCCACTTCCCTTTCTCTTAGCTTCTCAGTGAAACTAGAGCAGAAGAAAAGAAACTGGGGATGACCATCACCTCCTCACTGGGCCTCCTGCCCTCTGAAGCTCAAGCCCAAGTCCCAAGATGGGCTTCCAGATAATCTCAAATAGCCTTGGGGCCATCCCTTCAAAACCCTGCAGCACACCTTGGACTGGACACCAGTGGCAGCTGAGGCTCTGTGAACATTCTTAGCCTCTCCCAAATTCAGAGAGTTTGAAGTAGAATAAAAACTCTGTTTTTCAAAGGTAAGTCTTCTTTGGAATGTCAGTCAATCCTTGATTCCAACACATGAGCCTGAACTGAAGGAGATATCTTACTAACAGCTGCCTACAGCTGGGCAGTGTTCTATAGTGTCTCCCAGCTGTAGAGCAGGTATTAGTAAGATAAACCCAGATCCATACTAAAGGTGTGGAGGAGCCCTGGTGAGCTGGAAGTTTCCCATCCCCAGCTCACAGAATCATAATGTGATCTGTAAGATTCCTCAATTCCTGCCCCTGTGAATGCTCAAGGCTCCTCCCTCATCTCTGGACTTGGAGTTGGATATGGTATAAAACATGATTCATGCTATATTTTACGGCAACTCCCAAGATGTGAGGTCAGAGGTGGGGGAGATTGGAGGCAGAGCAGTCAACTGGGGGCTTTAAAAAGAGTCCATGAAAAGATAATGAATTGATAAGACAGATCCCTGAGCCTGGTAGGATTCATACAATATGGCATCTGATTGCCAATCAGGCCCTCCATCTCACTGTGTCCATCCCTACTGCTGTGCCTTTCAGCATGCTTGCGCCTCCTGCTGGCATGCTTTCCCCCATATCTGCTTCTCAAAATCTCCACTGTCTTCCCAATCTATCCAAAAGGCCACCCCATCCAGAGGCCTAGCTTGCTATTCTTCTCCTCCTTGTGCCCAGCCACTGGCGATTCTTCCTCACTCCAACCCCTAAAGACTGCTCTGTGTGCTGCTCACCTGGAGTCCCTTACGACTCCTGTATTAGAATTCCCAGTGCACATTTCCCACTCCCATGCAAAGCTGGGAGAGCTTTGAGACTCATGCAACATTGGAGTGCTCAGCACTGGGCCTGGCACAAAGTAAAAACCCAATAAATACCCATTGACTTCAATGCTTTGAATAGCATTTGGGGGCTGGCACACATTCCCTACTCTCCACAGGCCCACTGAGTTTTGGCTCAGAGGGAAATAATGTGTTTGCTCTTCCTGAGTTAGCTACTGGCTGCTGCCATTTCACTGACTGCTGTCCTCAGTAAGGAGCCCGCCTGTCCCTCAGTTCTGCAGACTGCTTGCTTGGTCGGTGGGCCTTGGGCTCCACATGCCCACTATTGTTCCCCTAATCTAGGCAGCAGTGCCCCATCACAAGAATTTGGGCCAGTCTCAGTTAAAAGAATTTACAATTTTGGAAAGTGATCTCTAAGGAGACAGGGTTTGGGCAAGTGAGAGAAGGGGAAATTAGTGGAGAGGGAGGGAGGGAAGTGGGAGCACAGAGAGGAGAAACAAGAGCAAAGAAAAGACAATTCTTTGAAATCTAAGGGCCATGAAAACCATAGAACTCTAAGGCAGAGCACTCCACCCCAAGACTTTCAGCTTGATTTAGCTGAAGAATTATTGTTCTGTAGAACAGATACAAGTGAAGGAATTCAGCTCTCTGCCTTTTTGAGCTCTCTCTCTTTTCCTTCCATGGCAGCCTCCAGGGCCCCTATTTGAGACTTTGTGACCCAGGTCAAGGTGAAAAAACAGGTTCAGACATAGGTCATCTCTAATAGGCAAAAGCAGTAAGGAGCATGGGCCAGAGTTTAGCTCAAGGCACCTGGAGGCTCAGACTGGAGCTCTGACCCTGTCTGGTGCATTTTTTACAGTGAGCAAATCCTCTCTATGCCCCCTCTTTGGTTTTCTCACCTGAGAAATAGTTACACACTTACTTTGGCTGCATTCTGGAGCTAGAGAGGTCATGGGGGGTGTAGCAAATTCACAGGTATAAGGTGCTGAATCCTGGAGGTAAGTTCCATCAGTGGCCTTGCTACTGTGGCTTCATGCAAGACTGCCCTGCATAGGGTGTTCACCTTAGCCCCAGCCCCTGGCCCAGAGAAGTACAGTTCAATTCCAAGATCAATTTGAAATGTATGGTGAGGGTGTCCCAAGGCATTTTTTGTTTGTTGTCATTATTTTTAAATTTTAAAATATTTAATTGACAAACATTGTATATATGTAAGGTATACAACATGATGATTTGATATACTTATGTATCGCATACTGATTACTGCAGTCAAATCATTACCACTCATAGTTACCGCTTGCGGGAGGGGGGCAGGCAGTGAGGACACTTAAAATCTGCTCTTTTACCAAGTTTCAAGGATATAATACAGTATTAACTATAGTCACCATACGGTACATTAGATCTCCAGCAATTACTCATCCTATAACTGAAAGTTTATACCCTTTGATCGTCATCTCCCAAATCCCCCACCTTCCAGCCCCTGGCAACCTCTATTCTGCTTTTATGAGTTTGATTTCAACTTTTTTAGATTCTACATGTAAGACTTTGTGTGCCTGGCTAATTTAACATAATGTCCTCCAGGTTCATCCATGTTGTTAGAAGTGGTAGGATCTTCTTTATGGCTGAATGACATCCCACTGGGTATATATACCATATTTTCTTTATCTGTTTATCCATTAATGGACATTTAGGTTGATTCCATAGCTTGGCTATTGTAAATAATGCTGCAATGAACATGGGAGTGCAGATATCTTTATGAGAGAGTCACTTAATTTCCTTTGGATATATACCAAAAGAAGGATTGCTGGGTCATATGGTAGTTCAATTTTTTTTTCTTTAGGATCCTCCATAGGTTTCCACGGTTGCTGCACCAATTTACAGTCCCATCAAGAGTGTACAAGAGCTCCCTTTTCTCCACGCCCTTGCCAACACTTCTTATCTCTTGTCTTTTTGATACTAGCCATACTAACAGGTGTGAGGTGAAATCTCATGATTATTTTGATTTGCATTTTCCTGATGATTGGTGATGTTGAGCATTTTATCACATATCCATTGGCCATTTGTATGTCTTCTTCAGAAAAATGTCCATTCAGGTCATTTGCCCATTTTTAAAATTAATGTATTTGGAGTTTGATGTTGTTTTGTGATTTTCTTTATGTTTGTTTGTTATTGGGTTGTGTAAGTTCCTTACATGTTTCATGAATAGGTATTGACCTCTTATCAGATACGTATCTTGTATTTCATTTTGCTGATGGTTTCTTTGCTGTGTGGGAGCCTTGTAATTTCATGTAGTCCCACTTGTTCATTTTTGCTTTTTTTGCCTGTGCTTCTGATATCATACCCCAAAACAATCATTACCAAGACCAATAGCAAGGAGCTTTTCCCCTATGTTTGCTTCTAGAAGTTTTACACTTCAGGCCTTACTTTTAAATCTTTAAGCCATTTCAAATAAATTTTTATATATGGCGTAAGACAAGGGTTCAATTTTCCTTTTTTGCATGTGGATGTACTGTTTTTCCAGCACTATTTATTGAAGAGCCTATTCTTTCCCCATTGCGTACTCTTGGCACCCTTGTCAAAGTTTAGTTGATAATACATATGTAAGTTTATTCCTGGGCTGTCTATTCTGCTTCATTGGTCTACATGTCAGTTTTTATGCCAGTACCATACTGTTTTTATTATGGTGGATTTGCAATATATCCCAAGGCATTTATTGACACCTGAGAGTGGCATCCAAGTCAGAAGCACAGTAGGCCTTCCCAGGTTTGGGTACAGTTTACATTTGGCTTTGGAGGCCACTCACTGGATACTGGGCAATGAAGCTAAGCTGCTGAGACCTCCCAGCTCTCTGAAAAGCTTTTCCATCTGACCATGTGCTTAAGGACACTTCACTTATTCAGGCCTCATGTCCTGATGAGTTCAATAGGGAGGGGGCACTGCCCTAGCTCTGGGGTCTGCACTAAATCTACATGTTATGCATCCTGCTGATCAATAACCTTCCCCAGCTGTAGCTTCCTCAACTGTCCTTTCAGTGACTGATTTCTTTAGCAGATAGCAATACCTGGGCTCCATCCTATTGCCACCTCTTCCCCTCCCACCTCCCTTACCGAACTGCTCCCTGATGATTAAGCCTTCTCAAATCCTAGAGAGAACTGAATGTGCTCCTCAGATATATCCCTGCAAGCCTAGATATGGGTGCTGAGGGTGTGGAGGCCAGGTAGAAGTCCAGCCAAGACCTAGGGACATGTTACTCATGTCATTACCCCTCCTTTGGGGCCAATTTTGAGAAGGAATAGGAAACAGGTGCTGGACTGTGGAGAAAAATTGCTGTGAGGAGAGTGATGACCCCAGAGCAGAGGCAGCAATAATGGAGCACACACAAGATAGCTAGGCAGGCTATCTCAGGGCCTTGTCTTCCTAGTGTGGGGGGTGGGGGACGAGATCATGAAATTAGAGGAGGTGGTTGCTGCTAACCAGCCCCTTCAGTGGCCCCATCAAATCTCGGGCATCCATGGACACTATGATCTGTGTCCCTTGAGTAGTTCAATTCCTTCATTCCACAAGTAGTGATTGAGTGTCTACTCTGTGTTAGCACTCCACAAAGTCAACACGACAGACAATGCCTCTGCCCTCATGGAGCAGGCAGTGCACAGAGCGCACTTCTACAGCAAATAAATGTTTTGAGGGGAACTATGCTCTGATTGAGAACAAAGAGAGGAAGAGATGGTTTACTAGTGTGGTCTGGTGTTCAGGAAACCTTCCTGAGGAGGTGACATTTGAGCTGAAATCTGAAAGATGAGAAGTAATTAGCCATGTGAGCAGTTAGAGGACGAGCCTTTCAGGCAAAGGGACTAATATGTACTAAGGCTATGTGGGGGATGGAGGGTGGTGAGGAACTTCACTTACTCAAGGAATGAAGGCCAGCAAGGTTTTGTGCTTTGCTAGCTCTGAGGCTCTGATTGAGACAGACTGTCCACAGCTTAGGGAGCCTACTACCACCACTGTGAATCCTAGCATTGTGGCCACGCACATCACTCTCGTACTTTCTCCCCTCCCTCACCCACTGCAGGACGGAGGGCTTCAGGATTCCCCTCTTTTTCCTCTCTCATCCCAGAGCAGCACTGCAGATCCAGAAACCATGAGCACACCCATTCCTTTCTTTTGCCTCTCTTCCTGGATGCAACTGAGTGCTTTGGAAAGCCTCAGAAATGTGACATGAGAAGAGGTAGAAACAACTTACACATATTGGAGAAGAGTCTATTTGCATTTGGATTTCCCTGTTCATTATGCACACTTATATCTACAGACAGAGCTGACACTATGCTCCTGAATATTGGGCCCACCATGGTGTCTTTACTATATTTGAAACTTTGCCGTGGTTGCTATGTCCATTTGCAAAGATTCAGGTCCGACTCCTGAGGACTCATGGAATCAATAAGGACCCCACCCCCACCCCCACTCCCACCCCCACGCCACCTCTCGAAACTGATGGCCACCAGAAATCCAAGCCCTGGCAGGTGGTAGACACATTACACATTTTGACTCACCCAGACATCTCCCCATGCCAGCATTGTTACTGTCCTCTCTCTCTCTCCTCCTTTTCATCACCATGCAATGGAAGGAGCACCGGGCCAGGAATCTAGAAACTAAAACTATAGTCCCGGCTTTGCCACTGACCAAGTGACTGACTTTGTGAGTGTGGGCAAGGTATTTCAGCATGTTCATTGAGCACTTGCTATGAGACAAAAGCAAAGCTGACATCTCCTGGCTACAATTCCTTACTCTGTAAAATGGGAACAATATTATCCACCTTATTAGGCTGTTGGTGATATTATATTGATGACAGTTTGCCAAGTGTCCTAATATTCTGACCGACTCTGTAATAAAATAACTTAAATTTGCACTGATTAGCTGCTTCATCCAGATTTTTAAATCAATTATATTAAAGAATAATTTACATAAAATGGACCCACTTTAAGTGCACAGTTTGATGCAGTCTAGCAAATGCACATATACCTAATGATACCATAAAAATCAAGATATAAAGCATTCCCATTGGCCCCTTTGGAATAAATCTTACTCCAACCTTTGGCAGCTATTTATCTCCTTTCTGTAACTGTGGAGTAGTTATAATTTTTCTAGAATTTCACACAAATGGAATCAAAGAGTAAGTATTCTTGTGTTTGGCTTATTTCACTCAATATAATGTTGATTGATCTAGTTGTTGCTAGTGACAGCAGTTCATTTCTTCATATTGCTGAGTATTATTCTACATTCTAGATACACTAAAATTTTTATTCATGCACCAGCTGATGGACAGTTAGGTCACCTCTAGTTTTTGCTATAATAAATAATGCCTCTATAAATATTCACAAACAAGCTTTTGTGTGGATATGTTTCTATTTTTTGAGTAAATTATTAGAATTGGAATTGCTTCACATAGGGTACACAGTATATTAATGCACTATTTTCTTTAAATCTATTGACATTTTCCTGGACATGAGGGTTGTTTCTAGTTTTTGGCTCTTGTGAATAAAATTGCTATTAACATTTATGTGGGCATATGTTTTGATTCACTATGGTAAATACCTACAAGTAAAATTGCTATCTTGTATGATAAATGTATGCTAAATGTTATTGGACCATGGCAAACTGGTTTTCCAAAATGCCTGTGCAATTTACATTTTCACTCGTAATACATGAAAGTTCTAGTTAGTCCACATTCTCAACAGCACTTGGTGTGTTCTGTCTTGGTATTGTGTGTCTTATTATTTAAAACTTTATTAATTCTTTTGTCTGTTTAGTGGTATCTTGTTATTTTAATTTGCATTTCCCTAATGACTAATGACAATGAAAATCTTTTCAAGTACTTATAGATTATTCATATATCTTCTTTTGTGAAGTTTATTATTCAAATCTTTTGCCCATTTATAATTTATTTGTTTTTCTTCATATTACAGAATTTTAAGAGTTCTTTATAGACTCAACATACAGGTCCTGCATCAAATATATGATTTGTGAATATAACCCCTGACTCTGGCCTGTCCTTTTATTTTCTAAACATAAATGTCTTCTGAAAAGCAGAAGGTTTTAATTCCGGTGAAGTACAAATTATTGTTTTCGTATGGTTTAGGTTTTCTGTGTCTTAGTTAAGAAAGCTTTGCCTACTTAGTGTTAAAAAATTTTTCTCCTATGTTTCCTCAAAAGTTTCATGATTTCAGCTTTTATGTTTAGGTCTATTATCCACATCGAGTTAATATCTGTGACTTGCATGAGAAAAGAATCAAGATTTATTTTTGGATATCCAGTTGTTCTGACACCATTTCTTGAAAGAAAATATTTTCCCAATTGAGTTACATTGGCATCTTAGTCAAACATCAGCTTATCTATTTTTGAGTTCTCTATTCTGTTCCATTGATCTATGCATCTATCCTTTCACCAGTCCACAATAACTTGATTACTGTAGCTTTATGGTAAGTCTTAAAATTAGATGGTGTAAGTCCTCCAACTGTGTTCTTCTTGTTCAAGATTAACATATTAAAAATCTTTTGAACATATATATATATGTGATTAAGCTTGTTAGATTTTATTAAAAAGGTTTTGCTAGAGTTTTAATTTCCCTTTTACTTTCTTCATCGACCCATTGGTTTCAAGAGCACGTTGTTTAATTTTCATCTATTTGTAAAGTTTCCAAAATTTCTCCTGTTATCAGTTTCTAGTTTTATACTATTGTGGTCAGAATAGATATTTGGGGCCAGACACAGTGGCTCAGGTCTGTGATCCCAGTGATATGGGAGGCCAAGGTGGAAGGATTGTTTGAGGCCAGGAGTTTGAGACCATCCTGGTCAACATAGTGAGACCCCATCTGTACAAATAATTTTAAAAATTAGCCAGGTGTGATGGCACATACCTGCAGTCCTCACTACTCGAGAATATCACTTGAGCCCAGGAATTCAAGGCTACTTTGAGTTATAATCATGCTAGGTGACAGAGCAAGACCCTCTTTCTAAAATAAAAAAGATACTTAAAATGATTTTGATCTTCTTAAGTTTATTAAGACTTGTTTTGTGGCCTAATATATTATCTTTCCTATAGAATGTTCCATGTGCAGTTGAGAAGATTGTATATAATGTAGCTGTTTGATGGCATGTTCTATAAATGTCTGTTAGGTCCATTTAATCTAGAGAGCAGTTTAAAGCTGATGTTTCTTTGTTAATTTTCTGTCTGAATGATCTGTCTGTTCCTGTAAGTGGGGTATTGAAGTCCTCTACTCTTATTGTATTGGATAGTCAATGTTTCTCTTCAGATCTATTAATACCTGCTTGATATATTTAGGTACTCCAATGTTGGGTGCATATGTGTTTATGATTGTTGTATTATCTTGCTGAATTGACCCCTTTATCTTTATATAATCTTTGTTTATTTTTACAGTTTTTGACTTGAAGTCTATTTTATCTGAGTATAGCTACTTCTGCTCTCTTTTGGTTTCCATTTGCATGGAATATATTTTCCATTCCTTTTCTTTCAGTCTTGAGTGTCCTTAACAGTGAAATGAGCATATAAACCAGAATATAGCTGGGGTTTTTTTTTGTTTGTTTGTTTGTTTGTTTTATCCATTCCAGCCATTCTGTGTCTTGAATTTACATTCAAGGTGATTATTAGTAGGTAAGGAATTATTGCTATCATTTTGTTATTTTTTTTTCTAGTTGTTTTGTAGATCTTTTCTTCCTCTCTTACTATCTACCTTTGTGGTTAAGTGAATTTCTTTAATAGTATATTTTGGGTTTTTGCATTTTATTTTTATTGTATCTATTATAACTTTTTGCTTTGTGGCTACACTAAGTGTTACAAAAATATCTCATGATATAACAGGTTATTTTAAGCTGGTAACAAGTAAGCTTTTATAGTCATAAAAAACTACATTTTAATGACACTCTCTACTTCACATTTTAAATTTTTGACAGCATCATTCACATCTTTTGTATTGCATATCCCTTAACAAATTGTTATAATTATCCTTATTGTTTTTAATAGTTTTGTTTTTAACCTTCATACTAAAGATTTGACTGATTTATACACCATCGTTACAGTATTAGAGTATTGTGAAGCTGACTGTACTTACTTTCACCAGTGAGTTTTATACTTTAAAATGCTTCAGTGTTAGTCATTACTGCCCTTTGCTTTCAGCCTGAAAACTGAAGAACTCTCTTTAGCATTTCTTTTAAGACAGATTTGGCGGTGATGAACTCCCTCAGCTTCTGTTTGTCTGGCAAAATATTTCTCTCTCCTTTAGTTCTGAAGGATAGCTTTGCTGGATAAAGTATTCTTGATTGGCAGGCCTTTTTCTTCCTTCAACACTTCATGTATATCATCCCACTCTCCTCTGGCTTATACAGTTTCTGCTGAAAAATATTGAGACTTGTTTTATGGCCGAGATTATGGTTTATTTTGGTTAATGCTCTGTGTAAATGTGAAAAATCTGTCAATAGTTGTTGGATAGTGTTCACAATTCTATATCCTTTCTGTCTGTGTACTTCTATCAGTTGCCGAATGAGACATATTAACATATTCAACTATATCTATTCTCCCTCCCCTTCTGTCAATTTTTGCTTCACATACTTTGAGGCTCTATTATTAGTTGTATTATATCTTGTTGATTAGTTGACAATGTTATTATAGGGAATGTACCTCTTTTTAATGAAAATTGTTCTTATTTTAAATCTAGTTTGTCTTATATCAGTATAGCCAGACCAGCATTTTTTTGTAGTAGTTGCGTGGCATATCTTTTGGGGCCCTCTTATATTCAGCCAGTTGGAGTCTTTACATTTAAGCTGTGTTTCTTGCAAATGGCCTATTGTCTTGTCTTTCATTTTCATCTACTCAATTTTTTTTACATTACATGCATGGAGTTTTTAGATTATTTACATTACAAGCATTGTTGATGTGAATATGTTTAAGTGTACCATCTTGTTATCTGTTTTCTATTTGTCCCATGTGTTCTTTCTTCACCTAAACCTTTTTTTTTTCTGCTATATTAGGCCATTCTTGCACTGCCATAAATAAATACCTGAGGCTGGGTAATTTATAAAGAAAATTGTTTTAATTGGCTCACAGTTCTGTAGGCTATACCTGCATGCCACCAACATCTGCTCAGCTTCTGGGGAGGCCTCAGGGAGCTTTTACTCATGGTAGGAGGCGAAGCAAGAGCAGACATGACACATGGCAAAAGCAGGAGCAAGCGGGGGAAAGATGCCATACACTTAAACAACCATATCTCACAAGAACACACTCAGCATTGTGAGGACAGCACCAAGCCATGAGGGACCTGCCCCCATGACCCCAACACCTCCCACAAGGCCCCACTTTCAACATTGGGGATTAAAATTTAACATGAGTTTTGTTGGGGACATATATTCAAACTAAATCGCCTTCCTTTTTGTAAGATTTTTAAAAGATTCCATTACATTTCCATTACTGACCTCTGTTTCCAACATTTTATTGTGAATTTTTTCAAACTTATAGTAACATAGAAATAATTTTACAGGGAACACACGTATAACCACCACCTAGTTTCTACTATTATGATTTTACTATAATCGTTCTATCACATACTTATGCATCCATCTATCTATCCCTCCACCCATTAATCAATCCATTTTTCAGTGCATTGTAAAATAGATTAGAGATGTTAGTACACTTCTCACTAAATACTTCAGCAATCAGATCATGAAAACTTGATGCTTGTTTATGACTTTTTATCCATTAATATAAATTTACATGAAATGCAATGCTCAAATTGTAAGTGTACATTCTCTGAGTTTTAACAAATAAATACATTTATATAACATAAATCCATAACAAAATTTAGAATATCACCATCTCCCCAGAAAGTTCCCATATGTCTCTTTCCAGTCAATCACCATGATACCCATCTAATTTGATTTTTTTCTATTATAAATTAGTTTTACTTATTTAAGAACTTTACATAACAGGAATCCTATAATATCCTCTTTTATGTAAGGCTTATTTCACTTAGCATAATATTTTTGAAATTAATCCAAGTCGTTGAATGTATGAACAATTCATTCCTTTATATTTCTTAGTAATATGTCATTTGTTTGACTATACTACAGCTTTTAAATGCATTCTCCTTTTGTAAGACACCTGGGTTGTTTTCAATTTTTAGCTATTATGAATATAATTTAGCTATTATGAGTGGATAAATGCTTCCAGTTTTCTTGGGTCAATTTCTAGAAGCTGAATTTCTGAGTCACTAGGCAGGTGTACGATAATCCTTATAAGAAACTGCTAGGTCTTTTGTCCAAGAGAGGTATACAATTTTGCTTTTCAAACAGCCATCTATGACATTTTCAGCTCTTCCACATCATTGCCAATGTTTGGTAGTGTTTCAATCTTTTTAGTTTGGTCATTCTGGTACGTATATAGTGGTATCTCACCATGGTTTAAATTTGTTGAACACTTGTTGATGTGCCTATTGGCCAGTCATACTCTCTTCTAAAGTGAGTGCTGAAATATTTTGTTTATCATAAAATTGGGTTACTTGTCTTATCTTAGTTTTAAGATTTCTAAATATGTACTGGCTATCAGACCTTTCCATATAGTTGTTTTTAAAATATATTTTCCCTGTAGGTGGCTTGCATACTTATTGTCTCTTGTTTTCTTTTGATAATTAGAAATTTTTAATGTAGATAAAATCTAATTCATGATTTCTCTTTTTATTGTTATTGTTTTCTGTGATGTGCATAAGAAATATTTGCATAATACCAAATTACAAAGTTTTTTTGTTTTCTCGTAAATGAATTATGGTTTTAACTTTTTTATCTTGGCTAATTATTCATTTTATTTTTATTATATATAAATATATGTGTGTGCATATAAATATATATATTCCAATAGCTCTTGGGGTACAAGTGTTTTTTGGCTACTTGAATGAATTATATAATGGTGAAGTCTGAGATTTTAGTGCACCTATCACTTGAGTAGTGTACATTATATAAAATATATAGTTTTGTATCTCTCACCCCCCTCCCACCCTTCCCCATTCTGAGACTGTAAAGTCCATTATACCACTCTGTATGCCTTTGCATACCCATAGCTTAGCTCCCACTTATAAGTGAGAACATACAGTATTGGGTTTTGCATTCTGGAGTTACTACACTTAGAATAATGGCTTCTAGATCCATCCAAGTTGCTGCAAAAGACATTATTTAATTTTTTGTATGGCTAAGTAGTATTCCACAGTGTATATATGCCACATTTTCTTTATCCACCCATTGGTCGATGGACACTTAGGTTGGTTCCATATCTTTGCAATTGTGAATTGTGCTGTAATAAACATATGCATACAGATATTTCTTGATATAATGACTTATTTTCCTTTGAATTGGTATCTGGTAGTGGGATTGCTGGATCAAATGGTAGATTTACTTTTAGTTCTTTAAGAAATATCCATACAGTTTTCCATAGAGATTGTACTAACTTACATTTTCACCAGGCGTGTATAAGCACTCCCTTTCCACCACATCCAAACCAACATCTATTGCTTTTTGACTTTTTAATAATGGACATTCTGGCTGGGGTAAGATAATATTTTATCATAGTTTCAATTTGCATTTTCATGATGACTAGTGATGTTGAGCATTTTTTCATCTATTTGTTGGCCATTTTATATCTGCTTTTGATAAATGTCAATTCATGTCTTTTGCCCACTTTTTGATGGGATTATTATTTTTCTTACTGGTTTGTTTGAGTTCCTTGTAGATTCTGGATATTAGTCCTTTGTCAGATGCATAGTTTGCAAATATTTTCTCCCATTCTATGAATTGTCAGTTTACTCTGATTATTTCTTTTGCTGTGCAGAAGCTTTTTAGTTTAATTATGTCTCATTTATTTATTTTTATTTTTGTTGCATTTGCTTTTGGGGTCTTAGTTGTAAATTCTTTACCTAGGCCAGTGTGCAGAAGAGGTTTTCCTAAGTTTTCCTCTAGAATTTGTATCGTTTCATGTCTTAGATTTAAGTCTTTGATCTATCTTGAGTTGATTTTTTATATGCTGAGTATTAGGGAACCAATTTCATTCTTCTACATGTGACTATCCAAATTTCCTATTGTATTTATTGAATTATTTATTGAACAGGGCCTCCTTTCCCCAAATTATTTTTTGTATGCTTTGTTAAAGATCAGTTGGTTGTAAGTGTTTGGCTTTATTTCTGGATTCTCTATTCTGTTCCATTGGTCTATGTATCTACTTTTATACCAGTACCATGCTGTTTTGGTAACAACAGCCTTGTAGCATAATTTGAAGTCAGGCAATGTGATACCTCTGGATTTGTTCTTTTTGCTTAGGATTACCTTGAATATTTGGGCTCTTTTCTGGTTCCAGACGAATTTTAGAATTGTTTTTCCTAATTCTGTGAAAAGTTATGTTAGTATTTTGATGAGAATTGCATTGAATCTGTAGATTGCTTTAGGCAGTATGGTCATTTTCATTATACTGATTCTTCCAATCCACAAGCATAGGATATATTTCCATTAGTTTGTGCCATCTATGATTTTTTTCAACAGTGTTTTGCAGTTCTCCTTATAAAGATGTTCACCTCCTTCATTAAACATATTTCTGGGTATTTTTTGGCAGCTATTGTAAAAGGGATTGAGTTTTTATTTTATTTTCAGCTTGGTTGTTGTTGGTGTATGGCAGTGCTACGGATTTATGCACGTTGATTTTGTAACCTGATTCTTTACTGAGTTCATTTTCCAATCTAGGAGTCTTTTAAAGGAGTCTTTAGGGTTTTCTAAGTATATGATCATATCATCGACAAACAGAGATAATTTAACTTCCTCTTTTCCAGTTTGGATTCCCTTTATTTCTTTCTCTTGCCTGATTGCTCTGGCTAGGACTTCCAATACTATGTTGAATATGAGTGGTAAGAGTGAGCATCCTTGTCTTGTTCTAGTTCCTCGGGGAATGCTTTCAACTTTTTCCCATTCCATATGATGTTGGTTGGGGGGTTTGTCATATATGGCTTTTATTATTTTGAGGTACGTTCCTTCTATGCTTAGTTTTTTGAGGATTTTTATCATAAAGAGATGCTGGATTTTATCTAATTTTTTGCATTTATTGAAATGATCATATGGTTTTTGTTTTTAGTTCTGTTAATGTGATGTATCACATTTATTGACTTATGTATATTAAGCCATTCCTGCATCCCTGGGGTGAAACCCACTTGATTGTGGTGAATAATCTTTTCGATGCGCTGTTGGATTCAGTTTGCTAGTATTTTTGTCAAGGATTTTTGCATCTATGTTCATCAGGGATATTGTTCTGTAGTTTTTGTTGTTGTTGTTATATCCTTTCCTACTTTTGGTATTAAGGTGATACTGGCATTATAGAATGAGTTGGGAAGGAATCCCTCTTTCTCAATCTTTTGAAATACTTTCTGTAGAATTGGTACCAATTACTTGAAAGTTTGGTAGAATTTGGCTACAAATCCATCAGGCCCTGGGCTATTTTTTTTGTTGGCAATTTTTAAATTATTGATTTAATCTCACTGCTACTTATTGTTCTGTTCAGGATTTCTACTTCTTCCTGTAGTAATCCATTTTAAATTCAGTTTTGTGTAGAGTGTGAAGGAGGTGACTGAAGTTCATTTTTATCTATATAGCTATCCAGTTGTGTTAGCATTATTTGTCGAAAAAAATTCTTTTCCTGCACTAAATTGCTTTGAGAATGATATAGAATAAAATCAAATGACCATGTAGTATGGGCTTATTTCTGTACTCTTAATTCTGTTCCATTAGTTTGTTTGTTAATCTTTATGCCAGTATCACACTTTTATGATCATTATAGCCATTTTAGTAATTCTATAGGTCAGGTCATGTAACTACTCCAAATTTGTTTTTATCAAGATTCCTATATACATGCAACAGTTTTTGTCTTTTCATACGTATTTTAGAATCAGCTTGTCATTTCTATACAAAAATTATGATGGAATTTTGACTGGGATTGCACTGAGTTTATAAATCAATTTGGGTAAAATTGATATTTTAACAATATTGAGTATTCTATTCCATAAAATGGTCCATACCTCCAATTATTTAGTCTTCAGAAATGTTTTGTCATTTTTCAGAATAGAGGTCTTATATATATTATTTTGTTAAACTGATTCCTATTTTGGTTTTGATGCTACAATAAATGAAATTTTCAATTTTTCTTTTTGTGTATTAATTTTATATTTAGTGATATTGCTAAATTCACTTGTTATTTAGAGGAGATGCCTTTTAGATTCCTTAGTATTTTCCACATTAAAAGTTTTGCTGTCTGCAAATACGGACAGTTTTACTTCTTCTTTTCCAAATATTTTGACTTTTCTTTTAAAATTTTTTTCAAATTTCACTGGCTATAACTGCCACTACAATATTGTATGAAAATGGTGAGCATGGGCATCTTTTCTTTTTCCTTATCTTACATTGAAAGCATTCAATATTTCACCATAAATATGATGCTAGCTGTAAGATTTTCATTGTGCCTTTTGTCAGATGTAGTATGATCTTATGAATACAAGTTTGCTGAGAGTTTTTATAAAAGAAGATTGTTGAATTTTGTCAAATACTTTCTCTGTCTATTGAAATGATCATTGTTACTTTTTCCTTCTAACACAGTGAATTATATTGATTACTTTTCAAGTGTTTAATCAATCTTGCATTTCAAGGAGAAACCATGCTTGATTATTATGTTATCATATATATATGTATATACATATATATGCATACACACATATACAGATCTGATTAAATTAACATTTGGTAAGTATTTCAAAATCAATATTCATGAGGAATATTGTTTTGTAACTCTTTGTAATACCTTTTGTTATATTTTGGTACTAAGGTTATGCTGGTTTGATAAAACAAGTCTGGAATTTTCCCTCTTCCTCTATGTTCTGATGCAGTCTGTGTAAGATAGGTGTCATTTCTTTCTTAAATGATTAATTGTATTTACCAGTGAAACGATCTGGACTTGAAGATTGTTTGCATGAATGTATTTGATAATTAATTTGATTACTTTATTAGATATAGACCTATGCAGATTTAATATACTGTCTTATGTCGGTTTTGGTAAGTTGTATTCTTTAATTAATTTGTCTATGTCTTGTAAGTTTTCAAATTATTGTTGACATAAGTTTGTTCATGAGTTTTATTAACTTGTTATGTCTTTTAGACATAAAAAAGGCTAATTGGACATGTAGTGATAAACTCATTTTCACCCTTGATATTAGTAAATTGTTTTCTTTCCCTAAGTAATTGTCTAAGTAGAAATTAATCAATTTTATTGATATGTTTAAAGAATAAATTTTAGTTTGGTTCATTTTCTCGACTGTTTTTCTTTTTGTGTCCTTTCTTCTGCTTACTTCGGGTTTACTTTATTATTTAGTTTCTTTATAATAAATTAATAGATTGTATTTTGTCTTTTCATTTTTAATATAAGCATAATGCTATAAATTTCTCTGAAGCACTGCTTTATCTACATTACTCAAATTTCGATATCTTGCATATCATTATCATTCCGAATTCAAAATTCAGAATTCAAAATAAATTATAATTCTTTTTGTGATTTTAAAATGCCTTTTCATGTTATTCATATGATCTATATGTTTACTAAGTTTTTTCTCCAGTTATTCTCACAATTGTTGAGATAGGACTGTTAAAACCTTCAAAAATGATTGTAAATATGTCTATTTTCTTCTTTTAACTTTGTTGATTTCTGCTCCATGTATTTTTAATCTCTTTTATTAAATGCATATGTATTTATGATCGTTATGTCTTTCTCATACATTGGCCCTTTTATCATTATGAAACATTACGGTTTATCTCTCATGATACTCTTTTTATTGAAGTTTATTTTGCTAATGTAATAGCAATGCCATCCTTCCTTTGGTAACTTTGTGCAAGATGTATCTTTATCTCTTTACATTTAAAATTCATCTCTTATAGATAGTATATAGTAGGATATTGCTTATATACAAGTCTAGCAATCTCTGCCTTTTAATTCAAGCATCCTCTGATTAACATTTAATGTAATTATTGACATATTTAATCGTTTTTGTTTCAGTGTCTCTTCTATTTTTTCCCCTTATGTTCCTCCTTTCTTGTATTTTTTTTGGCTTAGTTACTTTTCTGCTTTCATTTTATCCATTGCCCATTTACGTACAACTGTCTTTATGTTACTTTTTTTACATTCATAAACTTTATTTTTAAATCAGTTTTAGATTCATGGAAAAATTGACAGGAAAATACAGAGATATTCCATCTACTCCCTGCCTCCACAAATGCATAGCCTCTCCCATTATCTACATCTTCTATCATAGTGGCACAGTTGTTATAATTAATGAACCTACATTAACACATTATTGTTACTCAAAGTCCATAGCTTACATTAGCATTCACTCTTGGTGTTGTACATTCTGTGAGTTTTGACAAATGCATAATGACATGTAGCCGCCATTTTAGTATCACACCACCATCATAGTATCACACAGAGTATTTTCACCGCCCTAAAATCCTCTATGCTCCACTTATTCATTTATCCTTCCCCCTAATTCTTAGCAAACACTGATCATTTTACTGTATACGTTTTTGCCTTTTCCAGAATGTCATATAGTTGGAGTCATACAGTATATTGCTTTTTCAAATTGGCTTCTTTCACTTAATTTCATCCATATCTTTTCATGACTTGGTAGCTCACATCTTTTTAGTGCTAAATAATAGCTCATTATCTGGATGTACCAGTTTGTTTATCCATTCACTTACTAAAGGTCATCTTAGCTGCATCCGAGTTTTAGAAATTATCAATAAAGCTGCTATAAATATCTATGTGCAGGTTTTGTGTGGACATAAGTCTTCTATTTACTTGGATAAATGCTAGGAACACAATTGCTTGATTGTATGGTAAGCACATGTTTATTTTTGTAAGAAACTGCTTAACTGTCTTCCGAAGTGGCTGTTCCATTTTGCATTTCCATCAGCAACTAATGAGAGTTCCTATTGCTCTACATCCTTGCCAGCATTTTGTATTGCCAGTGTTTTAGATCGGCCACTCTAAAAGGTATAGTGGTATCACATTATCATTCTGATTTAAAACTTCCTAATGACATATGATGTTGAGCGTCTTTTCATATGCTTACTTGTCATTCATATATTTTTTGGTAAAGTGTCTGTTTGGGTCTTTTGCCCATTTTAAAAAATTGGGTTGTTCATTTTCATATTGTTGAATTTTATGAAATCTTATTATATTTTGAATAACAATACTTTATCATATATATCTTTTGCAAATATTGTCACTCAATCTGTGCTTTGTCTTCTTATTCTTTCAGCATTGTCTTTCACAGAGCAGAAGTTTTTCATTTTCATGAAGTTCAGCTTATCAACTAGGTTTTTCATGTATCATGCCTTTGGCGTTGTGTCTAAAATATCATCTCCATATCTGAGGTCATCTAGGTTTTCCCCTGTTATCTTCTAGGAATTTTATAGTTTTGAATTTTACTGTCTGTGATTAATCTTGATTGAATTTTGTGATGGATGTAATTTCTGTGTCGAGATTCATTTTTTTCTCCTTGTAGATGTCCAGTTCTTCTACCAATATTTATTGAAAAGACTCTTTTCTCCATTGTATTGCCTTTGTTTTTCTGTCAAAAATCAGCTGAGTAGAGTTATGTGGGTCTATTATTGACCCTCTGTTCTTTTCCGCTGATCCATTTGTCTACTCTTTTATCATACTATGCTGCCTTGATTACTGTAGATTTATGGTAAGTCTTGAAGTCAGGTAGTGTCAGTCCTCTGACTTTGTTCATCTCCCTGAATATTGAGTTGACTATTCTGTGTTTTTTGCCTCTCCATATAAACTTTAGAATCAGTTTTTGTGAGCAACAAAATAAGATGCTGGGATTTTTATTGGGATTGCATCGAAATTATAGATTAAGTTGTGAACAACTGACATCTTGACAATATTGAGTTATGTTATCCATGAACATAAAATCTCCTCCATTTATTTAGTTCTTCTTTGACATCTTTCATCAGAGTTTTGCAGTTTTCCTTACATGCTGTACGTATTTTGCCAGATTTATATCTAAGTATTTCATTTTTAGGAAGTTCTGTGTTTTTTATTCAAATTCTACTTGTTCATTGCTGGTATATAGGAAAACAACTGACTTTGGCATATTAACTTTGCATCCTGCAACCTCACTGTAATTACTTATTAGCTTCAGGAGGTTTTGTTGTTGTTGATTCTTTCAGATTTTCTACATAGGTAATCATATCATTTATGAAGAAATAAATTTTTATTTCTTTCTTCCCAATCTATATATCTTTGGTTTCATTTTCTTATCTTATTGCATTTGATAGGACTTCCAGTATAATGTTGAAATGCTGTAGTGAGAGGAGACATCCTTGCCTTTTTCTTGATCTTAGTGGGAAAGCTTCTAGTTTCTCACCATGAGGTATGTTAGCTGTAGGTTTCCTGTAGATGTTCTTTATTAAGTTGAGGATTGCCCCTTCTATTCCAGGTTTTCTGAGAGTTCTCATCATAAATGGATGCTGGATTCTGTCAAATACTTTTTCTGTATCCATTAATATGACCATATGATTTTTTTCTTCTTTAGCCTATTGATGTAGTGGATTACATTAACTTATTTCTATTGTTGAAACAACCTTGCATACCTGAAGCAAATCCCACTTGGCTGTGATGTACAATTCTTTTTTATACATTGCTGGATTCCATTTATTAATATAAATATCTGTTGAGGATTTTTGCATTTATATTAATGAAAGGTATTGGTTTGAAGTTTTATTTTCTTATAATGCCTTTGTCTGGTTTTGGTATTAGGGTAATACTGGTCTCATAGAATGAGTTACGGAATATTCCCTCTGCCTTTGTCTTCTGAAAGAGATTGTAAAGCATAGGTATAATTTCTTTCTTAAATATCTAGTAGAATCCACCAGTGAGAACTCATCTGAGCCTGGTGCTTTCTGTTTTGTAAGGTTAGGAATCATTGATTCAATTTTTCAATAGATATAGGCCTATTCAGATTGTTATTTGTATTACTTTTTAATGTTACTCTAAGTGCTTAATATACGCCCCTAATTTTTCGTGGTTTAGTTAGAGTTAGTGCTCTACACAAAATACTGTCACACAAAATGTAAAAATCTTGCAACTGAATTGGTCCATTCACTTCACCACCCTTCCTGCTATAGTTTTCATACCCACACGCACACACACGCACACATATATGTACTACATGCTATATATGTTATATGATACATATATATGCTATACATATGCTATATGCTACATATGTTTGTGAAACAAGAGGGGGGAAATTGATTTTTCAAATTTTCCCATGTATTTAACTTTTCTTATGTTATTCTTTTGAGTCCGGATTTATCTCACCCCAATTTAACAAATCTGCCTTCTCCCAGATTTGTTAAACATTAGAGTCACCTGAGGAAGGTTTTGTAAAAGCAGGTGCCTAGTGCCAGGACAGTACTGTTCATAGGTGAGGCTTAAGCATGGGCCTTTGCAAGATGCTCCCAACATTACCTGATGTACAACCAGGGCCAAGCAGGCCCAAGCGCCTCCTGAGCTGCCAAATAGCATGACAAATATCCTGGGGCTGGCTCGCTGTTTTATCCTGTTCCCACCTCATGTGTTATCAAGCTATTGGCCTTATATTATCTGATTATGAGTGCCTTTCTTATCTCTCCTAAAATGTCCTTCTTCAAACTTCAAAATCTTCTCCTAACTCATGAATGTTGGCATTAGAAGACAAATTTGGTCATTCTTTCTTATAGCCTCTATCTTGCCATTTGACTCTTCCTATGATGTATCTTTAGGTTCTCCAGCACTGTCTACCCATCCCAAAAAACTCTTTCATTCATTCTTTACAAAAAGTATGTGTTACTTCTAAACTTCACCCTTATGGATATCACAGTGACATGAGAGGCATGTAGCAATGTAGGAAACAGTGTGCTTTCTTGAGTCAAGTGGTCTCAGTTCAAAATTCATCTTGACTCCTGATGAAATTCATGATAATAGACAAGCAATTTAACTTTCTGTCTCTCAGTTTCCTCACATGTAAAATAGGGATAATAGTAATTCCAACCCATAAAGTTTTAGAGAAATTTGATATGCATTGTTTAGCACAATACGTGACACTAAGAAAGTTCAAATCAATCAATAACAGCTGGTTATTGCCATTATTATGACAGAAATGGTCTCTGTTCTCTACAGAGCTTACTAGGCCAGTACTAACCTAAGTGTGGTCCAGAGAGTGCTACTTATCCTTGATGGGACAGGGAGCTTGTAACAGAATGTAAACCAAATCATCACTAAGCACGCTGTTTAATACAGTTGACGTTTATTTTCTTTTTTATTTATTTATTTTTTGGAGTCTTGCTCTGTTGTCAGGCTGAAGTGCAGTGGCACAATCTCAGCTCACGGCAACCTCCGCCTCCCAGGTTCAAGCAATTCTCCTGCCTCAGCCTCCCGAGTAGCTGGAACTACAGGCACATGCCACCACGCCCAGCTAAGTTTTGTATTTTTAGTAGAGATGGGGTTTTATCATGTTGGCCAGGATGGTCTCGATGCCTTGACCTCATGATCCACCTGCCTCGGCCTCCCAAAGTGCTGGGATTACAGGTGTGAGCCACTGCACCCTGCCCAGCTGACGTTTATTTTCTAGCAAGACTTTCTCAATGAAGGAGTTAGAGCATTGATTTACATTCTACAGCAAGTGTCTCATTTTGTAACCAACCTGTACTTTAAGGAGCACTTATCCTGAGGATTTGTAGCCTCCCTGGTGTAGCTAGGTAGTGGAAATTGTTCTGGGCTTGAAGGCAGAAACCCTGATGCCAGCTTTAGCTCTATCACTGGCAGGCAAGGTGACCGTGGACAGGCCATTTAAACCCTGAACCTCTAATTATTCATCTGTAAGATGGAAATAATTACCTCTCTCTCCTTCCTTCTTGCCACCATGAGTTTCACGTGCACTTGAGGGCTGCAACAATGCCAGGAAATGCTTCCAGGCCTCTACTGGGAGAGTAAGCCAAATCAGCCCCTGGGGTCATTTAAAGTCAATAGCTCTCCAGAGCTTCAGACAGAGCTCCGCGGCAGAGTAAAGAAGAATGAGGCTTGCTACTAGCTTCCTGCATACCAAAACCCAGACGTTGTGACTCCCACTCTCAGGTTAAATAGAGGTAACCAAAGGCAACCAAAGCCATCATTCATTCTCTTTCAAATAATGTTTTGTGTTCAAGCTAAGTGCCTTCCACTTAAAGGGTACTTTGCAATTTGGGGCCTGGCAATGGCATTGGCCACCCATTACTTAAAATCTTCCCAAATGTACAAACATTATTAGTACAAGCATGGAACAGACAAAATAACATAATGCAGCTGGTGGATAATGGGGAGGACATTGAGGCTCAAAGCATCAAGTGGATCCTCATAGGCAATAAGCCAATCCAAGAAAACATTGGGCCCATACCGCCGCCAGAGCACTAAGGTAGCTCTTCTTGGAATCGGTAATAGTGCAGCACTAATGGCTGCAAAAAGGACCATATTTTCTCCCCATTCATTAAGCCCCAGAAAAAGGACTGCATGGACCTCTTTACTGCTTTAACACACTCATTAGATAAAATGTACCAGTTAACCTCCTCAGAGGAAGACCATAATCTGAGCACATGAATTCTGTCCTCCCCACCCTCCTCCGCTCCGGAAGTCCTCTACCTGGCAACAACTGTCAATTCTTTGCTAGGTAGCTGCTTGGACCCACCTGACAACATCGCTGTTTATACTCTCAGGTTCTCTGCTGTCCGCTTGCTAAGGGATTCAGCTAGCTGAGAGAGAGAGAGAGAGAGAGAGAGAGAGCGAGAGAGAGAGACCACTAGACCACGGTTATCAATATTTGCCCTAATGTAATGTCTTCAGTGACTATCCAAAGGCAAGCTCTAATAATTATAGCTCCCATAGTGTAAGTGCCTCTCTGGGACAAGGCAGTTTATGACCAGGGTCTCAGGGGCCTCCCTCAGCTCTTGCTTTGGAGCCTAAGTGTCACTGCCAGTATGATGGCAACTCTGTTAGCAATATCATGACCCCCAGAACTCCTATCCTCTATTGTCATCCTAGAAACTGCCTCCCTGATTGTGTGTCAAATGAATTTCTGTCCATCTTGAGCTCCCATCGCACCTGCAGTTGAGTAAGGAGTGCAGTGGAGGTTGGCAAGGGCAGGTAGCTGGGAGAAAGCACCGTCAGTATGGAACTGAGTTTGGTTTTGATTTGGGAAGATAGGCTGTTTGTATAAACCCCTACAATCCCTGTGTCGCCCCCATCATGGCATTTAGTTGGCTGTATAAATTGCTTTTCCCATAAGACCATAAGTTTCTGGATAATAAGGACTCTCTTTCTCCTCTTTGTGACTTCAGCATCACATAATAAGCATTCAATAAGTGTGTGTGAACAAGTTCATGGCCAGCTGGCCAGCTACTGCTCATGCATTTCCTTGCAGCTTCAGATCACTGGTTCAGCAGAGTTGGTTTTGGGAAAGCAGTCTGAGGTGTCATCACAGAGCAAACACCATGGATGAGTGACACGGGGATAGTCTTTGCCCAACGTGTATATATCAAGGGCCCACTTGACAGACATTCCCTCAGACCACAACAGCCTGCCCAAGGCCAACTGGAGAAAGCCCTACACAAATAAAACTATCCCTTCTACCGGCAACCTGACCGGTCATGTTCCTGTGTATGGCAGCTATGCATCTGGGTCAGCTGACTCCACCCCTGGCGCTTGTATTAAGAAGCCCTAGTGTGAGTGGGCAGGCCCTTGGGTGGATAATTTAGATGTTTGAGCACTCAGGTCTCAGCTACGGAGTCCAGGGGATAAGGGGACTCCTAGAGATGGAATGGCTAAGGGCCACACAAGCCTTCCTTGACAAGCTGAACTGACTGCTCTTTTCCATTTCCTGTGCTCCAAGAAGAGGTTTTCAGCCAGGTTTGGGGGCAGAAAGAAGCTATGAAATAAGACTTATGTCAGGGAGTAGTATGGCTAAGGGATAGCATAACAAATATTTCGTTTTCAACTCGATAGGTGCCTCTACAGTCATATTCCTAAATCAGTGATAGGAAGAAATGCTGGTGTCTTTACTTTTCTCTGTTCTACAAAAGCTTTTGATAGAGTTGGGGGTTACAGAATAATGCATAAGGAAAAATTGAGGCACAATCAATGACAGTCTGCAATTAAGTGCTAAATTGTCTGGCACAGGCCTTAAGTGCTGCAGGAATCCAGGGGAAGGGCAGTCAATGAAGGCTGAGTAATTTGTGGGTGGGTGGAGCACTGATGTCTGAGAATCTATAATATGACTCCAGTCAGCACAGATTTCCTGGAGGAGGTGGGATTGGCACTGGACCTTAAAAGATGAGAAGAACTGGGCTTGAAGGAGGGAATGGCTCTGGTTCAGGGCACAAGGAATGGTAGAGCAAAGGTAAGGAGGCAGATGGAGATTAGATCCAAGTGCAGAGGTCTGGCTCTGACAGGGGTGGGGTGGTCTGTACAGGGAATCAGAGTGATCACATGACTGGCTGCCGGGGCAAGGATGATGTGGAACTCTGACTCAGTGCCTCTGGGTAAGTGGACTAGGTTGCAGCTGTGCGCCAGGTGAATCTAGAACTCAACAAATAAATTCCCTTGCAAAAGTGAATTTCCTGGGCAGTCTGCAACAGGGTTCCTCCCTTCCAGGAGCTCTCATCCCTGTACAGGCAAAGTCTCATTCAATGCCCACAACAACCCTGGGAGGAAAGGAGGAATTGCTAAGGATTCATAAACTCCAAATACACATGGTCTCAGCGGAGACAGCAGAGTGGGTTGGAAGGTCACCTGTCTCCTGGATTTCAAGGCAAGCACTCTGGGAGGCAGCAGAGGTAGCAGATATCAAACTGTGCTTCCAGGAATCTGGAAGTACGTTCAACTCAGAATTCCTCACATTGTTCACTCCCTGCAAATGCACCTGGTTAACAATGACAATAATACTGTCATTGATTGAGTGCCTACACTGTGCTGGGTACTTTAAAGGAAATAATTCATTTCATCCTCACAATAATCTTTTGAAGTGTGGAGTTACTGTCTTTATCCTACAGATGAAGGAACTGAGGCAAAGAGAGGTTAAATAACTTGTCCAAGGTCACATGACTGGTAAATGGCAGTCAGGATTCCAAACCGCGTAGCCTCTACTTCAACTCTCTCGCCTGCCTCATTCCACAAGCACCTGCCCTCTGGGTAGATCTGCGATGGATCCCCTATAGGAAACATCTTATTCACTGCCTATTAAGAGACTCAAGACTCCAAAGAGATGTGGTCTGACCAGAGACAGTGGAGTGGGTAAGAATGTCCTGGCTCAGAGCCAGCGTGTTTCTATTTTCCCACTTGCTATTATTACTGCTGCCTTAGCTCAATCAGCAGCAGCAGCAAAAACAACCTAGCACTTCCTTGGAACCCCAATCCTGCTTTCTCCATTTGAACACCCTGAGAGTCCTATGGGAAGAGGCAGGGCACGTGCTGTGGGCCTGGAAGGAAGGAGGAGGCGACACAATAATGTTGCCAGAGGCCAGGGAAGGAGGCAAGGGGAGGAGAGTATTAATGAACCCAGGGAATCATGACCAAGGGCAGAGGAGGATGAGGTCCCACAGGCAGAGAAGGGGAGAGGTCATGAGGTGCAAGCCTTTTAGCAGAGCCCAGACTGAGGGGCAGAGAGTGAGGGCAAACAAGCTTCGGTGAGATCGAAATGACACCTCAAAGCAGCCCTTGTGGGAACAGTGAGCTGCCTTGATTGTTGACAATGAATGGTGACTTCCAGACTGTCATCCGACATAGAGACACGGTAGGCACCTGAAGCAGGGTCCACTGCAGCAGGCTCTAAGCCCTGTGCTTCACGGGCCGCTGTATTCTTACCCTTTTGCTGTGCCACAGACCCTTAGCTGAAAGATGAAGCCCACAGATTCCTTCTGACAATAATACTTGAAATGCATAAAAATACACAAGGTTATAAAGGAAACAAATTATATCCAAATATCAAACAAAACTTGTATGAGATGCTAATATAAATTTTTTGTATTAATGCATGAAATCAAATCTAGTGGTGACTGTAACTACTACTATAATTTCAAACTACTGTCCACTATAAGGGCTGTCTGGAGATAGCTACAATAATAATGTGATATGAAAATCCCTCTGATTTCTCTCAGTGGCAAAGCCTCACGTACTACTAATGCTACTGTGGTTCATTGCCTACATTCAAAATTGAATGAAATTAGAAATTTCAATTAGAAGTTGATGAAAATAGAAATTCATTTTTTTCCTCCCAAGATCACAGGGGTCCTGTTTGATGGGCAATGGGAATTCATTGGTCTTGGGACAAGATGATTAGAGAGCTAGTCCCAGGTTTCCTACTCATCATGTGTCTTGAAAGTGTTATCTGACTCTTGATGGCCAGCTCACAAAATAACTCTGTTCTTCCTTCTCTCGAGCATTCATGAGAAGGTGGGCCTGCTGAGTTATCTGCCCCGGTTCTGGAGACCAGGTAGGGGGAAGTTCAATCCCAAGTCCAGGTCCAAATCCAACAATCTTCCAGCTCCTATACAGGTCCTCATGCTCACAGGACCATCCTTGGATATGGAAGGGGGTTGCTCCTATCTTTGTCAACTGGTTCCAGAGGCCACGACTGAAAAGGAATTCAGACAAAGGTCACAATTCTGCCTTGTTGGAGTAAGCCAGCCCCACCCTAGTGGAGCCCTGTGAAGCAAGCACACACATCTGGTTGGATATAGCATGGAATGTTCATTACAAAATCAGTTATGCTTTTACAGTAAGCCCCAGGGAGTTTGGCAGACAAAGCAAATGACATAAAATGAGATCGAGCGTGAGAGTGAGCGAGCCAGGGAGAGCAAGCGGAAAAGAGAGAGAGAGAGAGAGAGAGAGAGAATGAATCTTAGAGAATTAAATTTGAAAGAGGCCTTAGAGGCCCTGTAGCCCAGCTCCTTTGTCTCTGTTGGAGATGCCAAGGCCCAGAGAAGGGACATGCCCTAGTGGGACCCCTGAGTAGCTCAGTGCTGAGTCACTGGCTAATTTCTTGCTCTTTGCCCTTGGCAACTCATGTCTATTTGACCAGAGATGAACCAATTGGCTTGGAAGATGCTTCTGGAAGCACTATTCAAATTAGCCAACAGCTCCTCCATGCTGCTGTATTTGTCATAACAAACACAAGAATAAATAATGCAGCCTTGAGGAGGGGCAGCCAGAAATGTCTGTACGGATGCCAGAAGCAGCCAGGGATCCCCTTTGGGGCATGCTGGGGCCCTCAGGAGGGTCCCAGGTGCTGGATTTGGCTATGACCACAGGGCATAAAGTGTGAGTGCAGCTGAGGCTTTTCTGCGTGTATAATTTCCTTCTCTGATTTCCCAAGGAGTTAATGAAAAGATTATAATCATCATCATTTTCAGCAGCACCATTGTTTTGCACTTTCATTACTTAGGTGGGTTTTAGCCCTACATAGGTTGATGGCCCTCAGTCCTTACTTGCACCCAGGACCAAATGGACCACTGGGCCAGTGCAGGACTCTGAACTCCAGCTCAGATTTCAGGCCCAGCTCTTCCTCTTTCCAGGTGAATGGGATGACTTGAGTGAATTCCCAACCTTCCTGAATCTCAGTCCCCAACTTGCAGAATAGAGAACTTAACCTCTAGCTTGTGATCTGATGGGACAACAGGTTCTGATTGCTGCTCACCATTCTCCCTCTTTGTGTGGGGATTACACAGATAGCTCCTATTGAAAAGCCTGCTCCCTGGGGGTCATACCGTTTTCTTGTTTGCAAGAAGGAGCACTTGACAGAGGCACCAGCACACTCAAAAGCGAAATCTGAGAAGAATGTAATTTTCTACTTTTTCTTCTTGCACAAAAGGGAAAATGATTTACTGCATCGCTCCCCAGAGCTTGATGTCAGCTGGCTGTAGCCACTGCTACATTAGGGAGTGACAAATCTGAAGCTTGCCATCAGAGTTTATGAACAATTTATGAGGGCAAAATATGCATCAAGCTCTGATCTTTCAGGCTAGGGAGGTAAGGCAGGGGAAAGGCCAGAGGTCACCTAGCCAGCCTCCTGCCTCTGACCACACACATTTCAGCTTTACACTAAGGTCAAATGACCAGCAGCTATAAACATGATGCAGGAAGAATGTCTTGCTGGGCACTGCAATTCATAAACCTACCTCCATCCAGAGGTAGAGGTTGGAAAAGAAAGAGCACAGGCCCTGGAATCAGACAGACCTAAGTTCCCCTCCCAGTGCTGCCACTTAAGATCTACGCAACTTTGCATCATTCTCTTTCCTTCTGTGAACAGAAGTTTCTCCAGTGACCTTCAAGTTGGTCTGTAGCCTTGACCTTTATCTTATTTCCTGTCCTCCAGGTATCTACTAGAGACTCCTGTGTGCCCCACCTCTGAACTCTGAATCTTTTCCTGAGTCCTGCTCCTCTTCCTTTGCATGCACATCCATCAACCTACCTACATTCATTGTCATAGACTCTGCCTTCCCCCGTCACTCTGGATGAACTGTCCCTTCTCTGATCTTAGAGCAGCCGCTCCAATTGTGCCCTTGATCCTATGCTTTTTTACCTACTCAAGGACATCACTATAGTGGTTTTCTCCTCTATCTGCATCATGCCACTTTCCCTCTCTACTAGATCATCTCCATCCACATGCAAACATGGCTTCTATCTACCATCTTCAAAAGATCCAAACCTTGATCCTGTCTCCTCCAGCTACCAATTTTCTTAACCCCAAAGTGAGCCAAACACCTACAAAGAGTTGTGTTCCTTTCTGGCTCCTCTTCTGTATTTCAAGTTGTTTCCCTATTCTTGTCAGCTTCTGATCCACTATTTCACTGAAATGGTTCTTAACTAGGCATAAATGGGTTCAATCGGCAAAAGCCCACATCTTCCTGAAGCTTATGATCACTTCTGTCCTCATCACTCTAGACCTTCCAGCAGCATTTGACATGGTAATCACTCCTTTATTCTTAAAATATTCTCTTCTCTGGGCAAGACCTAGAATTACTCTCACCCAGTTTTCAACCGATTTGTAGCTTCTTCTCTTTTACTGGAGCTTCTTCTTCTTCTTGATGTCTGTCCGAATGTCAAAGTGCCCTAGGGCTCCATCCTTGACCTTCTCCATGTCATCTATACTCCCTCCCTAGGAGATCACTTGATTTGCAATATTGTTTGGGCAATGATAACTTCCAGATTTATCTCTCCATCATGATCTCTCCCCTAAATATTGGACTCATGTATCAAAATACCTACTTGTCATCTCCACGTGTGTGATAGATATCTCAGACTTCACATATAACAAACACAATTCTTGATTAGCCACCTTCTGCCATCACTAAGTTTGCTCCTCCCTCAGTTTCTCCCCAAAGGGCACCACCATTTACTCATTTGCTTTGGCTTCCCTCAAAATTATGAGTCAAACTTGATTCCTCTCTTTCGATCAATCACTTCCAATAGCCTACAAATTGACAAATGCTGTGAGCAATATCTTCAATATGTAGCATTCAACCACTACCCACCACCTCTACTGCCACCACTGCGTTCCAAGCCACCACTATCTCCACCCCTGATTATTGCAATATAGTCTCATCTAGTCCAATCTGACTACTGGCTCCACTACTCACTCCACTGAACTTGAACATTACCAGTGACCTCCACATTACTAAATCCGTTGGTCACTTCTCTGTCATCTTGCTTGACCTTTTAGGAACATTGGGAAGAGGAATCCACAAGCTTGTCTGGTTTCTTTTATATCTCTCTGTGTATTTATTATCAGCCTCCTCAGTTGGCCCCTCCTTCTCTACTGTACTTCAACCTCTATCTCTGGTTAAAACATCAGCTCTGAGCTTCAGACCTATATAACCAATTGTCTACTAGCTATTTTCTCTTAAATGTACCAGAAAATGCCTCAATGTCCAAAACTGAACTCTCGATCTTCTTCCCAGGGCTTTTTGACCCCCAGTGGCCCCCGTCCACTATGCTCCCTAAGCAACAAACCTGAGAATCACCTTTGACACCTCTCTCTCCTTTACCACACCTATCCAATCAGTCCCTAAGAGTAGGACATTCTACCTCTCCCCAGTCTCTTAGCTTTAATCCCTTCTCACCATCTGTTTTAGTGGCACTTTTTAAGTCCAGGTTATAATCATCTCTCACCTGGACTTCTGCAACTGCCTCCTCTCTGGTGTCCTCACTTCTACTTTTGCCACTCTCCTGTCCTCTCAGCATGCTGCAGGAAAAGGGATCTTCTGAAAACATGGAGCTTGGCCGTAGCTCTCCTGTGCTTTACTCCCCCAGGGGCTTCTTCCTCAGTGTTCCCAGGATCAAGTTAAAGCTCCTGAGACTGGCATTCAAGGCACTGCAGGACCTGACCCTAGGCAACCTCAGCCTGTCTTCCTCCCACCACTCCTTGTATCTGAGGTCCCAGCCTCACCAGAGCACTCATGCAGTCATAACCGGATATCTGTTCCCAGGACTAGGGGATCCTCAAACGCAGGAATCTTGTCGGAGTTGCTTTGTCATCTCTGCCCCCCATGTGTGTGTCCCTATGTACAGGAGACGCACGTGTACAGGAGGCACACACAGTCAGTTTCATGTTTTCCTCCATCTGTCTCCACAGTCCCTGTCTATGTATAATCCTTCCCTGCTTGCAGTTTTCCCACCCTTAAAAATATTAGAATTTTGTTGTCAAATCTCACCAATGAGTTCTATGTGTATTATATTGTTTCTGATATTTTTGTGTTTTGTTGTGTTTTATTTTGTTTTTGTTTTATGTTATTCCTATAGTGTCATGGCTGCCAGCCCCTGGAGGCCTAATCGAAATTCGACGGGAGCCTGTCACCACTCAGCCACATAGCAGAACAACAGCCACAGCCACTGCATCAGCACAGCACTCAACAGTGTAAAAGACTTTTCTCCCATTTTCCCACCACAGGCCCCTTCCATCACTCACTGATGGAGGGAAGGCAAGGACTCCATTATTCCTGCTTAGCAGATGAGGAAACTGAAGCACTGCAAAGGTTGGAAGGGTCACTAATGCCTCTCAGAAAAATTCTCCTTGCTGAACAGGAGGTCAGGGTAGCCTCCAGCAACGCACTGGGCTAGGGTGAGACAAGCAAGGCACTGAGGGTGTAAAATTTAAGGATACATTTACTTTCAGGGTCATGCAAGTTCAAGATTGCTGCCAGACAGTAAGCGCCTGCAGGTGGAGAGGCAGACCCCAGAGTGGCCCCATGGGAACATAGCTATTACTAGAGTCCTAAGCAGGAGGAAGAACCCTAGCCCAGGGCTCCAAAGACGGCTTCCTGACTGACTTACTGGGTACCTTTGGGTCAATACCTCCTCCCCTCAGGGCCTTGGGGTCCCCAAAAATACACAGGGATTTCACATTCTCTGTCTTGTGAGGTAGTTTTGTTTCCAAGCTCTCCCTGTGACTCTGGTTCCCGGTACAGCCCCTAAGCCCAGAAGACAGCCAGTGCTAAGGAGCTGCTACTATCAGCCCCTTAGAAATCCACTCTGCATGAGTCTGAGCAAGCTGTTGTGCATAGGTTTGATTTAAGGCCATTTCAATAAGCCCCAATTCATCATCCTGAAGGCCTTTGAAGAAAAGACAACTGCCATTTTCTAAATGCCATTATGCAATCAAGCCTTTTGCAGGCAGCCCGGCAGGTCCACATGCCCGTACGCGTACCCAGACTAGTACATCTCACGTCTTGCTGAGTGTGCCTGGGCTCCCTTAACCATAGAGCCCCAATGGTATGGGGGCTGGCGAGGATGATGCAGGAAAGAGACCGGAAGCCCGAACAGTGACACGGACCACAGAACAGGCGTTCTGTGAAAAGTTGTAGAAAATCCCATAGCAAGGAGGCCCTACCTGACCCAGGATCTTTCTCGTCTGTCAGGAGCTTGAGCCTGTTCCCTGAGCTCCCTTTCCCTGCAGGGCAGAGACCCAAGGCAGCCTTCTAAGAGGACCATTGTCCCTGGAATGCAGTGCTAAGAGCAGTGACTTAGCAGCCAGGTTTGAGTCTTGGCTTCAGTACCTCTTAGCTCTCTGACCCTGGGAAAGTGAGCAACAGCTCTGCGCCTCAGTTTTCTCATCTTTAAACTGAAGGTAATAACAGCATATCAACTTCCTAGAATTTTGTGAAAATCAAATGCTGTGCTATCTATAAAACTCTGAGAATGAGGCTTAACGTGTAGTAAGCTTTATATCAGTATTATGATTCTTGTCATTTTCACAGCACCACAAACAGGAGTGGCAACTGTGGGAGCTGGAAAGTAAGCTAGGGATTCCCCTAGACCATGGGGTATGGGAGAAGCAGAGCAAGGTATGGAAAATGAAGGCCTGATTTTAAATCCTGCCTTCACTTTTCTATAGCCATGGGTTTTGGGGCAAGACTGGGTACTGGACCGAACCTCCTTCTCCATCTCTAAAAGGGGTAGAGACTCCCCAGCTCAGGGGGTTCTTTGCAGAAGTTGATGAAGAAACATATGGGACACTGCTTTATACCAGGCAACACAAAAAACTACCCAGCAGGGTACATGTGAGAACAAGGTCTCTTGTTTCCCAGGCTGTGCTCTTGGTAGGACACTAGCTTCTGCAGTGCTCACAGGTATCTCCCTAAGAAATAGCCTCTCTTCCAGCCATAGGCTTTGCACTCAGAAATGCTCCATTTGCACATTTTAAGGAGCAATCATCAGAGTCTCATGTTCAGCCTGAGCTCTTTGATATATCTGGCCAAAAGAAAGGTTCTTAGGCCCTTGCAGTTGTCTCACAGTGGGGACCAGCCACAGTAAACCTGGGCCACAGTGGCCAGCCTGTGCATTTGTTAGCTGATGCCTGTGGCGCGCTCAAAGGATGGGAAATGGCCCAAGTTAGGAGCCCCACATTAAGCCTTGGGTGCCTTTGTCTACCCAGAAGCTATCACTCTCGGGTGCTGACCTTGTGTTGGCATGGAAGCATGGGAAATGGTCGAAGTTCAGAGCCCCACTTTTAGCCTGTAACTCTTGCAAGTGGCTGTTTTCCTGGTGATCTCTTGCCCTACGACTTCTGCTCTTCCTCAACTGCCCTAACCCAAACCTCTTCCTTCCCCACATGATGAGGGAAAGGAGAGTGTGGGAGGGGGATCCCCAGCTTCTCAGTAGCCTGGAACCTCCTTGGGGAAGCACAGGAACCCTCACTCCTGCAAGCAATAGCTCTATTTTACCTGGTAGTCCAGCAGGGCACAGCTCTACTTCCTGAGCCCTCATAAAGAACTGCCCTCTGTCACATCACATTGCCAGGTCACGATTTATTTCCCCCTAGGCCAGCTGCAGTAGCCTCAGTGATGCGTGGGCACTTTTCCCCCTCCACATCTCCCCACTCTCCAGCCCAGCCATGTCAGCACGAAGCTCTCCATCAGAGGGTGATTAGATTTGGATAGGGGTTTTTTTTTCCGGACATAATTGTTTCTTAATTCTTTTAATTTCGCTACCTTTAAAGATTACAAGCAACAACTAGCACTTGATAAAAAGAACATTAGTAATTAATCGAGTTTTCAAGTAGCGCTGCTTTTGTGGCAATTTTTCAAAATATATATGTAATTTAAAATCTGCAATTTAAAATCTGAGGAGGCAGAGACCCTTCCAAATGATGCATGAGACCCCTACCAAGGGATCAAGCAATGCAAAAACCTAAGTAAGGCCCCCAAATACCAAGGAGAAATAATCTGTTCATTTATTCATTTGCTTATTCACACAATCACACATTTGCTTGGTCATTAAATTAGTTAACTTACTCTGTCACACATTCATTCACTCCTTCATTTATTTGTTCTCATCCTTCTTATATGCTCACTCACTGGTTCACACACTGACAGAATCTCTCCCTCCCTCCCTCCCTCCTTCCCTCACTCTATAACACCCATAGCCCCATGGTGACGTAGGGCTTTAGCTGATTTTATAGATTTTCTCCAAAAGTACCTTCAGTGTTCAAAAAAAATGATGAACTTTCATACAATTAGCCAACTTGAACCACACTCCTTTTATTCAATACACACTGCTTGAGAGTTCAATATGTGCAGAGGTAGCAAGAGACAGATGACATTGACCACACCCTCACCTGGCTTGTGGTCAACTTGGGGAGATAAGCGTTTTCACAAATGCTTATATTAGATACAAGAATCCAAAAGAGGAAATACATAATTCTGACAGAAAGGCTGCATGCAGGCATCCATTCAGTGAATTTTCCTGAGCATTTACTATGCATCAGGGCCTGGGAATACAGAGAGAACTAAGACATGATCTTGCCTTTCTGGAGCTCAAAATCCAAAGGTGGAAAGAGACACAGGACCAAACAATTGCTATAAAATATGGGAGGCATTGGGTTGCTGGGAGACAGTGCAAAGATCAACTAGTGATGAGCTCTGTTCAGTGAAAACTTATGAAACAGTCAACCCTGGTCTGAGGTCTTGAAGGAGGAGTAGGATTTTGTTTGACAAATGTAGATAAAAGGAGAATGCTTCAAGTATGATCCGTGGGTAGAAAACACAAGGTATATTTGAAGAATAGTAGAGTCCTAATTTTCTAAAGCAGAGGATATGTTTGAGGGAGTTGGTGGAAATAAGAGTTAGCCCTTGAGCAAGGTTTTGAACGTCCATTGGGATTTTGTTGTGTGGGTAAGAGGAGGAGACATGGATGGTTTTTGAGCAGATTTGTGTTATGATGACAGCTGGGCTCAAGAGATGAACTTGGAAGTTAGATCGGAGAGATCATAGAGCCTTGGGGCAATCAGATCATTGAAGAAGCCAGAGGTACTGATGGACCAAAGTTGGAGAGTAGGGAGAGAAAAGCCGAGGCAAACCTGAATGTGAGTGCTGCAGGGAGGCTGAATCAACAAAACAGACTTAATGGGAAAGATGAGAGTGAGCTAGTCAGAGATACTCAAGAGGATTTTAGAATGGGATACCAAGAGTATAGTGGTGCCATTATGAGAGAGAAAGAGAGAGAGAGAGAGAGAGAGAGAAGCAGGAAAGAACAAGGGGAAAAGGGTGATGGGTTTGGTGGTAGATATGTTAAGGAGCCTGAGGAACAGTCAAATGAAAGTGTTCAGCATGCAATTGGACAATAGGCCTAGAGCACAAGAAGGAAGCCTAAATTATTAGAGATAGATATTTGTGTCACATTGATTAGCCTCTTGACCAGAAATTATTAACATTGGGTACATAAGTGAACTTCTGGGAGCCTATAAGATATATCCTAATGGTAGAATTGACACCTGTTGGTAGTGGGTTAGATGTTGGTGGAAGAGGAATCTTCCAAGTGTCTGTGAGGAAATCTGGCTGGTTAATAATGTCATTTACAAAGTTAGGGGATAATAGAGTAGGACAGGGCAGGGGACTTGTGTAGAAAAGAACATGAGATAAGGGTTAGATATGATGAATTCAAGAAGCTTGTAGGCTGTCCAACTGAAGATGTCTACTAGGCATTGGTTACATGTATCTGGAGGCTTGAAATAAGGTCTGGGCTGAAAATTGATTTGGGATGGTTAAGGCCAAAGGAATAGATTAGATCATGCAGGAAGAGTGTGGAAAGTGAGAAGGGGAGACAACTTTGGAACTGATTAAGAGTCAAAAATGAATTCCAAATGTCTGGCTTCAGTATATAGACTAATGATGGTGTTTGTTCCTGAAATGAAGAACACTTTGAAGTATTTGAGAGAAGTGTGAACATGAGAAGTTCCATTTGACCCAGATAGGATTATAGGTGGTTGTGGGATATGCAAGTGGAGATTCTCGAGTATCTCTATATCTGACTCTGGAGCTTAGGAAGGAGAATTGGATTGAGACAGATTCTTGATTTTACTGCAGAGATAATGGCTGAAGCTGGGATATAGGTGTGGTCTCTAAGAGAAAGCAAGAAGCTGTCCAAGAAGGATATGTGAACAAGCAGCTTGCTGCACAATGGGAGCTAAGGAATAAGAGCGGCTCTAGGAAAAACTAGAACATGAGGCTGAACAAATTCTGCAGAATGAAGCTTGGCATGTTGACAATGAGGGAGTCATGAGCAACCCTGGGGGAAGTGGGGATGAGAGCAGATTCTAAGGCCTTAAAAAGTTGCAAGAGGGAATAGGAGGCATCACATATAGACCTACTCTTGCAAAATTTCAATCTCGTGGAGAGAGGCAACCTTCACAAAAAGTGGAGTTTTCTTTACAAGATAAGGGAGATAAAAATGGTTACAGGGTTAGGAGAAAGAGCAGGAGAAAGGAAGAGAGAGAAAATTCTGGAGAGAAGGGACAACTGATAAGGAGAGTCTGGGTGGGACACAGGAGTATCAACATCAGAGGCCAATAAAAAGCAAATGCTTTGGCAAATATGCAATTGCAGGGAGGAGAATCTCAGACAAATTACCAAAAAGCATGGTGGATCAGTCTGAGAATTTACTTGATTTACTCCCCATACACTCACCAACAATTACACATAATCATTCTTAGATCCTAGACATTATTGTTATCATTAGTTCTAAACATTGCTCTGGGTGGTTGGATCAAAGGTGACAAATTTCCAGGCCACATGGAAACAGGACATTTGCACATCTCCATTTCTAGGGAGGAGCAGGGTAGAGCTCTGTAGTATTAGTTGCCTCCTTCTTGCCCTGTAGCCCCTCCCATACTGCCTTCCACCTATTCCTTCTCCAAGCACCTTTGCCCCAGGGCTGCCTAGCAGCAGCTAACTCAGAGGAACTCAGAGGGAACCAGAAGCACAGGATCAAATGTGTAGCTCTTGTGGAGGAAGTGAGAGAAATGTTTGATTCCACTAGGCTAAGAAGAGAGACGGTGACAGACCAAGTAGATTCAGAGGGAAAGGGCAGAGGAGAGGGCACACAACAGGTCTGCTCAGCAGCAGGCAGGTGGCTGGCCGTGCTAAGAGAACATGCGTATGTATGACATGAATGGAGGTTGTCCCCCTCCCCAAATTCCCAGCATCCCACAACTTTTCTCAGTCCCAGAGGCGTGGATTCCTGACTGACTACAGTCCCTGTGGTGACTCTCTCGCCTGAGTTCGCTGCTAAGAGGCTGGTGCTGATATTTGGAGGCACTCCTTCCTCTCTCCCACCGCCACCTCTACATAGAGCCCAGGACATCATAGAGGCAAGTGGTATAGTGTGTGAAAGAATTGGCTTTGAACCACTAAACCGTTCCATGCCTCAGTTTCTTTGTCTGCAAAATGGGACTAATGATGTTTACCCTGAAGAGGCATAAGGATTAAAAGAGATAATCCACGCAAAGCAACTCTCTTTGTTAATTAATCTTTCTCCAGAGGTCACTAAAATCTCATCAGAGGAAATAAGACCACAGTATTTGATTCACTTCAGCTTGGAAACAAGCAGATCTTAACATCTCATTAGGTATTCCCAATACAGTTTTATCCCCCAACCAACACAGATGATGTTGTCTGACTTACAAGGAAAAATATGTGATTCACAGTGACTGCCAATTTCTCTTCTGCTCCATGGGGGATTCAGCATTTTTGTTCTGTTGTGTAGGAGGAAATCCAGCCTGATTGTCACTTACCCAATGTCTCCCATGGTGGCACTCTGTGGGTTGCCTTGTTGGGCACAAACTCCAAATCAGGAATGGCTACATAATTTGCGGAACCCAGTACAAAATGAAAACGCAGGGCCCCTTCTTCAAATTATTAAGAATCTCAAGATAGCAATAGTAGAGCATTAAACCCAGCATGGGACTCTTCTGAGCACAGGGCTTTGTGGAACTACACTAATCACACACCTGTGATGTGGGCCCTGCCCTGAATCCATACCCAATGCTCTGATCTTGGTGAAGGAGAGCCCACAACAGAGTCATAGGTTCATCTGAAAAAAAAAAAAAAAAAAATTCCACTGGAAGAGATACCACTAGGCAAAGAGCTCACTCCTGATTCTTTTTCCCAAGAACCAGTCAGGTAGATGCCAGGTAGTTATCCACAGATAAATCCTTCAAGGTCAGAATTCTGGAAAGGCATCTCTGTTGGACAACTCTGTTCCCTCTCACTATAATCAACCAGCAACTGACTTTCTTCCTTCTGTTACTTTTTCTAACTGCTCCAGGTGATTTCCACTCTCCCAACCCCTGCGCTCCACACATCAACCCCCAGCACAAGGGTACTCTAGGACAGGGACCAAGAAGCCTACTGAGCCTTGGGGATCTGCACCCTCTTTTCTAGCCATACCCTGCATCCTGACAGTAACCATCTCCTTAGTGGGTGATAATCTCTCAGGTAAGTCTGGGAGGAGGGAGGCTTCCCTGCTGTATTTCTGAGAGCATGTGAGGAGAGCAACAGGGATAGAAAGCTGAAAGAAGGTACAAACCTAGAACAGTGCTACTTAGGAGGTCCATGGATCTGTGCCAGTCTGCAAGGAAGTAAGAACAAAAGTGCAGAGTGGTTCTAAACTTTTATAGCAAGTTGATAATGCCTATTAAATTTAATAACAAAAAATAATTTAAAAATAATTATGTCTTTATTCTCATTATTCCAGTAATTCTGTTTTATTGTGTTTTACCAGAGTATTTGTCCATGCTCTTTGGAAATCTAACAAGCTAATAAAAAAAGTAAACAAAACAAAAAGTAGGTGCTTCACAGTAGATAGGTGGCAACCATGGTTGCCAGCCTTGCCATGCCCCCCTGCCCCCGCCTTTGGTGTAGTGGGCAAAGCGCTGAGGCAGAAGTCAAAGGATCAGCGTGCTTGGCCTGGCTCTTTTATTTCCTTGGACAAGTTGTTTATCTGCGAGCTCCCTTTTTCTCATCTGTAAATGGTTCATGAGGACCCCATAAGGTCTTAAATGAGAAGGTGTTTTACAAATAGTAAGGTGCGGTATTTAGTCCAGCCACCTCATACCCCTGCCACGAAAGCAGTACTGGATCCTAGCACAATGGTTAAAAGCACAGCCTTTGAAGTCGAGCTGTCTGGATTTGGATCCTCCCTTCACAATTCACCAGATGGGTTACTTCAAGCAAGCTGTTTAACCTCTCAGAACCTTCATTTTCTTACCTATAAAGAAGGAATCATCTTAATACCCACCTGATAGGGTTGTGATGAGGATTACCTGGGTAGCACTTAGAACAGCATGCAGAACACGGTACACAAAAAATGGTAGCCAGTAGCATGATTTGATTACACCCTATTCTTGTCACTACATGTGATCATTGTCAGCTTTACCCGTGTTCATTGTTCTCTCCTTTCACTGCTACATGTCTCCATCATTTTTCTCTTTCATACTTCATTTATCGAGTCCCAGATTGGTGCCTTTGTATTTTCTACTAATAATTGGTTATTGCTGGTGTAGAACATACTATTGATATTAGAATATTGACCTTCTATCTAGCAAATGTGCTCAATTCTCATTAGTTCTAACAGGTTGTCTAATTCTCTTGGCTTTCCATGTAAACAATAACATAATTTTCAAATATGCCCATTTTGTTTCTTCCTTAACAATCTATATACCTCTTATTTCTTTCTAGGACTTACCATACTAATTTGGGATGTGATGGCAGCATCCTCATCTTGTTTCCTATGTTAAAGGGAACGCTTCTAAAGCTTCTCCTCTACTAGGTATGATATCTGCTGTTTTTAATGGGTATTATTGATACAGGTGAAGGAGATCCCTTTATAAAGAATTTTACATTTTTATCACGAATAGTGTTAAACTTTATTAAATGTGCTTTATGCATCTATACAAATATTTTTCATTTTTTTCTCTGAGTGCATTTATATAATAGATGCCATTGACAGATTTCCTGATGCTTAACTATTCTTGCATCCTGGGGATAAACTCTACTTGGTCGTGACGTAATTTTTTTGTTGCTGTTTTGTTTTAATGCATCTTTAGATTTAGTTAATGTTTTCTTTAGATGTAGTTAATATTTTGTTTATTATAGGTGACCTGTAAATCTTTTCTTATGTTATTCCTCTCCACTTTTGGTATCAATATTACAGTAGCTCTGTTACTCAACTGGACACATTCCCACTTTTTCTGATTGCTGGAATAACTTATAGAGGAAAAAGATTATCTTTTCATGAAAAATTTGATATGACTATTGACCTGTAAGACTTTCTGGAACAAGATCTTATGCAGGAAAGTGAGCTTTCAACCTCCACTACAATCTTACATAGTCATTGGCCTATTCCATTTTCTTAGAGCCCAGTTTAGCATAAAAAAAAAATCAAGACATCTGCTTACTCTCTGGCTTTCAGCCTTTTGTTTTAGCATCAGCTTTCTCATAACACCATCCCTAAAGAACGAGGAACCAGGCTTGCAGTTTTGCTTCTGAGTCTGCCATTCTTTAGACAAGTGAAGAAACGGAGAGCAGGAAAGTCTTCCTCATCTCTTAAAAGAGTTGGACTAGTGGATCTTTAATGGTACTGTAGATAAAAAGGATATTGTCCACTCTTGTCTCTTAAGAACAGCAGTTAACTCAGCTCAGATACAAATGAAAAAGATATAAAGAAAGAGAAGAGGAAGGGAGAGAATAACAGTTGCCAGATGGTTCCTGCCTGCCTAGTCTAGTACTTTTTGTACCCTGGGTGATCCAGTCTTCCATTTGGAAGAACTCTTGTAGATGCATTTTCACATAAAATCTCTTACTGGTATTTTGCCAGGAAAATCTTGGCCCAGTTGGCGTTTGGTTTGTCCTGTCTTGAAAGAATGTCTCCCACCACCTTCCTGGGGGCTGTCTTGGACTTTCAGTTTCCTGCCTGAGAAATGGACTCTTCCCTGCTGATGATGATTAACAGTTTGAGTTGCAACTCCTTCTGGACATACCAAGTATCTGTGCCCAGGGCTTAGCCTTGGCCAGGCCACCAGAGAAAAAAAAATACAACAACAATAAAAGGAGGGATGTATTATTTCCCTTCTTTGCTTATCAGGAAGCCAGTGACTTTTAGTATCATGAGAAGTGATCTTTGTTTCATTTAATGGGACTTGAAGTAGCCCGCAAGAGAAATTGTTGACATGATTCTAATAACAGTGGGGACATGTGGTGGGAAAAATTCTAAAGATAGTCCCCCAAGATACCTGTTCCCTGGCTATTCAATCATACATTGATCTATATACTGGCATAAAGACATTTTTTCAGATGTAAATTTTCAAGTCAGTTGACTTTAAGATACGGAGATTATCTGAGCTGGTGTTTTCTCTGGCTGGTAGCGGAAGAGAATGTCAAAGAGATTCATAGCAAGAGGAGGATTTGATGCACTCTTGCTGGCTTTGGAGATGAAGGGGCTCATGTGCAAGAACCAAAGAGTGACTTCTAGAAGCTGAGAGCAGCCCTCAACTGACACCCAGCCAGGAAACTGTGACCTCAGTCCTAAAACTGCAAGGAACTACACTGCACCAACAACCTGAATGTACTTGGCAGTAGATTCTCCCCTAGAAACTCAGATGACAACTCAGCTCAGCACATATCTTGATTTGCGAGACCTCAAGAAGAGGACTCAGTTAAGCCACACCCAGATTACTGACACATGGGAACTATGAGAGAATAAATGGGTGTCATTTACAGCCGCTAAATTTGTTTCACTACAGTAGAAAACTAATGCAGGACATCTAATTGGCACTCCCAAAGTGTACTTCCAAAGCCTACATCTCAGCCCTCTGCATGCATGAAACCAAGGTGGGCACACGAAGTTCCTGCTCCCCTCTCCAGCCCTGAGCAGTGTCACCGACTTTTGCTAATGGGCTGAGGCTTCCGTGTGATCTTCTGGTTGCTGAGCTACTGGAAAGAGACCCACTTGACTTGCCCAAAGCTGGAACTTCTTTCAGGCTAATAGGAACAATCCCTGCTATTTTCAGAGAGCTGTGCACAAAATGCTTCCATTGTCATTGTTTCACAGAGGTCTCACAGAGACCACCCCAGCTGAGCGGGTTTCTCTCTTGATAGAAACAATTATATACTCATTTCCTAGATGAAAACAAAATGAGGCCCAAAGAGGGCAGATGGTTGGCTCAAGGTCACAGAGCAAGCATGTTAAAAAACTCCTGCTATAAAACATAACTTACATTGGGTGACTATTGGTGAATTCCTCAGCTGGTGATTTGCAAGGCACTGACCTTTTGCAGCTCTAAGCAGTCTACTGACAAAACCTGGTCATCCAGGCTCTTTCTCCTCATGTTTGTCTGCACTTAATGAGTGGAGATGCGAGGATGCCTATGAGCCGAGATGTATCTGTTTAACTTCTACAGTCACAGTGAGCCCCATATTGCCCCCTTGGCTTGCAAGGCTCTTCGCCCAGCTTGCCACATGGCTGTCTCTCTCACTTCCTTCAGAGCTTTGCTCAGTGGGGCCTTCTATAACCATCCTGTCTAAAATTGTAATGCCCCTCCAACCCTACCTCATGCTTTATTTTTTTCTCTATTGCAAGTACATCTGATATTCCACATGTTTTTATTTCTTTGTCATCTATCTTCATGAGAACAGGGATTTTTGTGTGTTTTGTTGACTGCTTTATCACCGTTACTGAATACATTGTCATATAATAGATAATAAAATTATTCTTATTCTTATTACTACTATTATTATTATCATTATCATATCAGAGCTGGGATGGAAATCCAGGTATGCATATAGTCAACCCCTCCCTCTTCTCTAATCACATGGCCACCTTGACTCTGTAGAAACAGAGGCTGTGTCAAGGACCAGCCATCATATTTCCCACTCACTGGGGATAAGGTAGAGGGAGGCTGCTCCTGCCCCAGACCTGTCATTCCCGGAACCACGACTGACTGCAGTGCCACCTTCTCTCCCTTTTTTTATGCAAAGTAATTTCTCAAAATGATGGCTCAGGCCCCAAGAGAAAAGATCTTATCTGCCTAATAACCTGGGATTCATTCGGACCAAAGGGAGCAGAAGCAACAGATTAATCCTAATGCCTGGAATTTATTAAAAATTTCAACTGTTCCTAATGTGAAAGATGAAATTGCACCGCCTGAAGTGACTGAGACATATCAGGTCTGGGCGATCTCCCTGTGGCCAAAGCCACAATAGCTAACTAATATCCCTTCCTATTAGCAGAGCTTTTAGGACTATGAGACTGAACAAAAACGGACAGGTCAGATCTTTCCAGCAGGGTGAAAGAGAAGCAGAGGCTGCTCTGTCCACTGGCTCTGCCACTTGAACTGCCCAGACCCTGCCCAGACCCTGCCCAGAAACCAGAGTTGAGGAACCTATCTAGGGCATATGAGGCCTTTGACTGCAGCTTCTGAGGCAGAGTCTGCAATGAGAGATGTCTGCAGAACGCTAAGACTAGGCAGAGGTATCAAATAGCATGCGCAGTGCATACTTCTGGAAAGATGGGAGGTTGCTGTGCAAACGTACATAGTATTCAAACAGCTGACATCTTAAGGGTGTCTCCTTTTCTTTAGACATGTCACAATGTCCAAATATCAGATACACCCCTCTCCTGCCCAGTAGCCTTGCCTAATGTCATGTGCCCTGCTAGGACACAACCTCACTCTGGCCTGCTTCTTGCTCTTCAACCCCATCATCACACATGTGTATGTGTGCATGCACACTCACTCATACACACACCCACACTGCTGCTCTACTTTCCATCCTTGGTCTCAGTCCTTTCCCTTCCTCACCTGGTCCCACTTCCTCCCTTGGGTACCTTTTACTTACCTCTAAAGGTAAAGGGACATGTTATTTTTTACCTTAGAAAATGGAAGTCCAAGCTGCATGGGGATCTAGTAGGTTGTTCTGGCCCCTCAGTAGGAAACCATGCTTGCATAATGCTTCCTTTTAAGAGGAGAGAACTAGGGCAGTCCTTTACTTCAGAGTAAGTTAGGGTCAGCCAAAATTAGAACCCAGACACAAAGTAATTGGTTGTCACATTATCTGTAATAGCAAAAAATTGGACACGATCTAGATGTTAGGCAATATGAACAGGGTTAAGAAAATTGTTGCACATTATCTCCAAGGAATATTATGCAGCCATTAAAAATGATTATTATGAAGACAATGTTGTGACATAGAAAAGGCTTATAAATTCGATGGTAAGTGAAAAGGCCAATTGTAAGACTGTAAATATACTGTAATCACAGCAATCTAAAAATAAATGCACACCTGTGGCCAAGGCCTTGGAGGCAATGTGGGATAGAAAATGAGCTCTTATGGACTAGGATGCAGGGATTATGGGTGATTTTTTGTTTGTAAACATCCTGTAATGTTGTCTAATGGTGTTATAATATTGTTGTTCCAGTAAATAACTACTGAGGAAAATTAAGGCAAGTCTGAAGCCTTTTGCTGGTTACAGCTGCCTTGGACGATGCTGTACACACGGCGGCTACTTACTGTCTAGTTTATGGTCACTGTCATGAGTCACCGCCCCTCTCCTCTACCTGAAAAAGATTCTGGTTGCTCCTCGGTGTTCTCCATCTCAGTGAGTCATGCCTCCCTCTTCCACATCCTCCAACCCTTCCGTCACTGGGTCCTGTGGATTTTGTTACATGAAGAGGCTCAAATCTTACTTCTCTCCTTCCTAAGTCTAGGCCAGTATTATCTCACACCTGAATTACAAACCAACAGGTCACCCAGCCTCCAGCCTCAACCCCAGCAGCCACACAAGTGTTATGAGGTGCTTATGGTGACCCACTAGGATGCAGGCTAAAAAGATGTAAACATTCATTCACCTTTGTTTAGGTCATTTCCCTTTATATTCAGCTGTATTTTGTACACAGTGTATCTGGCTCAGTTGTGCATGTTTATATGCTGTAAGCATGTATTTTCAAAAATATTTTATTGATAAGACAGGCAACCAAAAATTTTGATTGTGAACACCAAGTAGATGTTTCTAAAATATTGTTTTGATTGTTTCCCTCTCTTGTTTAAAATCCTTCAGTGGTCTTTCACTGCCTGTAGCATATTTTCCTACATAACCTGCCAACCTTTCCAGACTGCGTTCTGCTGACTGTTCCAGCACTATCACCCATCGGCCCAAGTCCCACTTCTTTAGCCTCTAGGACCACCATGCAGCCCAGAGAGGCTACTTTCAGCCCTTGTGGGGGCTGATCCTGTGGTGTGTGCTGGAGCCAACTCATAACAGGTCCTGACAGCTTAATGTATGTATCTCTTCCCAACTGTGCATTCAGCTAATGCCAAGTTAGTAGCTTAAAATGGGCCATGGTGGGATTACTTACAGCACGGAAATTGGAAAACACTACACATCAAAGATTTCTTCTTTTTTTTCCAGAAAGCTGATTGTCGAATATTTACCGGCACACCATTGAGCTGATCCCTCTTCTTGGAACGTCCTTTTCTAGACTCTTCACTGTGCCCTGCTTCAATATTCACTTCAAGCAACATACCATGCAGGCAGCTTTCCCTTACTCTCCTTTGCCCCTTCCTGCATTCATGCCTCCTCTCTATAAGCTCCTTAGGGGTAGCAGTCATGTCTGAGTCTCCCTGCGTTCATGGTGCATAGAACTGTTCCAGGTGCTGAGTATGTGTTCAGGGAATGTTCGTTAAAACTGAATGAAATTTCTGATACAGCTGGAAAACCTCCATGCCTATAGCCCCCGTGTGTCCTGGTGAGCTGGTTTGGGAGAGTTAAACCCTAGGGACAGCTAGAGCAGGAATTAGGAAATTTTCAGACTGTCTGACTGAAAAGTGGCCAGATTTACAGCTCAGCTCAAAGAGCGCGTGCCACCATCCTCTTTCTTGCTCAGGCTTCAGCTTTTCCCAACATCTCTCAGCGACCCTGAATGGCGTACAGGCTGCTATAGGGAGTCAGTTCTCCTGCTGAGGAAATGATCACTCACACCACATACCTGAACAAACAGCTGTTACAGAAACCATTATGCCAGAGGCAAGGATTATAGAAAAGTGTCCCATTAGATGGCAAATGGAAATTTGTTTTCCTTTTGCAATAATCTCTTATAACATTTATCACTGCACAAGCAAGTTGGTACTTGAAGGATACATCTAGAGTCATTCTAAATAGAGAACTTCAGATTTCAGGCTTCCCTGAAGGAGGAGAGGTAAAAGCCCTTTGGAAAGGAGAGCAGAGACATGTCAAGTCCTGCCAAAAAGATACCAGCGTGACAGAGAAAAAACATGAGATCTGGGGATGATGCCTGCCTCTCTGCTTCTCAGAGCAGAACCCAGACACACAAACACATTTTTTTTTCTCAAGGTATTAGCAAAATCCTGACTTCTTAGTGGGAAATGGGGGAGGCAGATGAGATTAGCTTCTGGTTCAGGAAGGAAGGCTACCTTTTGGACAAGTTTTTGTGAAGACTCTGTACCCTCACAAAGGGCAAAGAATGGCTGGCTTCAGAGATCCATAGGAAGGAGCATACAAAAAAGAGAAAGAGAAAATATAGCCTAGTGTCCCTCTGACTGAGGCAAGAAGAGTACTGCTAAAGTCCCCACTCAAAGCTCAAGACAGCCTAAGGCTCAGGAGAATGGGTGAAATAGATTTTTGGTTTCTCTGGTCTCAAGAGAGGCTGTGGCATCCCAGAGACCTGGGTTTTCATTCTAGCCCGGTCATACATCCACTAGCTGGGTGATTAGGGATGAATTAATTGGCTTCGCTGAGCCTTAGTTTTCTCTGCTTTGTAGGCACAATGATATCTTCCACACAAGATGGTGAAAATCAAGTAGATGTGATGGTGGATTTTATGTGTCAACCTGGCTAGGCTATGGTGCCCTGTTTTTGATCGAACACCTGTCTAAATGTTGGTGTGAGGTTTATTTTTTTCACACGTGATTAACATTTACAGTGAATAGACTTTGAATAAAGTAGATTATCCTCCATATTGTGAGTGAGTCCCATCCACTCATTTGAAGGCCTTAAGAGCAAAGACTAAAGTATCCCAAATAAGATGGAATTCTACTTTCTAGCCTTCAACATAGAAACTCTGCCTGGGTTTCCATCCTGCCGGCCTTTGCTATGGATTTGCCAGTCCTCACAATCACTTTAGCCAATTTCCTAAAGTCTCTCCCTACACACACACACACACACACACACACACACACACACACACACACACACACATCTTGTTGGTTTTGTTTCTCTGGAGAACCCTGTGTGATACAGTAGATGACAAGTATAAAGCACCTGACATGAACCCAAGCACAGAGATTGCACCCAAGGCATAGTAAGGACTCTGCCACCTAATAAATTATTCATTTCTGACCATCTTTACCATCTAATTTGATAGCTTCTAATGTTGTCTTAACTAGCTTGCCTTTGCTAATTATGCAGGTCATCCAATAGGCCCCCACCTTAAATACTTTCAGTTTGATTATAGGCTCTAATTGTACATCTACTTCCATGGATCTTAAAACTGGATGCACATTACAATCATCTGGAAAGCTCTTTGAAATTATCAGTACCTAGACTCCATCCTCTGATATTTTTATTGAATTGGTGTGGGATGGATTCAGGACATCCATAGATGTTAAAAGCTCCCTGATGACTCTAATGTACAGCCAGTGTTGAGAGCCAGTGATATAGAAGATGCCAAGGTATACAACACTAATTTGCCAGAAGCAAAGGCAAATTTGACAAGGATGCCTCCTTTCATTCAAGCATTCTATTGCCAAATAAGTGCTCTTCCCCATCAGTGAAGGTACTACCCTCACCCAGTGCCCAAGCCAGAATACTAGGAATCATCATCAATTCCTCTCTTTCCTTTACCCTTCTATCCAATTCATCAGTGTCCAAAAATCCTGCATCTGCTTCCTTCTCTCCAATTCCACTGCTCTTCCTAGTCCAAGCTCCACTATCTCTTTCCTGGGACACTGTATACTTCTGTACGGTCTAAATCCAATCAGGACGGTGAAACTATACAGTCATTTAAACAGGAAAGTTTAATATAAAGAATTATTAACTAGCAGTTTTGTAAGACAAAAAGATCAAGAGAGCTCTAACACAACAATTTGACCATACTTAACACTACTGAATTATATACTTAAAATGGTTAAGATGGTCAATTTTTAGATTATATGTATTTTACTACAGTGAAAGAAGCCAGACACAGAGGAGCACATATTCTAGAAATGTCCAGAAAAGGCTAATCTATAGAGAAAGTAGATTAGTGGCTCTCCAGGGCTAGGGATGGGGATGAGTGACTTCTCATGGGCACAATGTTTCTTAGACTATGGAGATGGTTTCATAACTTTGTAAATTTGTTTTAAAATCATTGAACTGTACACTGAAAACTAGTTTTGTGGTATGTAAATTTTACTCTAATAAAGCTATTTTGTAAAATAATTATTAATTATAACAAGTGGCTGGATTAATAAGGGATTGGCTAGGAACGAGTAAAAATAACTCTAAAGAACATAGGAATCACAGATATAAGGAACCTCTAAGAGTGTCATAGAGTACCCAGTGAAAAACACTGTCATGAATATAAATTAGTATAGCCACTATGGGAAACAGTATGGAGGTTCCTTAAAAAAAAACTAAAAATAAAACTACCATATGATCCAGCAATCTCACTGCTTGGTATATATCCAAAAGAAAGGAACTCAGTATATTGGAGAGAGATCTGCACTCACATGTTTACTGCAGCATTATTCACAATAGAATGTGAATCAACCTAAGTGTCCATCAATGGATGAATGTATAAAGAAAATATGAGATATATACATAAACACACACATGCACACACACACAAAATGGAATACACTTCAGCCTTTAAAAAGAAGGAAATCCTCTCATTTGCCACAACCACAGATGACCTGGAGGACATTATACTAAACAAAATAAGTCAGGCACAGAAAGACAAATACCACATGATCTCACATACGTATAGAATCTAAAAAAGTTTAACTCACAGAAGCAGAGAGTAGAATGGTGGTTACCAGAGGCTGGTGGAGGGTGGGGGGAAAGGGGAGATGTTGGTCAAAGGGTATAAAAGTTAGACAGGAGGAATAAGTTCAGATTTATTGTACAACGTGGTGATCACAGTTAATAACAATGTATTGTATACTTGAAAATTGCCAAAAGAGTAGATTTTAAATGTTCTCACAACACACACACACACACACACAGAAGACAAGTGTATGCAGTGATGTATATGTTAATTAGTTTGATTATAGTAATAATTTCATAATGTATATGTATATCAAATTATCACATTGTACCCCATAAATATATACAATTTTTATTTGTCAATTATATTTCAATAAAGCTGACAAAAGCAATGCATCTATCAAAGACAATGAGGTTATTGTATGCAAATAATACTTTAAAAGAAAACAAAGCAAAACAAAATCCAACTGGGCTCCTCTCAAAAGGACACAGAAACCAACACAGAGGGGCTACCTCTGACCAAAGAAAAGATAACTACAAATAACTACAATAGATTTAAACAAATCAAACCCATGTGTTCATATATCACCTTTGGAAGATGTCAGGAAACCAACATATTCTGAAAAGACATACTGGGAAGATCTTCTTCATAAAGAATTCCAGCTAACAAATGTAGAAGGAATGACAGCATTGTTATATCAGTATTTTGCAGCTTCCAATGAAATAAGAATGCAGACAATGATCAACAATGGCAGCTGTTAATAGAATCATTAGGTGAAAGGCTCTCAGGCAACTTTATTGTGGATGTGTGAGCCTGACAATGCCCAAACCCAGGAAGCAATTTCAACATCACAAAAAACATACCCCCTGCCCCAACCCTCCCCCGAGTTGGATATAATACAAACACCTGCGGTATGAGTATCTATGAAGTGTTTTGCACTACAACATTCAAATCTATATCTGGTCAAGCCTCTCTATATAGCTATTAGTTTACAGAAAATTCAGGGGTGGAAGGTTATGTTAAATGACACTGTGGGAATGCAACTAGCAATATCTGGACTGTGGAATATTCTAAAGGACAAACAACCAGGTTTCATCAACAAATAAATAGCAAGAAAAATGGGAGACGGAGAGAGGAAACCTGGAGATTAAAACAGGCTGATGAAACCTGGAGATTAAAACAAATGAGTAAAACAAATACAATACGTAGATCTTTTGGATCTGTATTATTAAATGACATTTTGGATCCACTTACTGAATGACATTTATGAGACAATCATGGAAACTTGAATACTAAGTAAATATTTGATTATAAGTAAGAAACCATTTTTAGATGGGATAAAAGTACTGTAGCTTAAGGGAAAAAAAGAGCCCTAATAATTTAAAGATATATACTGAATTATTTAAGGATAAAATGATGTATTTTGTATTTGCTTTAAAACAATGGGAGGATAGGGGATTGGGGAGGTTTATAGATAAAAGTAAGTTGGGCACATGACAATAAACGTTGAAGCTGAGTGATGGGTATAAAGAGTTTATTATATTATTCTACTTATATACATGTTTGAAACATCCCATAATGAAAAATGTTTTTTAAATGGGAGAAATAAATAAAAGCTCTCTTGTATCCCCCAAGGCTGAGACGCACATCTTGTTAGAGAGAACGTGGCCATGGCTCATTGAGTGGCTGGTAAACTTGCTGGACATCCATTCTCTGGAACTGGTCAGAAACTGCCTTCTAGGATGCTGAGGAAAGCTGTTCACTGGGAGGTGTCTCACCAAAAGTGCCCAAATTGGGTGCCAGAGGAAGGTGCTGGCTGCTGGGCACTGCTGATCACTGTCCACTGCAGGATCTGAGTTATAAAAAAGCTGCAAGTACTGCAAGAGAAGCTGGTCATGCTGTGGGAGCTGGGCACTGGGGAAGCCACACATGCTTCAGGAATCAGACGCTAGAAAAGCCATGTTCGCTGCAGGTACTGGATCACGGAGAAGTCATATGCCCTGCAGAAGCCAGGTACTGGGAATCTATGTGTGCTACAGAGGTGAGATATGGAGAAGCCATCTGCAAGGGCCACCAAGAGCCTGCTGAGGCAGCACGCTAGAACAAGGAGGAAAAACCCATTCCCTCTGGCAATGTCTCTCCAGTGCCCTCTCCTGACAGAGCTTCAGCGAGCAGGGACAAGGAAAAAAATATTTAAAGGGCCCAGATCCAATTCCACAGAGCAAGCAAGAAGGATAAGCTTGGAGCTGAGGAGCAATAAATCAATGATTCCTCACGAATCTCTCTACTTCTGTTCTTGCCCATCGGCAGCCTGTTCACCTCATAGCAATCACAGTAACCTTTTTAAAATAGAAGGCTTGTCTCATCATTTCACTTTTCCTTGGAATAAAATTCAAACTCCTTCTGTGGCCTAAAGGTTCTGCATGTTCTGGCCCCTGTCTCCCTTTCCTGCTGATGGCAGCTACTGCTCCAGATGGCCTGCCGCTGCCATCACGCTGGCTGCAGCAGGGAGGCCCTGCCAGGGCTGCACACTGTGTGGAGCTGGCAGGAGTCAGTGACAAGTGGTAGCCCTGTCCCTTCTGAGTTGGAGTGGGAGCTCCCCAGGTGTCCTCACTGTAGACCATGGCCTCCCACTCCATGGAGCAGGCAGGAGCCCCAACCTCCTGGGTGGAGCTGCAGCTACCCAAGTTGTGGCTACGGATCCAAACCTCCATATGCTGTTGGTCGGGGGGAGGGGGTGCCAGAGCAGGCAGGATTCCTGCACTCCCCAGTGCAGCTGTAGTAGCCCCATGCCCTCCATGGTACAGCTGCAGCTGCCCAAACCAGCAGCCGCAGTCTCAGGCATCCCTGCACTCTTGGGGGCCTGGGAAGGCCCTCCTGCCCTTGCAGGCTCAGAAACAGAAGCACCTGCTCCTGCTGCCTGGCTTCTCCCTGCTGTTGGTGTCTGCTCTGATCTTGGAGCAAAGTCAGGGCCCAGCTGGGGCACTGTGAACTGTGAACGGCAATAGAAGGCAGACAGATTCCTGGGCAGAAGGGGGCGGGTCCCCAGTAAGGCCCCACCTTCAGGCCAGGGAGGGCCTGAAGGCTGAAGGCTGGGCTGCTGGTCCCATGGATCAGAGTGGGGACTTATGGTGCCTTTTCCAGCCCACTCATGGCCGCCCATGGACCAATCAGCACACACTTCCTCCCCTCTAAGGTCCACAAAAACCTGGAAAGATCAGGCAGAGGATGACCAGCTGCAGAGAGGAGCTACCCTGTCTGCTGAGAGCTGCAGAGACAGAAGGATGACTTGCCAGCAGAGAGGAGCTACCCCCTGCGGGTCTCCTCTGAGCTGTGGTAACACTCAATAAAGCTCCTCTTCATCTTGTTCACCTTCCACTTGTCTGCATACTTCATTCTTCCTGGATGCAGGACAAGAACTTGGGCAAAGGTGCCACCAGTTTCCAGCCGGAAAAACGACTCCTCAAAGTCTCCCTTGCTTCTGTTTCATGAGGCCATCCTTCTGCCCAGAACTCCTTCTTATCCTGCCCTTGTCCTACCTCCTGGCCAGCTTAACTCCTACTTAGCCTTAGATTACAGTCCAGACGGCCCTTCCTCAAGGAGGCCTTCCTTGACCTCAGGCTGGGTCAGCTCTCTGAGCATTCTGCCCTTGGCCTTTGGAAGTAGTCATCACACTTGAAGTTACTTGGCCCATGTCTGGCTACCCCACAGGACTGTGGATTCCATGGGGAAAGGGCTGTATCAGTCAGTCGTGGTCATAGCATATCCTCAGGGCCCAGCACAGTGTCTGACACTCAGTCAGTGCTCAGCAATATTGTTAAATAAAATTTAAATGATGGTAGACACCTCACTGTAACTGCATTAAATCTGTTGGGGAGAACTGTGTTTGACAAACTGAACCAGAAGATGTCTGAAGAGAGTGGGTTTAATCAGGGAAAACTCCTGGAAGGAAATTATATTTTATGCCAGACAAGAAAGGGATGGTGGACCTAGATTGGCATAAAATTGTGGAACTGACGGATGGAATAGAGTACTTGGGAAGAACGGTTTGACTAAAACAAAAACATCGAAGTGGAGAGTGGTGGAGATGCAGCTAGAGAGGTGAGGGTGAAATCAATAGCAGAAGGGACATACCCATTCAGCAGATCCTGGAGCCCCTGAGGATGGTTAGAGCCAGATGTTTTTGGAAGATGAATACGGCCTCCGCATATCTGAATGGGGTGCAGGGAGTGAAGATAGAACAAGCTGGGCAAAGGAGGGCTGGTGACTGGTGGCTAAACTTAAACTGCATGCCAGTGAAGGTGGAAGAGGAAGGGGGAGGAAGGGAGAAAGAGGTGCATGGATTACAGTGGCAACTCCAGGGGTGGAAAGAAAGGTGATTATCCCATATTCTGGACTCTGTGCTGGGTCCCAGGGGTGCAAGAGTTGTGCTCATCTTTTTATAGAACTTGTCAGTGGCAGAGACAGACATTCACCAAATATTCAGACAAATAAATATTACCAACTGTGGTAGCTGCTAAGGAAGAAATTTGCAAGCTGCTCAGAATGAAGCCCAAGAAGCCTGACCTCATCCAGGCACTCATAGGAGGCTTCTTCGAGGAACGGATAGGGAGGCTGAGATCAGAGTTACCTAGTCCATGGCAGTGGGTAGCGCGGCAATGGAGGGAGCACTCCAGGGAGAGACAACCTCATGTTCAAACACAGGTGCCTGTGCATACACATGGTTTGCACCCACTCTGCTATCCTTGGAGGTCCTAAGGGACCTCCAGGAACAGCTTGGAACCAGCAAGTCTTACTCACTGTGGTACATTTGTCCTCAGCGTCCACTAAACCCTTTGGGTAATCTCTGAAAATCGGTACACCTACTCACAACAAACCTATTGACTTCACGGGGAAACCAAAACACAGAAAGTTGAAGTGATTGTGCTGAAAGCACAGAGAGGGAGCCACGTGGTCTCTAAAGGTGCTATTTGGGACAGATTCTAGTTGGGAATCAAGTAATCAATTAGGTCAGCAAACGGTCAATCGGCCTCAGCCATTAAGACAACAAGTTGGTGGCACTGTTATCGACACAGCCACAATGACTTGAAGACAGGCTCAGAAGCAAGGCCATAGCTATCCTGGTCAATAAAGCACCTGACGAAGCAAGTAATTAGGACCAACTGTGTTTCATTTTTCACCTCCTAAGCCAGAGTGGCCCTCTAGACACATCTATCAATGAAAGAAGGCAGGGCTGAGGGTAGACGTTTAAGACATTCTAGGGGAATTGAGAGAAAGAAGAGTATAGGCCCAGAAATTCCACATAAGCTGTTTCAAAACTTCCAAACCTCTGAAGTATGAGAAAATAGGAACTGAGGAAGCAACCCAAAAGATGGCCCCTCCCTCCACCCCTCTCCACAGTGCAAAGCATTACCAGCACTAAATCATCCCAAGTTTGGTAGAATAAATCACTGCATGTTTGAGATGGGGGGAGAAGTAGGGTCTCCATGTCTCCACAGGCTAGGCTTGGGGACATTGCTGACCCTTCCCAGTTTCCATCCTTCCCTCCCTCCCACCCTTTCTCTCCCTCCTAATTCCAGACACACAGGAGATTTTTCAGCTCACGAGTCGACTGATGATGTAACCCCTTCCAGTCTAGACCAGAAGTTTCTTGAAGGAAGAGACAGAGCAAGAATCAACTCTGCGTCATTTCCATGTCTGCAAGGCCTACCCAGTACCTGGCACTGAGTAGGCACTCCGTAAATACTGCTTTTGTTGACCCCCTCCCCGAATTCAGAACAAAGCTGCTTTCTTAGGAATCCCCCAGCCCTGACTTAGCAGCCCCTGAATCCTGCCCAGAGATGTGCCCTGTACTAAGTTCTACCTTTCCTGACAGATTTCTGAGCATAGGAGCTCCTTCCACTCCCACCTTATTTAGTCACTGCCTTGTCATCCTTCCTGACCTAAAAGACTCATTTTGTTAAAAGTCTCCTTGCAATTCTGGCCAAGTCATCTATCTGTGCACAAGGAAATCTCTGGGTGCTAGCTTCTCCTGATCTCATGAAAAACCACCCAGACAGTGCCTTGTCCTTTCTCAGAGACTTATATCCCTGGTGCAAGCCATTGATCTATTGGTGGCCAGGCTCCCCAAGGCCTCCTGGATGAGGGCACTGAGGTAGAGCCTTAAATCAGGGGAATGATATGGACAGATGGGATATAAGGGAGGGGATTCCAGGTTGACCTAACAGCACGAGCAAGGAATGGAGGTGGAAAAAAAACAGCAATTGAAGGTAACAGCAAGTTGTTTTGTCTGCTTAGACTCCAGGACCCCAGAAAAGAAGTGTGGAAGATGAGGCTAGGGAGGGCTGCCTGAGCTGCCATTGAGGGCTTGCACTTTGTGCTGAGGGTGGTGCCAAGCTTCTGGAATGTTCTGAGCAAAAGGATGATATAAGCAAATTTATACTTGAAAGGCTCCATATGGCTGCAGTGTGGAGAACAGACTGCAGGAGACAAAAAGTGGTGTTCGGAAGACTACTCAGGAGGTGGGGATGGTTGGGCATTGAGATGGTGGTGTCCTCAACTAGAAGGAAGGTCCTAGGCTGAAGAGAAGTAGACTGGATCAAGAGATAATTAAGAAGATAAAGGGATGGAACATAGTGAATGACTGAATTCAGGATGTAAGAGCCAGGAAATAGGTGACGCTTTATTAATCCATGTAATACATTATAATTTATGAATATATAAAATACATTAACTAGCTCTTACCGAACGTCATGTATATACAGAGTTTTGTGTTTAGAAATAGGAACACACAGGTACATAATACATAGTGCCTGCACACAAATAGTTCCAGGTCTAATGGAAAAACAGGACAAGAAAGTGCCAATGACAATGAAGTATCCCTAGTTGCTGAGGAGCACAAAGGAGAGGCTCCACATCCTGCTTCAGGAACATGGGAAGGCAAAGGGGGAAATTTGCATAGGAGTTAACCACTGAGCCAAGTGTTGGTGGGCACCAAGTGAAGGAGAACGGCACAGTTACTGCAAGCAAGTACACAGCATGCGTGAAGGCAGTGAGATGTGAAACAGCATGATGCATAAGTGGAGCCAGGGATGAGGAGGATGGTGGCACCATTAGCTGTGATCTGGGATGCAAAAGGAAGAACAGCTTGTGGTGGTGGTGGCAGGTAGGGGGGAGGGAGTGCTGGACTCTGTCTTGGACATATTGTGTTTGTGGTGCCTGAGTAGTAGTTAAGTAATCTCTGCAAAGAGCTCTCTTGTGGAGATGAAGCCAGGCTTAGGAGGGATGGTGATGGTGGCTCACCTAGGCACCTTGCCCTTCACCTTCTCAGTAGCATAAGACCAATGGAGCTTAGCAGGACTGAGATAAGGGGGTGGAGGCTACCCATGGCAGTGCCTTTTGTTTGCAGGGCTTTGTGATTCTGCAGCACACTTATGTTTGTGGTGAGCTGGCCTTCCTAGGACCTGAGTGGTTGAGGCCCGTTTGATGCCTGAAGGTATTCACTCCTTCTGCCTCCTGTGGTGTATCTGGGAAAGAAGGTGAGTCACCAAGATCATGTACAAGATCATGTCTGCAAACAGCAGACAAACAAGGGGTGGCAAAGCACACCTTGGCCACCTGGTCCCCCACCTGGGTATTTTCTTAGCCACTGTCTCGGTCCCTGGTCTGGGTCTGTATTCCCAGTCCTGACTCTCCCGCAGCACTTTGGCTGCACTCAAGGGGAAGGTTGACTTCCTGGTTGCCAGTGAATACCTCTGAAACCAGGGCTGCACTTTAAGAATGAAGCAAGACCCAGTAGTCCACAGAGTCACCTTATTTTGCCCATTGTCTGCCTCACTGGGCAGGATAAACCCACTTTCGAAAGTAGTGAAGAAGAGGAAAGAGGAAGGGCTAGGCATGTACTAGGAAGAATGAGTCTGTAAGAGTGTCAGAATCCCAGGAAAATGTGCAGGATAAGAGCATGGAGCTGAAAACTTGACTAGAACCAGATTATAGGAGTTCCCAATGAGGAATCAGGCCTCAGGCTCAGCATCAGCGAGGTAAACTAGGAAGATTTTTCCTGTGCTCCAGGAAGATGATTCCAGTATTGTGTGCAAAATGAAAAGGAACGAGATGAGTTTGGATAGGAAAAAAGGCTCATTCCATAGCCCAGGCAGGAAGTGATAGGAACAGATCTGGGACAAGGTCAATGGGACTGGAGACAAGAGGACAGACACAAGCAAAGCCCTGGAGGTGACAATAAGTGACCATTCTGACCAATGACTGCAATGTCAATGTGCTTGGAGCTCAAGCAGTGGGGAGTGGCCTTCAGTGAGGAAAGAAAGGTTGGCAGAGGTCAATCATGGAAGGCACCTTAAGCCACATGAAGGAGTTTGAACTTTGTCCCAGTTACAGTGATAATGTGGAACAACTGGTGGTTTATTTTTTTTTTCCTGAGGAATGACTTTATTATTTTTGTAAAATTTATGTGTTCTCGTAATTAGAAATTAAATCAATATAGACAAGTCCAAAGAACATTAAAAGTAACTTCAACCCCCACACAATAATGATTGTCAAGGCAAGCCTTACTCCAATCTTGCCTTTAAGTTCATTATTAGAGATGAGAATGGATAGAGAGACAGAGAGAGGGGTGAACAATTTTCCATGGTATCCATGTGTAGATATTATCTGGAAATATATGAAATTTAAATTCCCTATAATTTAAAGAAGAGGCATCTCACAAGAGGAAAGAAGTAATCAGATCTAGGTTGTAAGAAGATCCTTCTAGCTGCTGATGTGAGGGAGGGGTTGGGAGGAAGGAAGATTGGATGTCAGGGGACCACGCAGGAGACACAAGGTGAGAATAGTGAAAGCTTGAAAAAGGCAAGGCTAGCAGACTTGGAAAGAAGGGGTGAAGAGTATCCCCACTATATGAGCAGCTTTCCTAGGACCTGCTTTCTGGTGGGGGGAGATACAAAGGAGGTTCTCCTAGATGGCTCATAGGTCTAAAGCCTTGGTGATTAGGGGGTGTTAGTTCCATGATCAGAAATAGGCTAAGCAGGCAGAGCAGGTTTGGTGGGGGAGACAGTGTTTCTTCTGATGCATGAAGATTCTGTGTCTGGTTGGGCATCCAACAGGCATGTGGAGATGGGAATCTGGGGCTCAGATGAGAATGGGACTGAAGATAAGGACCTGAGAACCAGCCACACAGAAATGAGCACAAAAACTGTGGGAGTGTTGGAGATCTCCAAGGGAGAAAGTGTCAAGATAGAGACCTGGTCCAAGGACAGAAGCTTAAGAAATTCATCTGTTAGGAGATGGGAGAAGGGAGAGGAGCCAAAGGAGTCAACAGGGTTCGAAAGAACCCAGTAATCTTGTCTCAGTGTTTTGTTCATGGTTGTTTTCAGAAACTTTCTGGGCAACTCAAATGCAAGGTGTATTTGGTGAAAGAGAAGAAAACCACGACTACAACATGAGTGAGGGAAAGGAGCTGGGAAGTAAAGAACTTCATCTCAGGAGGGTGAAGTTAGCAGCTCTGTGCAGAGGGCTTGGGGAAGTGGAGGCCAAGAAAAAGCCATTGAATTTGCCAGTTAGGTCTTCAGTAACTGTGGTAGGATCATGATCTGGAGAGTACTGAGAGCCAGGAACAGATGGCTGGGAGTTGAGGAGGGAGCCAAGGCAAGGAAGAGATGACTTTGAAGGCAAACTTCACTCTCCAGGAAACTAGGAACTACCTAAGCATATTCTAGGCTGCAAGACTAGAGCCAGCAGAGCCAGAAAGGCTGAAAATAAGCATGGGTGGTGACAACTCACAAAGCTGGGACCTCAGGAAGCTGGGAGAGAGTTCCAGTAGAGAGGGCTGGACCACTGGATCAAGGAAAGAAGAAATATTGAGGTGGAGAAAATGTCAGCATTTTAGGCTTGACAGCATAAATTATACCACTTACAACCACCACCTTTTAAGCATATACACTGTGCTGTGCTGAGTGTCGTCTGGGTATTATTTGGTGTCATTTTCACAAGAACCCGTACGGTAGGTACAGTGATTACCCATATTCTACAGAGGAAGGAAATAAAACTCATAGAGATCAAATATCACATTGCTGGCCAGTGGGAGAGACAGGACTCAAGCCCAGGTCTGTGAGACAGCATGGTCCAAGTTCTTACGGACCACTGCACACTGTTTCATGTTAATGGCTTCACATGAGTCAAAACAGGAGATAAGTCTCCTGGGGTGGATGAAAAAGGAGGTGAGGCTGTGATTGGGTGTGAGAGACGTAGGAAAAGGCCTCAGAATAACTTATTTGGACACAGAACGAAGTTTGGGTTAAACCAGATGTGACTAGCAAATAAAATGTGACTGGCAGCCTTGCCAAGAGTCAGGGAAAACCCAGTTGCCTTGTATTCTCCAGCCTTTCTTCAATGCCCAGACACATAGAAAGATAATTTCTCTTTGCCTATTAAAAACCTGAGTTTCAGAAATAGTCAGTGATTTTTTCCATGCAGGTAGCCAAACCAGGAGTGGTGCTCAAGGCTTCTGACTCCAGGGGCAATGCTAGTTCTTCTAGCCTAGCAGGTGCGTGCACACAGATAGCTGGGAATGCCAAAGCACCAGCTCTCACCAGTGCACGGGGGAGCACAGATTAGAAGCTGCAGTTCAGCGCAACCAGGCTCACTGGAGTCTGCCATATCTGGATCTAAGTGCCGGCTCTACCACTTATTGACCATGTGCCCTTCAATCTGTTGCCCAAGCTCTCTAAACCATCAAATCCTCTCTCAACTGGAAATAATAATAGCACCTGCCTCACAAAATTATTGTTGGAATAAAACACGATAACCCATGTGAGGTGCACAGCACAGTGCCTGGCACTGAGTGAGAGGTCAATAAATGCTCAGGGCAGTTGTTTCTGCTGTGTGGTTGCTGTTAGTGGGGAGGACATGACTTAGAGGCAGACAGTCTGGGCTCTAGTCCCTGGCTGACCCCTTAATTGCTCTGACCTGAACAAGTTGCTTCACATAGGAGACAGATTTCTCAGCTCTAAATTGGGTATAATTCACGGGTGGCTGAGGAAATCAATTAAGTAGTGGATGGGAAAGTGCTTTGAAAACTACAAAGTGCTCCACAAAGGTTAGTTATTTAATTCTACCTTGGAACTAAAAGATCAGCCTTCTAGAGAACCAGGCACAAAGGATGAGAAGAGAGGAAAATAACTAAGTTAATGAACTCCATAAATCAAAACTGAGAAAGTTTAGAAGAAGAAGGAAAAAAAGATTTTCTACTTCTCTGAGATGGAAGAAATGCATTTAATTCCACCAAGCGTGTATTTCGAACCTGTTCCAGATGAGGATTTGGGCAAGCTCTGTTGAGGGATCAGGGCTGAGTCAGCCTTGGTCCCTGTTTGCCAACAGCTCCCCCAGGGCACTTGCACATACCTAAGTCTGCCACCAAACAGAAGACAAGTAAAGCGGGGAGCACAAAAAGGGAAAGTTATTCCAACTGTGAGGCACATATCAGCGCGGCCATCTTGGAAGAAGTGGCATTAGACTGGGCTTTGAAGAATGAGTAGGTGATGAATGTGTGAGGTCTGGGGGGAGTTGTCAGAGGGATGAAAAGAAAAGCTTGAGCAAAGGCACAGTAGCAGGGAGGGGCATGAGTTTGGGGAGCAGCAAGTCAATCCATGCGACTAAAGAAAAGGTTTCACTAGTGAGGGATGGAGGTAGCAGGTGAACCTGGAAAGATAGACTGGGACCAGCTCAGAGAGTCTCAAGGTGGATGAAGGTCTTGAGCTTTGTTCTATAGCCAGTGCCTTCCAACTGCGTTGGCCTGGCCTGGCCTCAAACAGTTTTCTGAGCAATGTAGGTGTCAGAAAATAAAAGTTTATTTGATTGATGAGATATACTCCATAGTTGGAACTTCAAGCTAGCTTGTTCCCACCAGAGCAGAATTGACTGTAGCCAACAGGAATGGTTGACCATGTCCTCTGCAGCTCAGGAAAGCAGTTCTCTATGCAGGTCTCTCCAGGACCCTAGGAAGACTAGGCTCTACCTGAGCCAGACACAGCTCTCTGCTAGAGAATTGGAGGCCCCATGAGCACTATGGAGAGAGCCTACTGATTCCTATGTTCCTCAGTTTGCCTTAAATGTTTTTTTCCTCGTTTGTGGCTTTCTTCCCCACTGTCTGGCCCACCTGTCTCCTGGTCATTCCTGAAATCTGGTACTCTATGTTCACTTTAACGCCTTGATGACCTAGCTAGCCTTCGATCTTTGCCAATTTGTCAACCATTTCTGACCTATTCCTTAGTTTGCCCCACATGCACCTCCCTCCAAAACACATAAGCAACCAAATCCCTGACAATATGCAGAGGTGGGCTTAGCTGTGTGAGTGCAGATTCTTCCATCTTGCCAATATTGGGGAGCCATTCTGTCTGGGTAGGTCAGCCCTTTACAAACCTGACAATGACTAATCTGCCAAGTAGCTGCTTCACTGTTGAAAGATTCATAGCTTTGTTCAGAAAAGGTCAGATTCATTGGTTCTAGTCAATTAGAGGATAATTTATTGTGTCTCTTCCTTCTGTGACCTCCAAGACCATACGTAGTTTATCAGCAAGGGGCCAATCTCCAAGGCAAAGTCAGGCACACTGATAATCCCCCAAAAGGCAGAAATGGGGCCAGTGAGCTACCTGAGGTTCTCTGGATTGGAAGTCTCAGCTGGGTCTTGTTTCCCACAAATCCCCATCACAAGGACGTTAAGTGGGCACCTTGTCCATCAAACAGATTTAGAATTGCCAGTATTGTACAAATGTGAGATTGTGTGGGCAGACTCTAAGAAGATGGCTATTTCCTCTCTAGTATCATCCCACAGTTAGGACGGCCACCGAGTAGTAGGTATCAGAGCCTTGGTTATGTCTTTCTGGTACAAACAGTGGGACTTTGTTGGGGAATGGCTAAATAAATGAGATTAATAAGCTTTACTACTAAATTTTAACCTAACAAGGAAAGCACTTTACTAATATGGCGAAGCAACAAGATAAACTAGAATGGCTATTTAAATGTGATACAAAACTAAAGCAAGATTTAGGGAAACACAAGCCCCTAAGAACTTTGAAGAAAAAAAAAAAACACTTACTTGATAAGCCTAAATTCATTAATTCTAGTACTTTCCCTCTCTTTCTCTTACTTAATCCACTGGTTTCTATGCCAGGTTTATACTAAGCTTCCTTCAAATTTTTGACTGTCTGCTATCTCAAGCAAAGAATCTAAGAAAGAAGAATGACTTGGCCGTATTTCCTTTGACACCACTCTCCCCTGGTCATGAGCTGCAACGTTGAAGGAATCATTCTTGTGGCTCTTTTCTAATAGCCATCTTCTGAAGTCATTAATCAGAGCTGTCATTTTCTCCTCATTATAGTGCTCCTGACTTTGTTTCCAAGGAATCTGAAAGAAGCCAAAAGAGAAATAAAGATAGCCATGTATGGGCTACTTTCCAGCATGAAACCCTGTGATTGTTTTTTCTTCAGTTAAGAGGGATTAAATGTTCCTTCTTTAAAACTAAGTCCCTTGCCCTCTAAGCCAGAGTGTATGGTATTCATAATATATGTTGGATGATCCCTTAGAAATTACCACTCCCTAAACTTTTTTTCTGTTAGGATTTGGACTTGGGAAACTGAATAATGCCAGAATGGAATGTTTAAAAGAATATTCCAAGACCATAATTAGATTTCTAAACAAGCATACATAAATGTTTTTCCACATGTGCTGTGAAATCAGACCCAGCGTCAGAGTCCTCCACTGTAGCTCTACTCTAGTTCCTTGTAGGAAATGCCCAACTGTGGCTTTTTCCATGGGGCAGGAATAGGGTTCCAGGGACATGAGAGTTGCTTCATCTACAGCCTCTGAGATGGGAAAGACTCATTTAAGTCTGATTGGAAGATAGGCATCCATTGTGGTTTATAAAATTTTTTTAGATAAAAACTAGGAAGAAGGCTTTGGAGACAAGAAATTGTCACTCTGGGAAATGGGAGAGTTCAAAGAAATAGGAAAAGTGTGATGAGCTTTTCCATCCGGGATAGTAGAGAAATTCTGAGGCATGGGATTATGGGCACTATCACAAAGGAAGTTAAGGAAAAGTGAGGAGATGAAAACCAGACAAAAAGGGTTGTATAGGAGGCCTTTGAAAGATTCCAGAATATCTCCCAGAAGTCCTCAGTACAAAAAGCCTGTTACTTCTTTAGGACAGGAGAAATGAAATTGGGAGCCAGGAAGACTCACATGTCATTGTCCAAACGAAGGAGAGGAGCACAAAAGGGAAAGAGGAGTGGAGTGCAAGCTGACAATGGCCATAGAGCCAATGGAAAGGAAGTGAGGGGAGTTCTGGGAAGAAGGCCAGTCACAAGGACACACCTGGAGAGTTTCACAGAACCCAGAGGTCCCTATTAGCCCTTTGTCCATCTCTGTCTATAGACTTATCTGAGACCCTGTGAGTCCTTGCAATCACACCTGCCATTTCTACCATGACCAGTCTGGGACTCAGCTTCCAACAGGGCCTCTGCCCACTTTGGACTGGCGTGGATTTTCCTAAAATGCCTATCTCTGCCCCACTCTTTCCCCTAATCAGCCTCTGTCTGGCCAGACATCTACACCTAGAAACCTAGATCTTCAGCCCAGTCCCAGAGAAGCCTGTATTCCATTTCAGCCCCTATCCTGCATCCCTGCTGCTAACTTTGCCGTTTGGGGTTTCTTGCCTGCCTCAGCCACTCATCTAGCTTCTGGTCTTAGCTGATCCACTCTGAGGAACCTTGCAGGTGAGTCCTCTTCCACACTACATGACCAACCATCTCAGGAATGACTCTGAATGCCCAGAAGTTTGGTATCTGCTAGCATTCCTTCTTTCATCGCTCTCTGTTTCCAGCCTTCCACTGCTACCTCTCCTGGTCAAGTCTAAGCAGAGACTGCCTGGTCCCAGAATCTCAGTGTGTCACTCCTGGCCTGTGGTTTGGCCTTGGCTGTTAGCTCTGTGACTCATGGCAATGACCGCTGGCTGAACCCCCTCACTGATTATTCGCAGCAATTGGAGCAGGCCTCCAGTTCCTGGAGGCCTTCCCTTGTATAGGTCCCAGCCCAAACATCGGTGTGCAGACCACTGTCTTCCCCTTGGATGTTCTTCCCGTTTTCCAGTCGGCCCATATGGCAGTGACAATGGAGGGCCCTAGAGAAGACTTTACTTCCTCTTTCATGTGGAGGTTACAGAAAACAAATTATCCAAGTTCTTGATTCATAGGACCAAAGTCTGATGGCATATCATGAATGAAACTAAGGAGGCTTGAGAATTCTGTCCGTCTCAAGCATCACCAGAGAGTTCTCTGACTGAACTTGTATTGCCCCAGGAGCACTCAGATAGCCAGAGGTTATTACCAGCAAAAAAGATCAAAAAGGGCCTTTCCATAAATGGCATTAGTGTGTTTGGATATTGGAGCTAAGGACAGCTAACAACCTCCTGATGCTGTGACTTTGGTGGCCAAAGTATTCACGTGAATAATTAGAATTATAATACCACCTCCCAAATCCCAGGCTTACCTAGAAATCAACATCCCAGATCATCATTGTCTAATAGTGACTACCATATTGGACAGTGCAGATATAGAACATTAAGCCTTTCCCCAAAGGGAGTTTCTGAAATAAAGATAAAGCATGTACAAATGGCTAGTGAACACTCACTAGCCAAAGGGGCCAGACCAGAAGAGAGGGGCTGTTGCCACATGAGGAGAGGAAGAGAGATCCTTGTGGTTTGTTATTCCCTGGCTAGCTCCCTGCCCAGTGAGCGACTTTGGACTAGTGGACCCACCTTGCGTTGCTACATCCCTGCCTTATTAGCCACTTCAATTTTCACAAAATGACAAAAACTAGAAAATTTTATCGTGTGTCATTTAGGAAGATTTAAACAAATGAAGAGAGTTTATTCCCATATGGGAAACCTGATTACCAAATAAATGTCAATTTTCTCCAAATCAATCTGCACTTAACATATATTTCCAATTGGAATTTGGGGAGCTTAGGTAGGTTTATTCTAAAGTTAGTCTGGACAAATTCAATTCAAACAAACTGAAAGTAGCAAAACTTTTAAATTCTGGATTATCATGTGTTAATTTCATGCATTTAATTCAAAACAGTTCATGGAAAGGCATAGAATATAGATCATGCCTCATTCTTTGTTTGAATGGCATGTGGCCCATAATAAGAAAGCCACAGAAGTAAAAACAAGTTGGCTTATATTTTCATATTAAAGACAGAGTTCAAAAACTAAAAAAAAGTTAATCTGGAATATAAATAATATAATAGCCAGAAATATTTTTAAAAAATAAACAAGGGGATACTTTCCACAGAAGATGTTAAAATGTATTCTAAAGTCACAGTAATTACCATGGGATGTGACAGAAGAGACAGATTAGTGTACAGAATATGTCTACAAGCAGACTCAAATATATGAATATTTGATATATGATAAAGGAGACAACTCAAATCAGCATAGAAGTATGTTGAGATAAACGGAGAGACATTCGGGGGAGAAATTAACTTAGATCTTGTTACGTAGACAAAAAAGCAAAATAACAAAATAAAGCCACAGCCTAATACTAATCTCTTTCACAGTGTCATCTGGAGAAAGCAGAAATCTGAATCTGAACAACACTGCACTCTTTTGCATCTTGATTCTTTCACTTGGCATGATGCTTTTGAGATTCATCCATTGTGTTATGCGCTTTGGCAATTCTGTTTTATTGCTGAGCAGTGCTTCATTGGATGAATGTGCCATGGTTTGTTCATACATTTTGTATATCCAGTTTGTATATCCACCTTTATGCGGTTTGCTTATCATTCTCCCATTGATGGACTCTTGACTTGTTTCCAGTTTTAGGCTATTATTAATATTATTAATATAGCTGCTATGAACATTCTTGTATGATTCTTTTTATAAACATATACTGTCATTGCTCTTGAGTAAATACATGGAGGTCAAATGAGTGGGCCTAGGGTAGGTGGATGTTGAGTTTTATGAAACACTGTTAGACTTTTCCCAAAGTGATTGTATAATTTTACATTCTTACCAACAATGTGTGACAATTTGGCTTTCTCCACATCCTCATCGGCATCTGGTATTGTCAGTCTTTTCATCTTTAACCACCTTGGTGACTGTGTAGTGGTATCTCATTGTGATTTTAATTTGCATTTCCAAGATGACAAATAATGTGAGCAATCTTTCTTGTGCTTATTGACCATTTGTATATCTTCTTTTGTGAAGTGTTCATTCAATAATTTTTGCCCACATTTAATTGGTTGTTTGTCTTTTAATTATTGGATTGTAGAAGATCTTTACATATCCTGAATACCAGTCCCTTGTCAAATATATGTTTTGTAAATAATATTTCACAATATGTAACTTAACTATTCATTTTCTTGGCAGTTTTTTGATGAGCAGAAGTTTTTAATTTTTATGAAGTTTAATTGATCAATTGTCCTTGTTAATTCTGTTTTCTGTATCCTCAGAAACATTTGACTAGCCTAAGGGATGAAGCAATGCTTTTCTAAAAGGTTTGTGGTCTTTTACTTTATGTCTAGGTCCCTGGATCTCTCCCCAGTTACATTTTATGTATGGTGGGTGTGAAGTAAGGTTCAAGGTTCATTTATTCATATGGATAGCTGGTTCTTCCAGTGCCATTTATTGAAAAGACTTTCCCTTTCTTATTAGATTGCTTTGGCACCTTTGTCAAACATAATATGACTATATAAATGTGAATCTATTTCTGGACTCTGTATTTGTCACACAATATATTGGTCAAGACTTATGCCAGTAATACACTATCTTTATTAACATAGCTTTAGAGCAAATCTTGAAGTCAGGTTAAGTTTCATCCTGTAATTTTGCTCATATTTTTCAAAATTACTCTAGGTTTCTAGGTCCTTAGCATTTCCATATAGCTCTTAGAGCCAGCTTGTTAATTTCTACCAAAACAAATTGTCATGATGATGACATGCTTGTGTTAAATCTATAAATCTATTAAATAAAATCTATAAATTTGTAAATCTATTTGTGAGTTGACACTCCACAAATAGTGTCTTCCAGTTCATGTATATGGTATATTTTTCCATTTCTGTAATGAGTTTTTAATTAAAGAAGTGTCTTTGTCAGAGCTGTGCTTTAGGAAGATAAATTTTATAGCAATATGAAGTATAGGTTGGACTGGAAGCATGGATACCACTTGGAATGCTATTGGGGTTATCCATGGACAGGAAATACGTGCTTGAAAAAGTGTAGTATTAGAGTGGAACTTAGGAAATGCATTCCAGAAATAGAATCATCAGAACTTGGTGATCGGACATGAAGGGTGAGAGAGATGACAGAGACTTAGATTATTCTATGTTTTCGTCCTGGATAACCTAGAGGAAGACATTTCCGTAAAACATTAACTGGCCTTCTTGTAGAAGTATTTTAGTGCATATTACTTAACAGAGCTTGTGCTTGGCTCTGGGGACATAGCAAGAGCAAAAGTATACATGGCCCCCACCTTGAACACCTTGTGGATGATAAAGATGTGTATTAAATAATCACACAAATAGAAATAAAATTGTGACTAATAAAAGTGCTTTAATGCTAGCACACCTAACACTTAGATCTTGGTTTCTAATACCATTCTCCAATAAAAGGAACCAGAGCTCCTTAGAGAAAAGACTTATTCTAGGACTAGAAAATATACAGGATAACGCTAAAGTATCTTGTAGCACCAGAAAGTAAAATAAAAAAGTGCTAAAACAAAACAAATCTTTACCATGATGGGAATATATCAAAGTGACACAGGAGCCAACAAAATGACTTCTCAATGGCCAAAGCTAGAGTAATATAAGCAACAAAATAAATAAAACAATATTAGAATATAACCCAAAGTATAAAATAAATATCCCTGAGTATATATCAATATACATTAATTAATTAATGGGGAAGAAAAGATAGCCTCTCAGGCATACAAGTTTTAATAAATTATGTAACTTCTCCACCTTAAAGGAAGAGGGGCATAACACCCACTCCTTAAATGTGGGTTGCACATAGTGGCTTTCTTCCAAAGAGTACAGTATGGCAAGGGGGGAAGAGTAATTTTAGAGGTGGAGACACCTGATGGACATAAATTTAGCCAGGTGATCACAATCAGAATCAATGTCATATATCACGTACACAGTATGTTGCCTCGATATGATGTGATGAAAATATCACTTTACTTCCGTGATTCCCCTCCCAAAATACATAACCCCAGTCTAATCATGAGAAAAATATCAGGCAAATCACGAGAGAGACATTCTACAAAACAACTGATCAGTCCTCCTCAAAACTGTCAAAGTCATCAAAAACAAGGAGTCTGAGAAATTGTCACAGCCAAGAGAAGCCTAAGACACGACAACTAAATGTAGTGTGGTATACTGAAACACACAAAAACATTATGTAAAAACTAAAGAAATATGAATGAACTACGAACTTTAGTTAATAACAACATATCAATATTGATTCATTATTGCAACAAATGTTCTGCACTGAAGTAACATGTGAATAATAAAGAAAATTGAGGTGGAGAGGTACATGGGAACACTGTACTATCTGCTCAATTTGTCTGTAAATCAAAAACCGTGAAATAAAGTCTATTACTTTTTTAAAACACCCTCTAAAAGAGACTTACACCTTCTAAGGGGTATTTGAAGTCAGAGAAGGGCCTCCTGAGGAAATTAACACTTTATCTGTAATCGGAAGGATGAAGAGGGATTAAGGAGATGAAGATCTGGGAGAAGAATAGATAAGTGTAAAGGCCCTTAGGTAAAAGGAAGCATGATGTGTTCAAGGAACAGAAATAATAGTGTTGTGATTTAAACAGCATGATCAAGGGTGAATATGGTACAAAACATGACAGAATGAATAGACAGGAACCAGAACGTGCAAGGCTTTTAGGCCATATATAGTATTTTTGTCTTTATTTTAAGAGCAATGGTTGTAAGTGGCAGCGAGTGGGAGGTGGCAAGAGGAAGAGGGAGAGGGAAGGGATGCTACCTCAATTTTAGTTTGGCCAACTGAGTGCCTGAAGCAGGATTCACTCGGATGGGGACACTGGAAGAGGCCAGGAGATCAGTTTTGCACATGTGGGATATAAGGTGCCTGTGGGATATCCAAGTGAAGGTGTCTAGTAGACAGATGTACAGGTCTGGGGTCAGAAGAGACTTGTGAATTGGAGAGAAGTTGTTGAGTTTCCTGCATACAGGTGATAAATGAAGCCTCGGGCATGAATGAGACCACCTAGGGTCTTGCATTCAAGTGCCTAAAGATAAAGGTGGGAAGTCACCAACCTGCAAATAACCATGCACTATCCAGCCATACTGTGTGGAAGGACAACAGAAGAGGATAGAGGAAAGAAGTCTGGGCAACAACAGCATTTAAAAAGAGGAAGAATCCATGAAGGAGACAACAAAGACAATCTAAAGGAATAGTGTGATGTCACTGACACCAAGAGAAGAGAAACAGCAGCTTCTGGCAGCTAGGAACACAGGATCCATGGCTTCCTGGCCCATCTCCATTGCCATCAAGTTGGTGACTAGTAGGCTAGGCCATCACGACTGACTGGAGCTAGAGCAAGAGCAGAGTCAGTAACTACATAAACACACCTTCTGAATCTCTTCTGGGAAGAGCTGTGAGTCCAGAGTTGAGGTTGCCTCCATGCACTGGAACTGCCGAGAGGCCGACTGAATTATCATGGCCCATCCTGCCTGCACAGAAGCAGGGTCTTCCTGTCTCTTAGAGGTGGGCATGGTGTCCTTGACCTCAACTGCATACATGTAAAGACCCAAGTGTTTTACACAAGTGTAAAGACCTCTGTTAGCAATAGCTTTGCCTATCCTCATTGAGCATTAGAGCTCCAAACAGGGTGGCAGCCTGCATGGGCACCCACTCTGTGCCCAGGTCTGTACTGGGCTTCCATGAGACTATAGAGATGAAATCACAACAGTTTTGTTTTTGAAGAGCATAAGCAATCACTTGAATACAAACTGAGCAGACTCCTAGAGACCCAAGAAGAGAATGAGTAGAAAGCTGCACAGTTTGCTAGGTATTCACATTATCACCCCTAATTCTTACAAAAAGTCCTACATGATAGATCTTATTCTTATTACTCCAAAATTTTAAAGGAGGCAACTGAGGTTCAGAGAAGCAAATCAGTTGATGAAGGGCAAGTTTTGTAAATAGAAAAGATAGGATTCATACCCAGATCTTTTTGACTCTAAAGTCTGCCTCTTTTAATCCTTAACTCTGCAGAGCTCTCAGTAAACATCAATCCTGTTACTGACCCCATCATCTGAAGCAGATAGGAACACCTTCCACAGGATGAGGGCGTCTGGCTAGGGTTTCTGGGAAGAGGAGGCATTAGCAGAGTGGAAGATAAGCCTGGATCCCTATTAGTGAGGGCAGGTGTTTACCAGGGTTCAATGTAGCTCCTCTATTCCTGTATCTTGTCCAGGCTAATCCAGTCCTGGATGATGTAGCATTTCATCGAGTATGCCCTTTGCCTCCATAACAAGATTCCCGGCTTCTTCAAGCAAAATGATGGATTGGCCTTCGGTGTGTTTAGTCACTCAGCTTTGAAAAGACATCTCAGCTGGGCCAACTTTCAAATCATTTACAGGAAAATAGTCCTGCTGCTAAGACCTGCATTCTGGCCTGACTCAGGTGTTACCATGTACAAGTGTCCCTGAGCCTTGGTTTTCCCATTTATAAAAGACAGATGTGTTGGTTCTTTCTATGCTCCATTGATTGAGGACAGATTAGTCATTCAGTCACCTAACAAAGATTACTGAGGACCTCCAATGTGCCAGGAATATTGAGGTACAAAGTATGCAATGCTGAGCAAGACAGAAAAGATCTTGGGCCTTATGGGGTTTAGTGTCTGTTGGGAGAGGTGGCCATGTGTGCAGGTACATTAGCACACATCGTGATCACAACATGAGAGCCAAGAGACCAGAGTGGCTAATTCTGCTGCGGGTTGGACACGTTGCCTTTCTCACCATTACCTTTCCCTGGTTAACTTCTACACATCATTCATTCATTATTCATTCACTCCCCTAAGCATTCCGTGAGTGCCTGCTAAGTGTCAGACACTGGAAATACAGTGAAGTTCAAAACAACAATGACCTGGCCCTGGGGAGCTTACATTCAAGTGGAAAAGATGAACAATAAGCAAGTAAACAAACACACAGTGCTCATAGCCCTGTAGCTTCTTCAGTTTGGCTGGTTTCAAGAAGGCATCTCTGAGGAAATGACATTTGAATTGAGACCGGTTAACAAACAAAGAGCCAGTCACATAATAATCTGGGAGGCAGAGTTTTCTCAGCAAGTAGGAAAGCAAGTGCCAAGGCCCTAAAGTGGGACTGAGCTTGGTCTGTTTAAGGAAAAGAGGGAAAGAAAGCACATGAGGTTGGCATATGGAGAATGAGGGGAGGACAGCACCAGATGAGGTTAGCATGTTAAGTGGGGCTGGGTCACTTGGGGCCTTGGAGATCAGGATAGGAAAGGTGAATTTTATTCTCCCTGCAATGGGCAGCCATGGGAGGTTGGAGCAGGGAAGTAAAGTGATTTGCATTTTAAAATCACTCTAGCTCCTGAGCCAAGAGTGGGTTGAGGGCACAGCAAGAATGGAGGCAGGGAGACCAGTTACAGAGTGGGAGTCGACTGTGGCTTTGCCAATGATGCTGTCCTATTGCTCAGCTCAGTACCGTGAGCCCTGTGAGAGGCCTCCTCTCTGGTTCCCGCCTTCTGCCAGGCCTGCTGCTGGAGCTCTGTGCATGTAAAAAGTGAGCTGCTGGCCCGGCGAGGTGGCTCACTCCTGTAATCCCAGCACTCTGGGAGACCGAGGCAGGCGGATCACGAGGCCAGCAGATCGAGACCATCCTGGCTAACATGGTGAAACCCCGTCTCTACTAAAAATACAAAAAAAATTAGGCGGGCAAGGTGGCGGGCGCCTGTAGTCCCAGCTACTTGGGAGGCTGAGGCAGGAGAATGGCGTGAACCCGGGAGGCGGAGCTTGCAGTGAGCCGAGATAATGCCACTGCAGTCCCGCCGGGGTGAAAGAGTAAGACTCCGTCTCAAAACAAAAAACAAAACACAAAAACACAAAAAAACAGTGAGCTGCTTGCTGTGACAGTTTCTCCCCTCCTCCAAGAGCCAAGAAGGCTCCTCTGGAAGCAAGAAAATAAATGAGATTGGAAGCTAAGAGCCAGAAGTCCCTCCTCCCACAGTCACTCTGGTCTTGACTTCTGCCCCCCACCCCTTGGTGTTTGCCAGAATCTCTGCCTGTTTCTGCCATATCAATTCCATTTCAGTGTTGTTGGACTACAGATGCACCAATCAGGCAACTTCTTTCCCAAATCCCTTCCAGGCAGGAAGGCCCGGGTCCCTTCTGATCTTGCCTCCTGACTGCAGTCTAGAAGAGCGTGGCCTGGCAGATTGGCCACCAGTGCCCACATGGGCAGGACCTGTGATAGATTGCCACCCCCAGTCTATGCAGGGCCTCTGTCTGACTCTCCCCACTTGGAAGGCAGGAAAGAGGCCCAGGCAGAGGCTGGGCTATGACCAAGGCCACGTTCAGAGGCGGAAGCCAAGCCAGGACCTGAGTCCAGGTTTCCAGACTCCTAACCCCATGGCTTTTTCTACCCCACTATGCCGCCAGCCCATTCCAAGAGAGAAACCAAGAGTCTGAGAATGGCTTTGGAGCAGGAAACCACAACTCTCTTGCCAAGTCCACTTTCCCATCAGAACAAACCCCTTTCATTCTCCTGCCACCTCAGCAGTGTTCCTTTCTCCTGCCTGCCTATCCAGATTTCACTCAGAGACCATTGGAAATCTGGTTAGCGCTGGATTGGGGGTTGGGAGAGGGAAGAGCTAATTCCACACTGGAGATGAACAGCTTATGACCAGCACATTTGGGCCTCTGAACTGACAATGAAAGCCCAGGTGGCATCGCTCACCATCTTCACAGTGATCTGCAGATGGATGAGGACTTCATTCAAGATCAAAAGTTAAGCAGAGACAAAAGGGAGCCAAACACCTACTTCACTCTGCTACTTATCTCTATTCTCCTTGTTATGAGGAAACTGCCTTCTCACTCCTGGGCCTCAGTTCTCCCCTCTGTAACATGAAAAGCTGGCCTAAATGATCTCTGACTGAGAACCTTCTAGTAAGGCTGCTCTGCAAACTCTGTGAGGCATGAGACTGCTGCAATGAATGAGTGGTCAACGTGGGAAGACAAGAGTCCTAGATTTCCTGGGGAAAGCAGCAGTCTCTGATTGAGAACTTACTCTGTTCCAAGCCTTGATCTGAAACCCATCTTGAGGGGAGGACAGGGTTGGGGGAGAGAGAAGAATTGAGGCAGCTGCCATTGAAGATAAATTTTAAGAAAAAAGCCAAGATGTTGAAAGAGGGCATTTAATAAATTTTGCTTGGTGATATATATCTCCCTGTCTCTCCTTGAAACCTTCAGTAAAATGCCACATTAACTGTCAAGGCATTTGCTGTTGGATTTGTTCTTTTCGAAGATTAAGCATTATGCTGAGACTGCCCTCTACAAGGGCATGGTGCCGGAGCAGGGAGGGCCCAAAGAGGCCCCGGCACATTTGAGTATAACCAGAAGAGTTTTACTAGCCTGGCCTGTCCACAGGAGGAAGGCCTGATGATCCCCCAGCTACTCCCCTGCCCCCATCTCCTTTTCCCTCATCCTGGGGCCACTAGGCCACAGAGCACCTCTGCTCAGAAAGGGTGAGAATCCTCAAAGAAGGAACAAGGCCTCGAGGTTTATTTCACAGTTCAGTAACTTGAAATGGAGGGCCCTGGGTCTCAGAGATCTAGGGAGTCGCATATAGGGTCTAAGTTTGACTTGCAAGCATATTGGCATCATTGCCACCTGGGATGGACTGAACAGTGTCCCCCGCTGCCGCCCAAATTCCTATGTTGAAGTCTTACCCACCAATGTGATGGTATTTGGAGGTGGGGCCTTTGGGAGGTAATTGGGGTTAGATGAGGTCCTGAGAGTGTGGGCCCTCATGATGGGATTAGTGTCCTTACAAGACGGGGAGTTTGTATTTCTCTCTCTCTCTCTCTCTCTCTCTCTCTCCCCCCCTCCACCCCCCAGCCCCCACCACCCCACCGAAGCATGTGAGAACACAGCAAGAAGGCAGCTGTTCTTTAAGCCCCTAAGTTTATTGTATTTTGTTATGGTAGCTCAGCAGCTCAAGCTGACAAATAAACCATTCCTGGACCCCTGAGAGGAAGCCAAAGCCTTTCCTTTCACATATATACATGTTCATCAGCAGCCCTGTGAGCAAGGCATGAAAGACACTATCAACCCCATTCCATATGGGAAGAAATTGAAGCCCAAAAAGCAACCTCACTTGACCAAGCTCCCAGAGTGAATAAGCCCAGTGTTGGGTCTCGAACCCAGTACTTTTGAGTCTAAGTCCAATATTCTAGTCCTGGTTTCTCAAAGCGTGGCCCAGGGCCCCCATCCTTCGGATGGATACTCTGCAGAGTTTCTTGAGCAAGAGGAATTGGTGGTGTATCAGGCTTCCTAAATAACATCAATTGAGGGTGAGCTCGTGAATCTGCATTTTAACCAGTTGTCCTGTGAGTCTTAGGCTTCCTAACAGCAGAGAAGCAGCCTTAGTTTCCTCTGGCTGCCATAATAAAGACTGGGGTCTTAAACAACAGAAGTGTATTTTCTCATAGTTTTGGAGGCTAGAAGTCTGAGATTAAGGTGTGGGCAGGGTTAGTTTCTCCTGAAGCATCTCTCCTTGGCTTATAAGATGGAGTCTTCTCCCTGTGTCCTCATATGGTCATCTCTATGTGTGTCTATGTCCTAATCTCTTCTTATAAGGATACCAGTCCTTTTGGATTAGGGCCCACCCATATGACCCTCTTTGAATTTAATTACCTCTGTAAAGGCCTATCTCCAAATACAGTCAACATTCTGAGATACTGGAAGTTAGGACTTCAACTTATGAATTTTGCAAGGGCAAAATTCATAACAGAAGCCTCGATGAAAATGTGATCCCCAAGTCGCACCCCCTAGTGAAGAGCAAGTCATTTCTTTTTCTCCCTCTTCCTCCCACATCTCAGTGCTCTAAAAAGAGCAACATGTTTCAGAGTGCTGGCTCCAAGTGAGCCAAGCCAGGAGGCCATGCTCCCTGTTTCTATGGTCCTAAGCCCAACCGATGCCTTTGGGGACCCTCGGGAAGCTGGGGCTTTCCCTCCCGTCCATGAGAGTGGGTTTGCCATGTGGCACAGTGGCTTGTGAAGAAAAGCCCTGCCCTCAGGTATGCAAGTCAGCTCCATCCACACGTCTTTAAGAGCCTAATTAATCCAAAACCAAGTGGAAGGTGCACTTCCAGAGGCAGAAAACACACACCCACCACTCTGGCTCAGTGCCTGCACAGTAAATATTGTGTTTTGTGCCCGGAAGCTGACAAACTCATGGAACTTGAATGAAACCATCAGGGCTTATCATTTCATGCCACCTAAAGACACCAGAGAACAAAGATGGTGTCTAGGAGGAGTGCATAGGGATGGCCCCTCATCTGTGCATCCTGTGTCTTCAGGCCACAGTTACGGGAGGGGTGGAGCACCCCAGTTTTGCCTACAAGGCCTGGCAATGGAAGCCGCAAATACTCAACCTGACAGGCCATTTCAGTGCTCCTCCTACAGCTGTACCTGACAAGCTAGCTGCGCTGAAGCCCTTGGGCCCAGAAACCTTTGCTCTCCAAGGCCCTTTACCCTCTCTGGAAAGCCCAAGCACTCTCCAAGAGACAGCTCCAATACTAGCTTCCCATGGAACTTTAGTGCCCTCTCCCCTGAACTCAGCCCCTGGCATAGAGATTCTCCATTTCTCTACTCCCTTTGACTCCCAGGCAGGGAGCTCGGTCTCAGTGGGAAACACACCCTTTGCTCTGAGACAGTCCCTGGGCAGGGGCAGTTCTGATATCTCGTGGAATCAGACTGCGACTACCCTCCCTCCATTCCACTTTCTAGTTGCCCGGGGCTGCTGTCCTGACAGTCCCATTTCCCAATGCTCTTGGACCTAAAGGCATATGTATGCACTAGCCCTGAGCATCCAGGGGGCCCAGGGATATGACACAGGCAGGGCAGTGCAGAGCAGTTTCAAAGAGCTGCTCTGCCCTGGTTTTCAGAAGCAGAATGTGGGCTTGTGCACACTGCTTGCCAGCCTGCTAGAGGGCCTCACTCTTGGGAGTGGGAGAAAGGTGGCAGGGCTGTAAGAGCCACTGAGGCAGGAAGAGGAGAGAGGACGGGAGGAAAGGAATGTGAACTCGGCTTTGTAGCAGACATGCCTGTGGGAGCAGAGGGTGGGTGGAGTGCACAGACTGGAGAGAAGGGGCACAAATGAGCACTAGAGCTGGGCCAAGGCCACTTCAGGCTTCCCGAGGCCACTCAGCTTGTTTATGTGAGCTTTTTACACAGAGGCTGTTCTGCAGACCCAGGCCCTCTTTCATCCTTGACAGTGGGAGTAGACTGCTGGGGAGATGAGGCCTCAGGGCCGGAATGCAGACCTCTTCTGCAGAGGGCCTACATTTGGCTGTAAGGGCCCAACCGAGCCAAGCCAAGCTCAGCAGGCAGGAGCTGAGCGGATTTTAGCGCCATGAAAGCAGCTGCTGCAATACTGTCCTATGAGGACAGCTGTGTTTCCCAGGCAGGGCTCGATGTCATTCCCCAGGCATCTGGTATGGGATTCGAGAGCCACCTCCATCCGGCCTTTGCCTTATTTACATGCGCATCTGTGTCCTTCACGTAGCTGAGAGCCCCTCCAGGCCAGCAAATGCATCTGATTCCTATTTCTATCACACTCGCTCCACAGCCCGCAGCCCAGAATCCAGCAATGAGTATGAGATGGCTCAATGTCAGCAAGGGATCCTAGTAATCCCAGAAACCTATGAAGATGAAGTGTGAAGTCACCACTGTAGATGTAGGTCAGGAGATCAGTAATTCTTGGATAGGCAACCTCTCCCATGGGACACAGTTTTTTTTTTGTTTGTTTTGTTTTGGTTTTTGCTGCTGCTGGAGCTAGGGCCCGTGTGAGAGCTACGTGCTTCTTAATCCAAAGGAGAAGAGCTGGCTTACTTCCTCCATCCACAAGGGATGTCCAGGGCCTTCTAAGGCAGCATTGGGCTCTCCAAATCCCCACACACCACACTGGCTTTGCAAGGCATTGTCTCTCTTTTTTCATTCTTCTCCTCCTCCTCCTTTTCCTCCCCACCTTTCTTTGCATATGTATTGACTTTCTCCATTTTACCAGCAATATATGCTCATTAGGAACACTTGAATTATTCCAAATAAGAAAAAGAAGTAGAAAATGTCATCCAATTTCCAACCACCCAAAGATAGCCACGGTTAATATTTTGAAATGTTTTATTCCAATATTTCCTCTAATCTTTCTGAGAAGTGAGGGTTTCTGTGTGTTTGCTTTATTTCTACTGCTTAGCGACAACTGACAGCCAGGTGAGGAGGAGGGAGCAGAATGAGACAATGTAAATGTCAGGAGAGCGGCAATTAGGTCCCAGCTGCACTACTGATGTGCTCTGCAAGGTTGGGCATGCACTGACCCTCCCTGGGCTTCAGTTTTCCCATCTATATAATGGGGTATTGGATTAGATAAGTTCAGAGGCTTCTTCCAGCTTGATGATTCTTTGAATTCATCAAGGAGGAGGGAAGGCTTCAAGGAGAAATTGTTACTTGAGCTGAGATTTTAAAAGCTTTGTTAATAGGTTTGGAAGAGGGTATTCTAAGTTAACCCTGTTAATAGATTTGGAAGATAGCATTCTAAGTGGAAGAGAAGGCAGATGCAAAAACAAAAAGCCTGGAAGATAAAAGCTGTCCTTGGGGGAGAGCCTCTGTAGGCTTGAGGATGTGAGAAATGTCAATGGGAGATGCAGCTAGGACCAGACACCAGATACCTGGAATCCTTTACGTTGAAGGCCCTTTGGATCTAAGATGGGTCCTAAGCAGAGAGTGTTTGTGAGCCTGTCATGTAGAGAGTGGCAGTTGAGAGACGAGCAGGGGGACAGTGCCAGCTCTTGCTCATCCAGGTGTGAGATCTCAGACCTGCCATCTGGCCTTGCTGGCCACGCTGAGATGGCAGTCTGTAGGATCAAGGAATGCTAGAGCCAGGAGCCTATGTTCACCATCAATTGCAAGCATGGCACAAATCTGAGGGTAAAGGATTCAAAGAACCTTGAATGAGAGAGAAGGAGCAGAAGCGCCGGCAAGAAAGCAATTTGGATAAAAAGAAATACTGTAAAAAGAGTGAGATGATTACCTAAACACAGAGTTTGGATCTTCCTGCCATCTCCACCAGCCTTGTCCATGAAAGTCCGAAGCTAATCTGAACATGATGGCAGATAGAGGTGAAGATGTTTAGAGAAATCGTCAGACTTCCTAGGAAGGAAAATGGCTGGGGAGAAGGATGTGGGCATTCATTCACCTACATATTCACCGACTGTCTCCATGGGCCCACTGAGAGGCAAGCCCTGTGCGAGGGTGTCAGCCAAGCTCTTGACCCTCTCAGCCAAAATTTCAATCTGCAAGATGCACATATCAGAAACAGTGGAGTACTGCCCAGTACTTTGTCCCAAGTTAAATAAACTTGGAGGAAATCATGGTGCTTGGGTTGCTGCCTCATGGTCCAAATAGCTTGGCTTCTCACAAATGTTACTAACTGCATTGAAGAAAATGTAGCCTGCATTTCCATTTATCCATAAGACTATTATCACAAAATACAATGCAAGAATTTCAAGATTGAACTGGAATTTGAAAGCCACTTACTCCAGAACCGTTATGACCCTGATTTAAACAGGTTAACACAAATATATATTAGTCTTGGTGTTTCTAAAGAGACAGTTTTCCAAATGCAAGTGGACAAATAAAGGTAGCGCTCCACTCACAAACCTTCTACTATTTTCCACCAAGCAAATTACATAGCCGGGCTTGAGTAGAACGTCCTGTGGAGTTGTGTGTGGTAGCCTTAAGGCCTTCCAGAAGTTTTGTATCAAGTTATATTCCCAGACAACCTGCCAACATTTGCCCTCCCTTTAGCAGCTGGCTGTGTAATTCAGGGGATAACTTTATTTGGCATCCCCGAGAGCCTATTACATCTAGGGGTTCTTTGCCATGACTGCTTGCTCTCTTGCCTCTCTTCTTGTTCTAAAGCAGTAAAGAAGAGAGGAGAAGAAATGTTGGAGGTCTTAGTAAATGTTCTGAAGTGGTCACTCCACTCAGCTAGCTTCTAAAACTTTAGACGGGTGTCCTATGTAAAGAGAACTCCGGTGCTCCAGAAGCAGCTTTGAGTCTGTCTCCCCGACATCTACTATGAAAGGCAGAACCTGATTGGCTCCATGACTCATACCCCACCCAGTTTGTTTTGTCTCAAATAATCCCACGGAAAGCCATTAAATCATCTGAACATTTATTGGTGGCCATTCTCTTATCCTTTGTCAACAGGAGACTTGGGAGTCCTTTAGGAAGACCCTGAAAACCCAGGTATGTGATCTTGGGTGTGGGGAGGCCCTGGTGGTAAAGGTGGTCGCGATGGCACTGGTAAGAATGGAGGGTTGGCTGCAGCCATACTTACTAAGGCCAATAGGGGGACCTCCGCCCTGTCCCTGGCCTGATGCCCTGCCCAGCCCCTTTGCCTGCTTGCTTTCTGCCTGCCTTCTTTTTAAATGCGGCCCAGCACAGTGCAGAACCCTGAAGCAGTAAGAGCTTTTCATGGTGATCATAAAGGCACCATTGTTATCATCTTCTTTCATTATTTATTTGGCCATGATAAAGGCAGCCCCATTAACACAGACTACGAATCTCACCTTTCCTCTGTCTACAGTTATCACTGTGCTTGCAGCTCAGGCTACAGATTAAATATCTATCATCACTATGATAAATGGCCTCTGCAGTAGGGGCAGAAATGCGAATCCACCTTCGAGCAGCTGGTGGCAGCTAATCCAGCCAGGGCATCCCAGTATAGGGACCCCAGCCATGGAGAAATCAGCTTTGCCTTTGTGGCGATGTGCCCAAGCTCACCTGTGGCTCATCAGTTCCACAGGTCAGCTCAGGAGAAAGGATGCCAGGGAAGTTTGTTGTTACCCTGGGCTAGCCAGTAGCTCTAGGAGAGCAACCTCCCACAACTCCTCTCTTGTTATCCCCATACCAAAATTGAGACCCCGACTACAAGAGACAAAAGACTGGGCTTGCAACCTGGGCGAGGCAATGGCTAGCAAATGAAAAATATGTGGTAAGGAGTTGTGGCTGACTCTAACCCAGACCCCTGTTAGGTGGAAGGGAGCAGCACAGAACCCTGTGGGAAGGGGGACTGACATGCAGGCTTCATATTTGTGCATTCCTCTAGTGTCCCTGGGAAACAAATCCATCTCTACCACAGTGGATGAATTTGCCAGTCGATTTGTGAGTGCGGGGGCTTATGCTGTGGCTCGACAGCTCCATCCCAAAGTGCCTGTTGTGGCTCTTCTGCTTCAGGAGGGACCCCAGGCTGCCTCCAAAATTTTTGCTGCTCTGAAAGAGAAGAGACAAACACAGGGTTCTGAAGCCTTTGGGACCTCATTCTTTTCCATACTAATTGGCAAGTTTATCTCTAAGGCTTTTGCAGCATTGTAATCTGGCTATTCTCACCTTTGGTGAATCACACCTCCTTGAGGGAGGGATCCTTGATGTTTCTGCTGCCTGTGGTGCCACCAAATGCCACTACAATTCTGGCAACAGGCAGGAAGGAGATGCAGCAAACACCACAGTCTGAATGATGCTTAGGCTATGGCTCAGTGCCAGGCACAATGTTGAGCATGGTTCCCTTGGGGCTTTACGACCTTCTCAGGCTGGGTCAGCTCTACTGAACATGACCTCCACCTCCAGGACAAGGGGCTAGTAGCAGAGGGACAGCACTCTGCAAAAGGCTTCTCTGCTTCCAGTGTGCATCTTAATGAATGCATACCTCAGGAATCATCTGTGGCTGCAGGAAGCCCTCGAACCCTGAAGCCCCTTGTTGATAGGGCCTGGGTCTTCTTCAGTTCTTAGGAATGGCTTGTCAGTGAATGAATGAGTGAATGAATGACCAACTTAAAAAGTAAATGAGCAGGAGTGTAAGAAAAAGGCTTCTCAAACCCTGAGGTCTCCAGCTGCAGAATCCTTGACACCTGCTCCTCCAGTCACCTGGAAATGCTTCTTCGTACTCACAGCTAGAATGCCTTTGTGAAGTCCATTGTGTTATTGGGAGCAGGGAGCACAGAAGACACATTTTTATGTTGACAAAACCCACCCCTCAGGCAGCCAATTGTTTCCTCCAACTTGCATCCTGATGATTCATCTTAGGGTTTCCTTCTAGGGCCCAGGAGTTGGCAAGCTGTGGGTCCTCCTCCACAGGACAGACTTTCAGAGACCTCAAGAGGATGGCCATGCTCCACCAGGAATCCGCTCTTCTCCACGCTGAACAGTTCTTTCACATTTTTCTCCTCTCCATCCATCTAGTAGTTTTTTTCTGCATATGCCAGGTTTTACCCAGCCCAGTTCAAGTGTGGGGCCCAAAACTGAGCTCAAGTCTGTGAATATTGTCTGATCAGAGGGGAGTCATTATTTCCTTCATTCTACACTGTACAGCCAACTACTGTGGCAGCTAGTTCTGTGGTCACATTGCACTGTAGGCCCCTTTGGAACTTTATGGTTAACCAAACGAGGTATTTCTCTTCTGAGTTTCTTCAGGGCCTGAGTTCTTTAATCAGGGTCATACAATTTATTTTTAAAACATAATGACTTTTTAAATGACTCTTTCAGAAGTCATCGTGTTGAGTTGGGCTAGGGTGTTATAGCTAGTTCCATCCTTTTCTCCAAACCTTGGAGCATTGGCAAGTTTGGCACAACTGCCTTATACGCCTGTACCTGAATCACTTCTGTAAATGTGAGAATGATCAAGATCAAGATCAGAGTTCTGAGACATGTCACATTAGACCTGTATGCCACGTTGAACACCAACTTTTTTTTCCAACTTTTATTTTAAGTTCAAGGGTACATGTGCAGGATGTGCAGGTTTGTTACATAGGTAAATGTTTGCCATGGTGGTTTGCCGCACAGATCATCTCGTTACCCAGGCATTTAGCCCAGCTTCCATTAGCTATTCTTCCTGATGCTTTCCCTCCCCCCACCCCTCCCCACCCTCTGACAGGCCTCAGTGTGTGTCCATGTGTTCTCATCATTCAGCTTTCACTTATAAGTGGCACCACACATTATTTGGTTTTCTGTTCCTGTGTTAGTTTGCTGAGGATGATGGCCTCCAGCTCCATCCATGTCCCTGCAAAAGACATGATAGAGTTTCTTTTTATGGCTGCATAGTATTCCATGGTGTATATGTACCACATTTTCTTTATCCAGTCTATTATTTATGGGCATTTCAGTTGATACCATGTCTTTGCTATTGCAAATAGTGCTACAATGAATATACGCATGCATGTATCTTTATAATAGAATGATTTATATTCCTTTAGGTATATACCCAGTAATGGGGTTACTGGGTCAAATGGTATTTCTGCCTCTAGATCTTTGAGGAATCACCACACTGTCTTCCACAATGGTTGAACTAATTTACACTCCCACCAACAGTGTAGAAGCATTCCTTTTTCTCCACAACCTCACCAGTAGTTGTTGTTTTTTGACTTTTTAGTAATAGCTATTCTGACTGGTGTGACATGGTACCTCATTGTGGGTTTTATTAGCATTTCTCTAATGTTCAGTGATGTTTAGCTTTTTTACAGGTTTGTTGGCCACAAGTATATCTTCTTTTGAGAAGTGTCTGTTCATGACCTTTGTCCACTTTTTAATGGTTTTTTTTTTGTTGTAAATTTAAGTTCCTTATAGATGCTGTATATTAGACCTTTGTCAGAAGGCAAGATTGCACAAATGTTCTTCCATTCTGTAAGTTATCTGTTTACTCTGTTGATAGTTTCTTTTACTATGCAGAAGCTCTTTTGTTTAATTAGATCTCATTTGTCAATTTTTGCTTTTGTTGTGATTGCTTTTGGCATCTTTATCATGAAATCTTTGCCTGTGCCTATGTCCTGAATGGTATTGCCTAGGTTTTCTTCTAAGGTTTTTATAGTTTTTGGTTTTATGTTTCAGTCTTTAATCCATCTTGAGTTGATTTTTGTATATGATGTAAGGAAGGGGTCCAGTTTCAATTTTTTGCATATGGCTAGCCAGTTCTCCCAGCAACATTTATTAAATATGGAATCCTTTCCCCATTGCTTGTTTTTGTCAGGTTTATTGAAGATCAGATAGTTTTAAGTGTGCAGTCTTATTTCTGGGTTCTCTATTCTGTTTCATTGGTCTTTATGTGTGTTCTTGTACCAGTACCATGCTGTTTTGGTTACTATAGCCCTGTAGTATAGTTTGAGTCAGGCAGCATGATGCCTCCAGATTTGTTCTTTTGGCTTAGAATTGCCTTGGCTATTTGGGCTTTTTTGGGTTCCATATGAATTTTAAAATAGATTTTTCCTAATTCTGTGAAGAGTGTCAATAGTTGTTTAATAAATCTATAAATTACTTTGGGCAGTGTGGCCATTTTAACGATATTGATCTTCCTATCCATGAGCATGGAATGTTTTTCCATTTGTTTGTGTCATCTCTGATTTCTCTGAGCAGTCGTTTGTAGTTCTCCTTGAAAAGGTCCTTCATTTCCCTTGTTGACTGTATATTTTATTCTTCTTGTGACAATTGTGAATGGGAGTTCATTTGTGATTTGGCTCTCTGCTTGCCTGTTGTTGGTGTATAGGAATGCTAGCGATTTTTGCACATTGATTTTACATCCTGAGACTTTGCTGAAGTTGCTTATCAGCTTAAGAAGCTTTTGGAATGAGACGATGGGGTTTTCTAGATATAGGATCATGTCATCTGCAAACAAAGATAGTTTGGCTTCCTCGCTTTCCATTTGAATGCCCTTTATTTCTTTCTTTTGCCTGATTTCCCTGGCCAAAACTTCCATACTGTATCGAATAGGGGTGATGAGAGAGGGCAAACTTGTCTTGGGCTGGTTTTCAAGGGGAATGCTTCCAGCTCTTGCCCATTCAGTATGATGTTGGCTGTGGGTTTGTCATATATGGGTCTTATTATTTTGAGGTATGCTCCTTCAATATGTGGTTTATTGAGGGTTTTAACATGAAGGGATGTTGAATTTTATTGAAGGCCTTTTCTTCATCTATTGAGATAATCATGTGTTTTTTTCTTTAGTTCTGCTTATGTGACTAATCACATTTATTGATCTGTGTATGTTGAACAAGCCTTGGATCCCGGGGATGAAGCCTACTTGATCATGGTGGATAAGCTTTTTGATGGAACACCAAGTTTTAATGTACACCATTTTGCTATAGCTGCTCAGATAGTCGTGAGTCCACCCAGTGGTACAACCATTCAACTCATATTTCTGAGGAAGTCATGATAGACTTGTGTGGGTGGTTACCAATTAGGGATTTTGAAAACACCAGGACTTTGAGAATGATGCAAACGGAAGGCCTCTTAGTAATTAATTACCTGTCCTTTTGTTAGACAGGGAAATCGGAAGCCCAGAGAAAGGAAGAGAGTGCCTAGAGCCACCAGTGTAGTAGAACAGAATGAAGCTCTAGTTCCATACAATCCAGATCTAGCCCTCTGCACCTTGCTGCAGACTCTATTCACAAGAGGACAATGGACACTGGCACAATTATCCAGAATATATGAAGCTTCCTTCTAATTGACATTGAAAATAAAAACAAGAGACATGTCATACCGCAGTCCCTTTTCCAGTACAGCAGTAAGAAGCCAGAAAGCATCCTTCTCTCTGAATGTCACCCATGGTTACCACATCTGTGGCCCTGAGGACACAGGCTGGGGTGAAATACACAATGAATGGAGTTAAGGGCTGGTGATGGGATCTACGTGGAACCCCCAGCTGCCTTGACTGGGGCTAGACCATGGGCAGGTTGAGGAAAAACTCTCAACAGGGTGCTGAAAAAGCCATTAGTTATGTTGACCTCCTTTCTGAGGGTGAGAAGCCTCTGCACCTACTTTCTTGCTTGCACAGACTGGGCTCAAAAAGAAGAAAATGTGTGGATATAAAAACTTTACCAGTAAATTTCTTAACCAGCTGACAAGCTTATTTTTCACTTGTCTTCCCTTGGTATTTTGGCTCCCCTCCCCCCCACCCCACGTAACTTCCAAATCCAGAGCTCGTATATCCTTTTTCACTGGAAGGAAGAAGTCATTTATCAGAAGCTGAGCAAGCCAGCCCACCAGCTCCACACATCCATGCTTCTGACTGTGCCTCTCAGCCTTTCTCATGGGCAGCATCTCTCTCTGGCTCCTAGGCTTTCAGGGTCTCTGCCTGTGTCTCCCTAGATCTCCATGTCTCTGTGCCTCTGTCTTTTCTAATTACCATGGTTGTCTTTCTCTCTCTCTGGCTTGCTCTCTGTGTCTCTTAGTTTCTGTGTCTCTCTATCTCACTTCGTTTATCCCTCTGTCTCTCTCTCTCAACACACACACACACACACACACACACACACACACACACTGTTTCTTTTCACTCTGGCCTCAGGTCCATCTTTCAAGCCCTAAACTCTGGAGCTTACAGTGATTCTAACCCCTCCCAGAAGGCCCAACAGTTTTCCTCCAAACCTGTAGCTCTGACCTTTTCCCCAGTTATCTAACTTTAAGTAATGACTGTTATTTGAACACCTGGTGTGGAGAACTTAGTGTAAGCTTTTCTTGGAGCCCACAAAAAGTGCTCCAAGTCTTCAGAAAATGTAGAACAGGAAAGGAGAACCACTGGGACTCCCTGGGGCTTGTCCTAGCATGAGAAAACGCAACCTGAGCATTTGAAGGTGGCTTATTTGAAAGTGAAGCATTTGAAAGATACCTGAGGCCAGATGAAGATGGCAGAGCAGCAGAATGGTGGCTCACACCTATAATCCCAGCACTTTGGGGAGCCAAAGCAGGAGGATTGCCTGAAGCCAAAAGTTCAAGACCAGTCTAAGCACCACAGCAAGACCCCATCTCTACAAAAAAAAAAAAAAAAAAAAAGTATTTTTTTAAAATTAGATGGGTGTGATGGCACCTACCTGTAGTCCCAGCTACTCAGAAGGCTGAGGCAGGAGGATTGCTTTAACTCAAGAGTTGGAGGCTGCAGTGAGCTACGATCACACCACCGCACTCAAGCCTGGGAGACAGAGTGAGACCTTGTCGCATTAAAAAAGTAAATAAATAAATTTTTAAAAGGCAGTCTTCACTTCTGGCCAGTGTTCCCCAAAGTAGAACCGTTTCAAGCTCTCCGTTGCCCTCCAGACAAAGATGAGGCTCCAGGCTACAGACCCCCACACTGTCACCCCAGCCTCACCTCTCACCACAGAAACCTTCTTTCCTGCTATGCCAGAATCCTCAGCAGTGTCTCCACCTGCCCTCTATGTATATGCCTTTGTGCCTTTGCTCATGTAGTTTTTACTCCTGAAATCTGTTTTTCTCCGTTTATACCACTCAGGCGCCAAGTGCCTATAATTTTTGTTTTAAATATCTGCTTATATCCTAAGCCCAATTTGAATGTTATTTCCATGATCCAGCCATTTAACAACTATTTATTGAGCATCTGCTATGTACCAAATATTCTTCTAGCTACCGGAAGGACGGTTTTGAACAAGGCAGATAAAATCCCTGCCCTCATGGAGCTTTTGGCTTTAGTGAAAGACAACGATATTAATCAGAGAAGCACACCAATAAAGGAATATTGGCATCTGAGCTAAGAGCTTTGATGCAATGAAAGCATGCAATGGAGAACCTGACCTGGTCTGGGAGGTCAGGAAATTCTTTCTTGCAGAGGTGGTGTGTGAAATGAGACATAAATGGGAAGGATTAATTGGGGTTAAGCCAAACAGATCAATATGTGCAAATACCTTGCAGTAGGTGCGTATGTGTTTGAGGAATAGCAAGGGAGTTGGTATAGCCAGAACATAGTGGAGGACAGGGAAAGAGGCAGAACATCAGATCAGAAGGTACACAGGAATTGGAGGCCAGGGCCAGGGGAAGAGTTTGCATTTTATTCATCATGAGATGGAAAATTACTGAAAAGTTCTAAGCAGGAGTTACAATCTTTGTAGAGATCCCCTTGGCAGCTGTGCAGGGGACAGACTTTGAGGAGGGGCCAAGAACAGTGGTGGAGAGACTATATAGGAGGCTGTCACAGTCATCCAGGTGAGAGATGGTGGTGGCTGGGATCATAGTGATGGCAGGGAGGATGGAGAAAAAAGATTTTTAAGAATTAGAGTTGACACAATTTAAAAATATATTGGGAAGTGGAAGGGGTGTGGACGTAGAGAAATTTATATAGTGCAGAATACAGGGAAGGAGGAACATCTCGGAGAAGATCTTGAGTTTAGTTTTAAAGCAATTTGAATGGAACATTATAATATTAGTTAACAGGTCTTCAGTGCTGTAGAGAGCATACGGTATTACAGGACCCCGTCTCTGCATTTTACATGTGTTACCTCACTCCTCCTCCAACCCTATCAAGTAGAGGATGCTGCTGCTGCTGCTGCTGCTGCTGCTGCTGCTGCTGATGATGATGATGATGATGATGATTTTAATTTATAAGTGAGGTAACTGAGTTCCAGAGAGATAAAGTAATTTGCCTGAGATATCACAGCTAATCAGTGAAGAAGCAAGTATTTCAATTCAGGCAGTAGGGCCCATTAGTCTAGACTCTTTAAGCACTACATTCGGCTGCCTCTCATATTGAGTTTGAGGTTCTACCACAGGCAGTAGGTGACAGTAGCTATGAGTCTGGTGCTCAGAGGAGAGGTCTGTGCTAGAGCGGGCTGCTCAGCAATCACAGGTGCAGAGGTCATTACTAAAGCTGTGCAAGGTGGGTGAACTGACCTAAGAGGTCACCCATGACACTTTATTATCTGCTTCCTGTCCTTTTTACATCCATTAATCCAACAGTCATTCAGAAAGATCACTCCTCGCAAAGCCCTGGCTAGGCACTGGGGCTACAGACATGAAGGCAACCAGGTCTCTCCCCTCAGCAAGCTCACAGACTATTGGAGAAGACAGCAGAGCTCACAGACAGCAAGAGCAGTGCTAGTTGGGTGACAGCCCTGGGTGCTGGTGTGGAGTTAAGGTGTGGGCTCAGGAGATATAGATATAGGTTTAGATACTGGTACTCTTTCTCTGGTGACACCCTGTAGATAGATAGATATGAGACAAGAGAGAGAGATAGATACATAAATGAACACATAGGTAAATAATTACATAGACATATAAATAGATTTGTTGCAAAGAATTGGCTCAATCAATTGTGGAGCTGGCCAGGCAAGTCCAAAATCCATAGGACAGGTTGTCAGGAAGGACAGGCTGGAACCCCTCAGGCAGAAGCTGATGCTGCAGTCCACAGGCAGAACTTTTTCTTTCTCATGGAAACCTCAGTTTTGCACTAAAGGCCTTTCAACTGATTGACTGAGGCCTACCCAGATTGTCTAGGATAATGTCCCTTACTTAAAGTCAATTGATTGTAGATGTTAAGCACAGCTACAAAGTACTCTCACAACAACATGTAGATTAGTGTTTAATTGAATACTTGGGGACTATAGCTAGCCAAGTGGGCACATAAGACTGATCATTGATCACAGGCACCCAGGATAGGAATATTAAAGAGCTTTCATTCAACAAATATTGAGTGGGTACCAGGCACTGAGTATACCATAGTAAACAAGCCATATAATAATCCCTGTGCTCATGTAGCTAACAATCCAGCCTGGTCAATGCTTCAGCGATTTTGTCCTATTAGGAATTTTTTCCTTCTTGTTCCTCACTGGACTGTGAGTTCCATGCATCTCCAGAGTTGGGACCATGTGTGACTCTTTGCTGATCTCCCTCTCCCAGGGCTCAGCACAGGAACCTGCAGTTAGAAGATGCTAAGAAAGTGTTGCTGCAATGAATGGCAGTGTTTGCGGCCATGAGAGAAAACTGCCTGGCTTCAAGCAGCTCAGTCCTACTAGGCATCTGAATTATAGAACTTTCAAGGGGGACAAGACCTCAGCAATCACTGTGGTACATTCCATTCCTTTAATTTTAAATGCCCCATTTCCCTTAGCACCACCTTTCCTTAGCCTGCTCTGGGAGCTTTTGTGCAGCTGTTACTCTGTAGTCAGACCCACTCAAAAGTACAGCCCATCGAGTGTAGTCACGGAAGTTGGGTCTCTGCTTTGAGAATTACACTTTGGGGACAACAAGTGACCCCTTTGGCCCAGGCCAGGTCTTTGCTAAATCAATGCATGCTTTGTTTAGCGTGTATGGGGCAGAATGGGAAGGCCTGGCCCACTAAATGAAAAAGACTGGGCCGGGCGCGGTGGCTCCCGCCTGTCATCCCAGCACTTTGGGAGGCCAAGGTGGGTGGATCACCTGACGTCAGGAGTTCAAGGACAGCCTGGCCAACATGGAGAAACCCTGTCTCTACTAAAACTACAAAAATTAGCTGGGTGTGGTGGTGGGTGCCTGTAATCCCAACTACTCAGGAGGCTGAGGCAGGAGAATCGCTTGAACCAGGGAGGCGGAGACTGCAGTTAGCTGAGATCACCCCACTGCACACCAGCCTGGGTGACAGAGTGAGACTCCGTCAAAAAAAAGAAAGAAGGAAGGAAAGAAAGAAAGAAAGAAAGAAAGAAAGAAAGAAAGAAAGAAAGAAAGAAAGAAAGAAAGAAAGAAAGAAAGAAAGAAAGAAAGAAAGAAAGAGGGAGGGAAAGGAGAAAAAGAAAGAAAGAAATAAAGAAGGAAAGAAAGAAAGAAAGAAAGAAAGAAAGAAAGAAAGAAAGAAAGAAAGAGGGAGGGAAAGGAGAAAAAGAAAGAAATAAAGAAAGAAAGAAAGAAAGAAAGAAAGGAAGAAAGAAAGAAAGAAAAGGAAGGAGGGAGGGAGAGAAAAAGGAGAAAAAGAAAGAAAGAGAGAAAGAGAGAGAAAGAGAGAAAAAGAAGGAAAAGAAAAAGACTGTACATGCATCATAGCTCCATTGGTCTTTGGATTCTGTGAGGAAATTGCATAAGTTGCCACCTTCACAGACAGCAGGAAACTGGGGAGCTAAGACAATCACAGGGCAAAATGAGCTCTTAGTTGGTGAAGCAGGCCTAAGGGCCTGGCCCCACATGGAGTCTCACATGCTGGAATAGAGGCAGGACAGCCTTTTCTGACCAGGAGCAGCACGGAGACAAAGAACTTCCAGGCTGGAGATGACCTCTAGAGGGAGGGTCATTTAACACAAGCTACACGGAGTGTGGTTCACAGTCTGGTGCTGGTTGGCAAGCAGTTTGTTCCAGGTGCAAGACAAGATAAATGCAGCAATTAGAGTAGGTATTTAGGTACTGTTTTGGCAATTTGACATGGCTGCAATGCAGAAGTGTGTGATTTTGTATTTTCCAAAAGTATAGATTGTGACAGAATGAAAATTGAAAAACGAGTCCTTCCTTCACAAGAAGTTTAAGAAGAACTGCTCTAAAGTACAGGCTTCCCAGCCTAGCAGTGAGTCACCAGCATAGAGGTTGGCAACTGTGTTTTTGTTGTTGTTTTTTGAGACGGAGTCTCGCTCTGTCGCCCAGGCTGGAGTGCAGTGGGGCGATCTCGGCTCACTGCAAGCTCCGCCTCCTGAGTTCACGCCATTCTCCTGCCTCAGCCTCCTGAGTAGCTGAGACTACAGGTGCCCGCCACCACAGCCAGCTAATTTTTTGTATTTTTAGTGGAGACGGGGTTTCACCGTGTTAGCTAGGATGGTCTCGATCTCCTGACTTTGTGATCTGCCCGCCTCGGCCTCCCAAAGTGCTGGGATTACAGGCGCGAGCCACCGCGCCCGGCCGGCATCTGTGTTTTTAACTCCCTCCCACGGTAACTCCCAAGCAGGCTTGGGAACCAGTGGACCATTGGTATGCAATGACCTGCACCACAAACAGGAGACACGTGTGCAGGAGACACCTTCATACCTGGTTTCAGTGGTCATGAAACCATTCCTTGCACACCTCCAGGGCTGAGGGGTGCCCACATCCTAAGGCAGTGGCTCTGACCTCAAAAAAGTGCTTACTTAGCTGGAGCTGGAGTGCTGAGTGGCAACTGGGCCCCTCTGAGACCCCACCAGGGCAGGGTCTGTGGACCCATGTTCCCGCTCCTCAGGCAGAGGCTATTTAGACTCCCAGCCTGTCTGTGAGACATCTGAAAAAACCTTGCTGTGTGCATCACCCCTTCTCATAGAGGCTCCTGACAGAGGTACACCCATGCCATCTCTGACTTCCTAAGTGCAGTTACTGGTGCCATTCTTTCCCTTTCTACCAGCACCCCCCAACTCTTGCCAGAAGGAGAATAGAAGGACTTGATTTGTTGAGACCCATTCAACTGCTTCTATATTCACCCCTGTGACGTCCCCATCTCACTTGAGGCTGCTCCCACCTGCTTAGCAGGGCCTGGGCCTCCTGGACTTCCCTTGCTTTGACCATGGCCTCCCAACTCTGCTTGACAACCTGCCTTGAAAATGCCAGTTGGCCTCAGCTTTTGCCTTTTCAAAGCTATTTGGCCACATGGTTCCTCTACCTTGTTCATCTGGGTGGGGAGTGGGCAATGCAAGTACTAGTGCTTTGGAGGATGAGCTGTCAACTTTCTTAGAACAATGTGTGCTAGCATAGTGTGGTGACAAGAGCCAAGGACAGAGACTCAGGGAACATGGGCTCAAATACCACCTCTGTTACTAAATCATTGTGCATCTCTGAGAATCCCTCTCTCTCTGAGCCTCTAGATCCTCATCCATAAAATTAACATGCCTTCCTCAGAGGCCTCTTGTCAGTCTTGAAATGAAGCATAGGACCTGAAAGGAATTTGTAATGGCTAAGGCACTAGCTCTCCTGAAGTAGTAGCTCTCTCTGCTCCAGACCCCAGAGAAAGGAGGGTTGCCAACTCAGTGCCAATGCCGTGCATTTTTATATGTAAGGATTAAGAAAATAAGAGGATATTGAAATAATAAAGGCCTTGCAACATCTAAGTTGATTTGTATAGACAAAGAGCAAAGAGGAAGACTTGTCCCACTAGATATTGAGACCTAATACAAATCTATAGTCATTTAGTAAATAGTAATAGGTTTTCGTACAGGAAAAAATAAAAACAGACCCCAAAGGAAAACACTAGAAAGTTAATATATATGTTAAATTAGAACCACAAATCAATGGAGAAATGGAGGGTTTTTGAGTAAACAGTGCTAAGAAAAGTGGCTAGATTCCCACCTCACACCATACTTAAACACTGATTTTCGATGGATTTAGAACCTAAATATACAGGTAAAAACATAAAATAAATTGCAAGAAAATGTAAGAGAATACCTTTTTGGCCTTGGAGTGGAAAAGGGTCAGATCTAAAACTAAAATCAGCAAGCCGTAAGGATTGATAGATTGGACCAAACAAAATTACAGATTGCTGTTTACAAAATGACATTTAAAAACAAAGATAAACTACAGAGATGAATAGTTTTGTGATGTTTAAAACCAACAAAAAGGAATTGATCAACAAGAACATGGAAGTCTGAATTTAAAAAACAGAGAAATATTTTGAACAGGCAATTTACATAAAAGGAAATCTAATGGCCAATAAACCTGTGAAAAGATACCCAAACTCAGTAGTAATCAAGGAAATGCAAACTAAAAAAATAAGATTCACCTTGCCCTATCAGTTTGACAGGCATTAGAAAGCTGGGTAATAATAGTATTATTATTTGTCAGGAAGGACAAGGTGACACTGAATCCCAGTGCTCTCCTGGTAGGGAGTGCAAACTACTCTACTGTACTGGAGAGCAATCTAGCAGGGCTTAGAATGAAGCATACGTGTATTCTCTGATCTAGTGAGCCCACATCTGGGGCTCTACCCCAACGCAGGTCCCACTGGGGACGTGTCCAAGGGTGGCCACTGTGGCACTGAATGGAACTGGGGACAGGTTATCTTTTCATCCCCAGGAGAATGGATGGGCTAAATACAAAACTAAGCAGCAGTTTGAAGTAACTAGATGCATGCACAACATGGGCTGATCTCAAAATTACAGGCTGATTTCTTTTTTTTAAGTAAGAAACAGAACAAGATTTATAGCACAATAATATTTATGCAAATTAAAAACACATACACGAAACAACACTATATTTTATAAGAACGCAAACATATTCAGGGACTCATCTCAAATGCATTAAAGTGGGTGCTCACGGAGGGGGAAAGGGATGCGGGGACCTGAGAGAATGAGGAGGAAATAAATAAAATGCAAGAGAGACCTTCCACATACCGTAGGTGATGCTAGTGGCCCAGCCCTGAAGCGAGGGGCAGATTCAATTCAACTCTCTGCACCCGAGGTCCACAAATACATTTTAATAATACAGGCTTTAAAGGAAAATAGGGGCAACAATAACAGAGAGTGGCTGCTTAATGGGTACGGGGTTTCCATTTGAGTGACAATCTGCTCATCCCCAGCCTGTCTCTGGGCTACTGGCCCTTTGAGGCCAGGTTCCCCACTGCAGCACAAGGACCCCTTGGCATAGATGGCAGTGCTCAGGGCTGAGGGCAGGAGGCCTGGCTTCCAGCCCCAGCTCTGCCCACCCCGCCCTGGGGAGCTAGTCCTGGTCCTGTTTACCTCACAGACTCATTGTGACGATCGAGTGGGCTGACGTATGGGAAAGAGCTCAGTGCCTGAAAAAGCACAGTGTGGTGTGAGGGATTATTGGTGATATTTATGACCAAGCTGTATTGCTCACGAGGCAATTTTGTCTCCCTTATTCCTTCCTGACATGGCAGCCAATCTCCATTTCAGTGACTTGGGTCAGTGTCAAATTAAAACAACTGAGAGCCCTGCAGGGCAGAGGGTTGGCAGGGGCGGGAGTTCAGAGCCCATCACTCAGGCACAGGATGGCTACTCAAGATTTACTTCATCCCAGAGCCCCACACACATGTGTGGAGGCTCGTGTCCATGCACCCACCACACCACATGCCCTGGGGCCTTGATCCTTACTCGGCACGGAAATGTCTTCAGAGGGTCTAGCTCCGGCAAGGGTGGGACACTTCCAGGCTGCATGACAAGCTTATGGGAGGCATCGGACATTTTCTTTCTTTGGAAGAAGTGCCAGCAGCTTTCTTTCCTTGGAGGCCCCTTCATTACCTAGTTGGTGCCACTCAGTCTTGGTATGCTTAAAAAGGCAGTCCTCCCCAAGGTCTTGGTGTCCAAGTCCAGCACCTTTGCTCAGGGTTTATGATCCAGGCTGAAGCTGGTATTTCTTTTTTTTTTTTTTTTTTTTTTTTTTTTTTTGAGACGGAGTCTCGCTCTGTCGCCCAGGCTGGAGTGCAGTGGCGGGATCTCGGCTCACTGCAAGCTCCGCCTCCCGGGTTCACGCCATTCTCCTGCCTCAGCCTCCCAAGTAGCTGGGACTACAGGCGCCCGCCACTACGCCCGGCTAATTTTTTTGTATTTTTAGTAGAGACGGGGTTTCACCGTGTTAGCCGGGATGGTCTCGATCTCCTGACCTCGTGATCCGCCCGCCTCGGCCTCCCAAAGTGCTGGGATTACAGGCGTGAGCCACCGCGCCCGGCCTGAAGCTGGTATTTCTAACATTTCCTCTACAAGCCAGGTCATCCCACACAGTCTATGTGTGCCTTCCTGTCTAATGGAGCCCTTGACATGGACTCCTGTCTTAGCGGGAAACCTGTTTACCTCTCCCCTCCTCTCATACTGTTTCCTTTTCTAGAAATGTCCTGTCCTGGTTCTCTGCCTGAAAAACGACTCAACCTTCAATATCTTCCCTAATTCTCCCAGACAGAGACAGTTACAATGTGCCCTAGACTTGGCAGCACCTTTTATAAGTCTGGCTCTCACAGTACACAGCATAGAGCACAGGACCCCAGTGATCTGTGACCAGGTCTGTCTTTCCACTATGTTGGAAATCCTGGAGGGCAAGAAGTTGGTGGAATTGTCATCGGTGTCCCCATCACCCAGCGCAGAATGACCAAACACTTTGCTGGTGCTGGGTTCTTGTCACTATTTGCCACTGGGGCATCATTCACACAATAAACTTTCACTGATTTCTTGCTGGGTGCCAAGCACAGTGCCAGGCCTTGGGGGTACAACCAGACACAAGATAAACATGATCTGACACTATTCAGTGGAGAGAGAGAGGAGAATTTGAACAATCACAGAAATAAAGGAGGACAATATGAGTGAGTGGTGCTAGCCAGAGATTTAACAAAAGGTGATGTGGCAGAGAGTAGCTGCATGGACACTTCAGACTGGGCGACCAGACATTCAGGTGGATGATTGAGTGTCCAGAAGGAGACAGTAATGCAGAGATCAGGGGACAGAGCATCCAGGCAGTGGGAACAGCAAGTGATTAACCGAAAGTTAAGAGCCTCTGCTATCACTGAAACAATGATTAAACACATGTTATCTTGGGTGAAGGCTCCCTACTCCCCAGCTTGTAGCAGGGACAGAAGGAAAACAGCTCCAGCCATCTCCCTTGAGCAGCTTTGTCCCAGTCTAATTTGCCTTTCCACTGGTCAAACTGCTGCTGCCTGACAAGAGCCCTGAGTCCCAGATCCCTGGACCAACTCCGTCAGAAATTGCCTTGATGCACAGGATAAGTGAGGTCTGGAGCCAAGCAGACCCATGTTCCAATCCCAGATCTTTCACTTACTGGGACTCTAGGGCCCATTAGTTAAGCTCCCTGTACCTTGGCTGTTGTATGTACAAATGGAGAAATCTAGCTTGTTGACTTAATGCCAGGCTTAAAGGAAACCACACACGTATAGTGTCTGGAGCAAAATGGGCCTGTGGTGGGCCAAAATCACCACAGCTAGAAAACCCTTGGAGACCATTTAGTCCAGTCTTCTGTTGAAAATGGGGACACTGTGGCCTAGTCTTGCCCAATATCACTTCCATTCAGGACTCCAACATAAATCTCCCGGAGCTCGTACTTCCCTGAATATTAAATTCGTCTTTCAGAAATAGCACAAATTCACTTTCCACTTGTATCACAAGGTTGAAGAGTGGCTGTGGGTGTAGGGGTGTGTGGGCATGGGTGTGAAACATGCTAAGAAAATCACTTAACACACAAACACACATGTGTCCCCACATCTCTGATACATGTGTGCAGACTCCACAGGCGAAGAATCTCGCTCTGTTATTCCTAACTTTGACTTCTGATCCCAGTTCTTTAACTTTCTGAATGTAGGGCTCAGAGTCCCCAGCTGTATAATGGGACACTTAAGACAATGTTTGTGCAGCCACCACCATGTCCACTCCCTTGAGACTCTGCGAGTCCCCAGAAAGCCATTGCCAGCATCCTCTAGCAGGTTTTGGTGCAATGGCAGAAATGATGATCTGTGTGTAACATCTCTAGGAGCTGCCCTGGCCTGGGAATATGACTGGGGAGGGTTGGTGGCTTTTCTGGGTCCAATGCCTTCAGCTCAGTGCAAAGTCTGTCGAGGCTATATCCTTCTACTACCTTCCTTTCTCCCGCTTCATGTACCACTGGATCCAGAGGCTGGTCCCAGGAGTCTGCTGCTTGGGATGCTGGGAGCTGGGAGGAAGAAGGGTGGGCTAGAAGCCTGAAACATAGGGAGGAGACAGACTGAGAAGGAAAGGGAAGAGAAGGGGCTTGGAGGATAAGCTGGAGCAAGAACTGTGAGAAGGGAAGAGGGATGATGAGAGGTGAGGCAGAAGCAGGGACTAGGCTGCTGGAAAAGACAGAGCCATAGGGAGGAGAGAGGCAGGCAGCAGGAAAAGATGGCTGAGCCATCCTGAAAGACAGAGAAGAGGAGGATGGGAGGATTCGGGAGGACAGAGAAAAAAGTGCCTGGGGAGGGGACAAAGAATGACATGGGGGAAGGAAAAAGCGAGCTTTAGAGGGGGAGATAAAGCAGGGAGGAGAAAAGGGGAAGCAAAAGGGGGAGAGGAGGGAAGAGTGGTCTCAGAGGCAAAAGGAGGAACAGAAGAAAGGGCGAGGAGGAGGGAAAGCAGATGAGAGAGCCACAGAGGGAGAAAGAAGCAAGGAAGGAGGAGGGGCAGGAGGAAGAGGAGCAAGAGAGCAAAGAGAGGAGAGAGAAGCACAAAAAGAAAGGAGTTGGAAGGGGAGCAAAGAAAGGTAAAGGCAAGGAGTGCCACTGCAGATGGCATCTGTGACCCAATTGTGAGGGGTGACCAAATCCAAGCCTGGGAAGACCCATTTCAAAAGGAACATGACAATGGCCTGCCGCTTGTCTCTCAAGAGTCCTTGTGGCATTTCCCCAGCAGAGGGGAGCCAGCTCATGACCTGCCAAGACCCCTTCCACTCCACCAGTGACCCTTTCATGCCCCCTCCGAGTGAGCCCTGCCACCCAGCAAAGCTGAACACCAAGCTCTGCATGTTGGCCTGGCATGAGAGTCAGCTAAGCTTTTCCACCTGTCATCACTCTGCCGCCATAAGTTGCCAGGATAGGGTCCCAGATATCTCCCTCACTCTCTTCTTTTCTTCTTCTCTTCCTCCCTTATTTCCTCCCCTCCTTTCTTCTTTCCTCTTTCCCTTCTTCTTGCCTTCCTTCTCTCCCTCTCTCCTTCCTTTCTTATTCCTTTCTCCATTCAGAGCTGGCCACAGCCTTACCTCACCTCCACGCCCCTCAATCCCACAATGGGGGAGGCGGAGGTCTCGGCCCAGCCCTAGGTCTAGGTTGAATCCCCAGAGCGGAAGCCAGGTAGAACCCAGGAGTGTGTATGGCAGTAATCTCAAAGCTGGCCACTCAGTACAGTCACCACCCCTTTGAGTAGCAGAGAAAAGCTGCTTCCAACTCCAAGCTGTGGCTTTGTAGGGCCAGTAATTCAAAGTACTAGTGATTTACTAGTGGCCCTGATCTAGTGATGGTCACTGGTTATGAAAACTACTCTTAAAATAATGGGCAGATATTAACCACTAAATAAGATTTTCATGCCATTCGAAAACGATTCAATACATGACAAGATTTGAAAATAGAAAAATCAAGTTTTAGCCAGCTCCATCTCAAAATCCTCAAATGTCACCAATCAGGACTTACTCCATCTGGCTATGATGTTATCTCCGCAATTGGGTAAACAACCCACCAGAAACCTGGGTTTCCGGCCCACAGTGGCTCAGTCTGGGGATGCTATCACTTTGAGGTTCAGGAGCAACTTTGGGTTGGCATGACCACAGCAGCCGGTGTTTTGAACCGCACACTCCACTCCTTTCTGCACACAGTACCTGAAACTGTTCCATAACAGGTACAGTTAGCTCTCGGCACGTTTACGCACAGTCACTGCCTCGCCTGCCTTGTCTTTGAGCCAAGGAAAACTGTTTTCTGTTCCACATGGTCAGAGCAGAAAAGGAAGAACAAGACCGTGCCTGTAAAATGAGATGCTGGCAGAGTTCCTGTTTCTCAGATTCTTTACTCCCCCACCTAGCCCTCAGTCCACATCTGCACAAAACTGGTCTATTCTCTGAAACGTCTGCTATGCTATGGACACACCGGACACAACATTGTTTCCTAAAGGGCTGTATTTTTATTTCATAGGCATAATAGAAAACAGCAAGCACCTGAAAAAAATCAAGAAATACACTGGTTTTCCCATTCTTTTAAAAATATTTGTTGGCATCTACTCTGGGTCAGGCACTGGACAGAGACAATGCAATCAAGCAACAAGAGGTGACTTGATTGAATGGGGCTGGGGAGATCTCTAGAGACCCCCCAGATCAGGGTGGCTTTAGAAAAGAAGTCTGTTTCACCTTGAAACCTGAGGGACCCAGTGCTTACAAAAGAGAGAGAAAAGGGGAGAGACATGAGCTAAGGCTTCCGGGCCTGGCCTGAGGAAGCAATGCTCCTGGGCCACTGGTAGTACACCCAAATTGTTGCACTGGTTTTGAGGCGGGGCTTCAACTCAGCCTCTCTAAGCACATTGCATATCCAAGTGCTCAGCAATTAAATCGATCCACAGAGGTGACTCACAGGCAGCCAGCCAGCACAGTCACGGAGCCCTGTCTGCATTACCAATTTGCCTGCTCAAGTTGCTGCCTTGTTAATGTTATTTACCAAGCCCGATGCCCTGAATACCTGTCCCTAGCCCCTGCTGGAGCCCTCCAGCCATTGTCCCTGTTCGCCTGTCACATCTTGTCACTACCTCCCTGAATTCAACAGGTTTGGGCAGCCTGTCTGCAGACCTGCCTCCTCACTCTTGTATCTCCAGGAGCCAGGAAGGTGGCCTAGCAGTCCCAGCCTTACCCTCTCTCAGAACAGGTCCCAGAGGTGAATGGCCTACAGCTCAACCCTCCTCCCTTTCTTTGGGCAAGAGATGGAATGGGTTGCCGACAAAAACCCTGCAGGGTGGCACCGTGTAGTTGGCAAATGTGGCCATTGAGAGGAGAGGGTGAGGGCAAAGGCTCCAAGGGGGATGTGGAGATGAGGAGATCTGAGGCAGGCGCTGAAGAGCTTCCTCCTGCCATGCCCTGTGCCTGCAGCTGCCCTGCTCAAATTCTTTCTTCGCCAGAGGGTCTTGGGGCGCTCCCACTCCTGGAGTACAGGTCGTGCAAAAAAGCTCCCGCTACGTGGAGATTGAGCAAGGGCTTGGCAAGCCCAACGGTGCGCTCGAATCGCGGTGCAAGAGCGTCCCCACCATTCTTTACGGCCGGAGGTGGAACAGCAGCAGGGCGAGCTGTCTGGAGCCCGAGGCAGCCTTAGCTTGGTCAGCCAGGCGCTGTCCAGACCTGGCCCAGGCTGCTGCCCCACCCAGGCCTCTTGCCCAGCCCACTTCAGTCGGCCTTCCAAGACTCGGATCCCGAAAGCTGTGCCCCCTCCAGCACCAGGCAAACAAGCTATATCTTGGTGGAGCAGATTCCACCTTCACAGAGCCAGAGTGCAACAGAATGCCAGAACAGAAGGGTCTCCAGAGACCTTACCCGTTATATAGATAACAAAACAGAGGCTACGGGTTCAAGGAAGTGCCTTGTCCACAGGCAACCCTGGGAACTCCTGATTATTATCTCACCACTGTTCCCATCCAGCTTCAGTCCTGAGCCCCTGTGACCATCCACCTTGCCTTTCTAGACCAACAAAGAGAGTGGGTCTATGCCCCAGGGACTCAGACCCTCAAGAGCCAGAGACCCACGCCTACGGTTCCCTAGGATGCCTACACCTCCAGCTGGCCTCTGATTCCACCACTCCAGGAAGAAGTTGGAGGCACTTGGATATGGCACAAACCCAGGTTATGAAACCCAGTTGGCACTTAAATGACCTAACAACAAATTGCCCAATTTAATTTGCTTACCCGATTCAATAAAGGAGAAACAAGAAACCCAATCTAATTAAAAACATTGATCCGTAGAAACTGGCAACTCCAAAGTCCTGGCTGGAAGTTTGAGCTTAGACAAACTTGAATGATGCAAGTGTACAAGCTGAGGTAAGACGAATCTATCCTCTGACTCCCCAGGAGGGCTGCAAACGGCCTGCGAACTTCCTTTCTTAAAATAAGTGGGAAACTGAACCCAAAAGGGAAAGAAATTTGTTCAGTTCACCACTGAGATCACTTTAACTCCAGGATCTGTAGAGCCCAGGAGAGAGTTAGGTTCATGCTCCACTGAACCCCCTCCTGGCCACAGACTGAGGCCATTGGTCTTGCTCTTCAACACTCTTGCTCACTTGGCTTGTGGGACCTGGCATCTCATCCTGCTTGCCCATCGAGCTCCTCTGCATCTTTCAAGACCCTGGGCAAATATCACGTTCCAGGGACAAATCTGTCCAAAGAAGACAAGACAGAAGCTTGCTGAGGCCCCCTTAGCACTGCCCAGTTTGAGTCATGTGAATATGCAGTTAGGCTGGCAGTGCTGGGAAAGAGCAGGGTCTTCCTCAAGCCTAGGGAAGCCAAGGAAAGAGGCTCTATTGGATACTGTCCTCTTCCCCAGCTACCCTACTGTGCTATGTTCCAGATTTCCAGGAATAGAATAGTCCAAGTCCCCAGAAAATGGGAGTGGAACAGGACCAAGCTTAGGTTACAGGGCTCCCAGGCCAGTGTTCCTACGGGCCCTCTCTAAGCGTGGCCTTGGTCCCAGCCACAGCATTGAGTCCCTTTTGGACCTGGGCTTAGCAAACATTTTATCTAGAAAGGCATCTTCATCACCCTCCCCGTCAGGCTAACTGTAACTGGCTTGGTTTCAGGTCCTAAATCAGGGCTAGATTGTCCTTCCAGGGAAATGTCTGCCTCAGAGAGAAGCAAAATCACTTAGTTCTTGGCAGCTCAGTCTCTGCCAGGGGGAAGTTGACCTGCCACTGAACCCACAGCCAGTATGGCACACCACTCCTCCTGCTGGGGCCAGCTGGTACCCCATGCCTGCCTACCCCAGCTCCCTGTTCAACTGGGGAGCTCTACCTCAGCAGAGCTCCCTGGGGACCAAGTCCACACCCACTCTCCTCCTCCACACACATACCCTCTTGCAAGTAGCTTTGGCTATAGGAGGGTAGCATGAATCTCACACAGCCCCATCCTCCAGGAGCAAGGAAGGGGGAAAGCCACAAATACAGATGATAGCTGAGTCACACTTGTTTATAGGGGATCAAAGAAGGCTTTGGGAGGGAGGTGACATTAGAGGTGACTTTGAAGGATTAGAGGAATGTTGCAGACAGATGTAGGGATAGAAGTAGGTGTAAGCCGAGTTTCTCGTGGGACAGCTCCAGTTGGGTTACGGAATACCAAGGAGTTTTGTGTGAGCAAAACCTGCAGGGCTATGAGGATGGGCAGAGAGAAGCAGCTAAGGATATGGGGTTTAGTCCATTAGAGAAAAAAGAGGAGGCCAGCCCCTAAGAAGTTCCCAGTATTGGGCATGTACAGAACACTGAGGTACCAGTAGCTGCTCTAGGTGCTACAGATGTAGTGGGGGCCAGCACAAAGGTCTATCTCAGGGAGCTGACATTCTAATTGGGGAAACAAGCAATAAACAAGGAAACCAATGAACAAGAAGATTGTGGAGGGTGCTAAGTGCTGTTAGGAAAACCTCACAGGGTGCCGAGATCAGCATGACTGGGAGGCTGGGGGCTCTTTTCATTGTGGAGTCCTGAGGACAAGAAGCCAGTCACAGAAGTTCCAGAGGAAAAGAGAGCAACACATAAAGACAGCAAGCGCAAGGCTGCCAAGGGACAGAGAAGCTGGGTGTGTCTGAGGAACTCAGAGGAGACTGGAGGACCTGACTCCAGAAGAGGCCAGGAGAGAAAGCAGGTGAGGCCAAGGATGCTGGCGGGCGCTGTGCAACAGGACCTGGAGACCAAGCCATGAGTTTGAATTTTATTATAAGAGTAATGGAAGACCCCAAAAGAATGTAAGCAGAATGAGACATGACTTTCATTGCTTTTGACTACTCTGCTGGCTAGATGGAGAGTGGGTTGGAGGGGAGGGAGCAAAGGTGGAAACAGGGACACCAGTCTGGAGGCGACTGCAGTCATCCAGGAGAGAGCCCTGCACGAGGGCGGGAGTGGCGGAGGTGGGAGAGGTGCATGGATTCTAACTGGACTTTGAAAAGTTATGCAGACAGGGTATTTTCTGGCTGATTGGATGCAGTGGATGAAGAAAAGAGAAGGATCCAGGATTACATCAGGAGCTTTGGCCTGAGCAACCTGAAGGACAGACGTGCCATGACCAACATGGGAAGATGAGCAGGTTCTCTAGGAAACACCAAAGGGTGAGTTATGGTGGTGTTACTTTTCAAATACCATGGTGGCATCAAGTAGGTATTTGGCTAAATGTACACAATCATCTGTGTACTACCTTCATGTGACACTGGAACAATTATTTATATAATAATTTTATTTATGTCAATTTTAAGTAGGCTGACATTAGCTCCATGCTAACCAATCTTATCCATAACATCAAGGGTTTTTTAGACTTCTAGTATTTTTTTTTTTTTCTGAATACAATAAGTAATGACAACCATAGTGCTCAAGTCTCCCTGTAATTCCACCCTGACATTCTCTCCTTCCCCAGTCTCCAGCAGAGTCTGGGTACCTAGCATGAAGAAACTTGTACTGGGCATTGGCCTTGACACCCAGGAACCTCTGAGGGCCTTCAAAGGGACCACAGTGGGGCACAATGGGAAAGAGACCTTGTCCAATAGCTCTGCAAGGCCCCGGGGGGCAGCCACCTAACTGCCTCAACCGGCCCTGCTCAGTCCTCTGCTGGGTGGAGGGTTCGCAGAGTGGAGCCCACCACCCTTTCCTGAGGTTCATGCGCCCTCTGGTGGTAGGGTTCCCCATCTCTGTGCACTGGGGGCTTCCTTGTTTCCAGGCTAAACAGAAGACAGAGACCCTCTGCCTCGGATTCACCGAAGGGAGGGGATAAATGGTCAGACTAACTTTAAGCTCCAGACCAAGGAATAGATGCTTCTGAGGCTTGGACTCAGGCTGGGCTGGCCAGGCAAGGACCACCACAGGTCACACCAAAAGAAGAAGGAGTGTGGTGCGCAGGAGAGGGGACTTTTGTTTTGTATAGAAGGTCACCAATGCAGAGAAAAGCAATTGATGGCCATATGCAAATAGAGCAATTTACCTTCAATGGGTATTTTCAAATGAAAATAAAAAACATTCCAATTTAAACATTTTAAAATCAAGAGCAGGAAACATCAGGCTGTGCTGAATAAATCCAACACATAATGGAAAACGTACTTCAGTTCCTATATTACAGCCAGTTATAGGAGAGAGGCGGGGGCGGCGGCCAGCAACAGACAGGAGAGTCACGCTCTTACAGAGAAAACAACCGGAGAGAGGGTGGGTGAGGGGCTGGCCAGAGACAGACACTGCCTAGGCTGACATCCAGATCCTCACACAGGCACACGCGCACAAACACACACACACACACACACACACACACACACACACACGACAAGCTGCACAGATATTCCTTCTGTTGTTCCTTCATCCTTTTCTCAATGAACAAACTGTCTTTAGATGAGAATATATTATTGCTAAACAGACACTTGCAGACCAGTGTGCAAGGGAGTCTCACATAGAAAGCTGTGGCAGGACTCGGAGAAGGGGCCTGTGAATTTCATCTCAGAAGAAAAAGTGGCAGAAAAGGGTAATCCAGGCAGAGGGAACAGCATGAGAAAATACCTGAAAGCATTCCAAGACCTGAACACTAACTTCTCAAAAAGGAAGTTTTCATCACCTCTAAAAATGAATTCAATGTAATTTTATTAAGAGCAGGAAATCTAGACCTTCCTCTAATGACAATCCAATAGTCCACCCTCGCTGTTGTCAAAAAAAAAAAAAAGTTCAACCCCAAAATTAACAGTAATTAGCCTGAGATATTGTAAATGTGGCTCTATAGTCTGAAATTTAATGGCATCTTTTGTCAAAAATAGTCTTTTTTCCACTTTAGTCTCATGACTACAATACTATAGTGCTATCCCTATAGTATTTACTACAGTACAGTCATCAAAAATATCTGAAAAAAACTCTTAGACCTTGTGAAATAGTGCATCCATCCACTTCTATAAAATTAGGAGCCACGCAAAGATCTAACAGAGTGCTGCTTGCCCAGATCCAGAACAGAGAAAGTTAGTGTTAAGGACTTGGAATGTGAACACATTGTTTGTAGTGCTATCCATTCCTCTCCTGAGATTTTCACTTACTACTGGAAATCCTTAACCAATTATAATAGCTTTTCTCTCTTTATTTTCAAAATGACTTCCTTTGCTTTGCTTAGACACTCTGTGCTCTCTTTTTTTTGGGGGGTGGGGGGAGCGGGTAACCATAGTTCATCTAAATGCAGCTTTTTCTGAACCTTAAAGATAGAATCCCGTTTTTAATGAACTGAAGTAGCAAAATCACCTTTTTCATTATTTTGGGAAATAGCT